>NC_000019.10:43907540-44210570 GCF_000001405.40 Homo sapiens
CATCAAGAAAGTGACAAGATACCCACTGAATGGGAGACAATATTTGCCCATCATACATATGACAATGGACTTGTATCTAGAATACAAAAACTCTTAGAACTCAACAATAAAAAAAAAATGGATAATCCAATTTCTGGAAGTCAGTCAGATTTCTGGGATGATCACTCCCATCCTCACAACAACAACAACAACAAAAAAAACTAAAGAAATTAATTTTTTCTGGATCTGTCAGATAATAGAGGTCACAAGGCAAACCACCAGCCTTAAATCTGGAGAGACAAGCAAACGGAGATCAGCTTACTTGGAGCAGAAGGACCAAGGTAAGACCATTTAGGCGGGGAAAGAATATTGGTAACTAAGTGTTACCAATAACACTGCTAATTAAGTATTACCAGCTAATTGGTAATATTTACTAGCAGTGTAATTAAGTATTACCAGCTAATTGGTAACTAAGTGTTGGTAACTAAGTGTTACCAATTAGTTGATAACAAGTAATTAGCAATGCTATTGGTAGGAGCGCTTAATTGGTAATTTAGAGAATTCATTGGAGGCTAGCTTCAAAAATCTTCCAGGGACGCAGTCTTAGGGGGAGCCTCACACTTTCATGGAATTTACGTCCAGTAATGCTACTAGGTTCTCATGGTGAATTTACAAGAAAAATCTCATGTTTTGGAGGAGGACAAAAGTAACTATTTTGAAATACACTGAGAGTGTTCCACATAACAAAGGACTGCTATCCAAGGGAAATGACTTTATCAGATACTTATATAACTGGGGAGAAAGGCAATATGTCAACTCGCCTTCCTGTCTTACCTAAGGGGAAAACAGAAAGACTAAGAACTGCGTCTGAAGATCACAGGCCAGGGACTCAGGCCCACTAAAAGACAGATTAAATCATATGATTGTAGAACACTTCCCCTCTCCCCACACTTTACCACCATATCAATAGGATTCTTGTATAACAACAGGATAATAAAAGTGAGAAGGCTGCAAGACACAGATTCTATTTTTAAAGTTCTTAGGGAAATTCAAAGACAACAGGGAAGGAAAAAGAAGGGACACTACAGAAAGGTAAAACTGAAACCTCTGACACCTTCAGCTAAATCAAACATTAAACACAGCCCAACACCTAGCCAGATTAACATAAAACCTCACACTTAACTGAAGCTCCCACATTGCCTGCTATATAGCTGTCTACAGCTGTGTATTCTCCTGTCCTGCACAATGTAATCACACTCTGCAAGAAGCTAAAGCTTACTGGCAGGCCCTTACTTATCTAGGTATATCCAAACTCTGATGAATGACGGCACACAGGGACCTACCATTGCCAATGACCTACTCTTCTGCATCAAGGAACTGCAGATTAGATTTGTCCTTGTCCCATTCTATTGGCTCCTCATGTGATGCCCTTTTGGTGTAAGCCAATGCCCTACAAACTAGCCAACTTACACCCATTGGTGCCACACCACTTAATTTCATCCTTTGGGTGAAATGACCCCTACACAAAAGCCTTTAAAACTATACTTCCCTTCATGCTTAACAGTTGGGACCTGGACATGATAACTACCCCTCTGTGGTCTCCACAGTGACCTCCACAACCACATCAGCGCCAGTCCCATTGTCCAACAATCCATGCTTCACTCTGCACTATTCCTTCATCATGACACCACATCCTACTTTCTTCAACTTGCCAGATAATACATGTGAAACAGTAACAGAACATGTCATCCAAGAGATAAAACTCCAACAATGCTGGGCCTGCCAGCAGGCGTCCCAACCTGGGTAACCACTCGTACAACTGATTTCCACACTCTTGGAGGTATGTGATATCCATACTACTAACCAGTCGCCATCCTCTCTGGTCACCCTCCAGCTCCTTTACTTCCCCAGGCACCCTCAACCTCATCAGGTTCTTCCTCTGAATTTTTCCTTCACAGTCCCACCTTTCCTGCCCTCTGTCAACGATTGATATTATATAAAGCCATTGAAAGTACAAGGGCCTCACACGTATGCACTGGTGAATGCCCTTCCCATAAAAGGGGATACCAGGCCACCTTTTTGTATATTATAAATTGGGCCTCATCACAATCTTTGGTATAACAGGCATAAGTCTAGATCTTTTCAGTTCTGTAGCAGACTTCATTCTTAGAGCTGCCAGCCAAACAACGTCACAATTCCTGGCAGACCATATGTACCAAACAGCCCAAGATTTAGAAGCCCTTAATGAGATAAAGCTCTGTAGCTGTCATGGTAGTTGATAAAATACTGCATTAGACTAACTAGTGGCATCTCAAGGTGGCCCTCTGAAGGGAACCTCTGGCTGTGTGAAGGTCAGTAAAAACAGGAAAGCTCTCCAGAATCGTTCAGTAGATAACAAACCAAAACAGTCAACGAAGTTACTAAGTTACTAAAATGTGGCAAGAGTTTCTGAATCCCTATTTCTTCTCCTGACTGCTTCCTTCTGCCTGGATTAACATTATCTGGCACCACATTATCTTTCAGGGAGCTATTATAATTGCTGGCCTAATTTTATTGGGTCAACTTTGCATATTTGGCCTCTCTCAAATGCAAGTTTATTTATAGGAAACCTAGGAGTTTGCTGTGCTAACCCAAACATCAGGGGTGAATTGTGAAGACTGGAGGAAACTTGGTGTTTGACTTAGTGCAAGCCACCTATAAGCATCTCTTGCCTATGTCCAGTCTCCCTCACAATCCTGATGAGGTTCACTTACTGCTCCACAAGTGCATATGCCCTCCACCACCTCTTTTAAACTGTGTGCTGGCAGGACATCCCCTTTTATAAACTGCCTGAACATTGACTATTCTGTTTTGGATCTTTTCTTGGACAGCCCTCCCACCCCGTAATCATCTTTCTTTGATCATTCCAAAGGACTACCGTCAGGAGTTTGACATACAAACCTAACCTTGGAAGGAGTTTCGACATTCAAACCTAACCTTGGAAGGAGTTTCCCCACATCATAGTAGAGGTGCTGTAATAGGCATATAGATTGGGAGGGAAAAACATTTTTTTTTTTTTTTGCAGATGACAAGATTGTCTACACAGAAAATCCCAAGCAATCAATAGAACAGCTACTTAAACCAATACTAAGTTTAGCAAGATCATAGGACACAAGGTCAACATAAAACAATCAACTATATTGAAAAAGAACAATTGGAAATTGAAATTTGAAAAACAGTACTAATTTAGAACCCTAAAAAAGGAATATGTAGGTATAAATCTAATAAAGTGTGTGCAGAATCTATATGTTAAAACTACAAATTACTGATGTAATAAGGGAGTCCTAAATAGGCAGATACTGTGTGTATGGTTTAGAACATTCTCAGTATTGCTAAAATGTCAGTTGTCCCCAAACTCATCTATATATTCATTGCAATCTCAATAAAAATCCCAGCAAATTATTTTTACAGATGACAAAGCTGATTCTGGAAATTATGGCAAGACAAATTTGATAGCCAAAATAAAATAATGAGTTGGAAGACTCACAGTATCTGGTTTCAAGACATTATATACAGATACAAAAGTCAAGATGTGCAATATTTGGCAAAATGATAGACACATAAATCAATGAAACTGCACTGAGGCCAGAAAAAGACCCATACATGTATGGTTAATGGATTCACAAAGGTGCCATGGCAATACTGAAAGAATTGGATTCTCATATGCAAATAGTGGACCTCCCTTATATAAAGATTCACATCTTATATAAATACTAACTCAAATATATCATAGACCTAAATATAAAGCCTGAAAACATAAAATTTGTGATAAAAAAGTGGGAGAAAATCTTTGTGACCTTGGATTAGGCAGAGTTCTTATATTTGAAACCAAAAGCACAATCCATCAAAGACAAAAAAGGAACTTCATTAAAAAAAATTTCTTGTGTGAAAAATACTGTTAATGGAATAAAAACACAAGCCACATAATGGTATACAATATTTGCAAAACACATAACTGACAAAGATATCTATCCAGAACATATAAAGAACTCTCAAAAATCAATAAGAAACAATCCAGGTTTTAAAAAAATGGACAAAAGATTTGAACATAGTTCACAAAAGAAAATAGGCAAATGGATAGCAAACGAGCAGTGGAGATGCTCAATGGCCATTAGGGAAGTGTAAATTAAAACCAAAATGAAATCCCGCTATAACCCTTTGAAATCCTAACAACAAAATAAAAATGAAACCAAACCCTGACATACCAATTGTCAGTGAAGTTAAGGAACTGGGACTTTCATACACTGGTGGTGGGAATGTAAAATGGTACAGTTATTTTAGAAAAGTCTGTCAGTTTTTCATAGATAAGTATACTGTTACCATACAACCCAGCAATTCCACTCCTAATATTTACTAAGACAATGTGGACACACAAAACTGTTTGCAAATGTTGACAGCAGCTTTCTTCATAATCACTGAAAACTGAAAACCCAAGTATCCCACCAGTGATAAATGGATAAACAAACTGTGGAACATCCATATGACAGACTACTACTCAGCAATAAAAGAAATGACTTCTGTACTGATATATGCAACAAGACAGATGAGTCTCAGAAGCATTAAGTGAAAGGTGCGACTCCAAAGGAAACATACTCTAGAATTCCATTTATATGACATTCTGGAAATGATATAAACTATACAGACAGAAAATGAGTCAGTTGACAAGGGCTGGTGGTGGGGAGAGGAGCTGACTAAACAGAACAAGCAAGTTTCAGGGCAGGGGGTACTAGAACTATAGACTATCTTGATTGTGATGGTGGTGTTCACATAACAGCACTTGCCAAAATGCATGATAGAGTCAGTTTCACTGTATATAAATTATTCCCTAATTAAAAAAAGAATGTTAGCTTATATGATTTTCATGGATGCCTTTTATCTCATTGAAGAATTTTTTCATCATGAGTGGATGCTAAATTTTGTCAAATGTTTTCTCTGAATCTACTGAGATGATCATACATTTGATCATAAGAATCCAGATATAAGAGTACATACTAAATCCATAGGAAGCTCAGGAACAGACCTAATTAATTTATGGTATAGAAATCATAATACTTGGCACTGGAGGTGGGATTGACTGGAAATGGGCACAAGAAAACTTTTTGGTTTAATAGACATATTGTATACATTGATCTTGGTGATGATTACATTTGTCAAAATTCAGAAAGCCATGAACTTGAGACTTGTGCATGTTACTGCATGCAGATTACACCTCAATAAAGTACTGTTAACATACAAAACTTCTAGTTGCTAGCCAGAAACTGATTTCTGAACCCACTAACAAGCTGCAACCTTCAGTTTGATAAACACTTGTCCACGAGATCTGCAAAAATGGGAAAATCAGGCCATATGACTAACTTATATATCCTCCAAGCCTTGCAGAATTCTTCTGAGTACAATTTTAGAGAAACTTCTAGAGATAAATAAAAATGTCAAATATTACTGAATTTCAAATATGACAGTAATTTCAAATACTACTGAAAAATTACAACGTATTAGGCACTGAAAAGGCAGAGTAGATTTGGCAGTCAACAAAGTCCCTGCCCTCTTGGATCTTATATTCTAGTGGAACAGAATTCAGCATTTCTATCTTAGTACTTCTGATTTACTCCAGATCAGACTCATCCTTCCTGATCCTCTTGTCTGCATGTATCAGCTAATGGTCAATGTTCTGAATGCAGTCCATATGTCTCCACTCTTGTGAGGCTTCTCTGCTGTGTGGTCTCCCAATCACTTGGCTGAACTACTGACTCTATAAAACAAATGTTTTGTCTATGATAGCTCTGATTATTAAAATATTTCAGCACCCATCTGAGATAGTAAAACATATTTTATCGAGTTTTCCTGTGTGAATCCTCTGATGAAGGAAAGTCCTTGTCACCCTCATCATCAGCATGGACTCGCTGATGAATGATAAGACTTGAGCTCCAACTGAAGCCCTTCCCACACTCCTCACATTTGTATGGTTTTTCTCCGGTGTGAACTCTTTGATGGGCTTGAAGGTATGAGCTCCAGCTGAAGACTTTCCCACATTCCTCACATTTGTATGGTCTCTCTCCTGTGTGGACCCTCTGGTGGGCTTGAAGGTAGGATCTCTGTCTGAAGCGCTTACCACACACATCACATCGGTATGGTTTTTCTCCTGTGTGGACTCCACGATGTGCCAGAAAATTGGAGGCCCGACAGAAGCCCTTCCCACACTCCTCACATTGATAGGGTTTCTCTCCAGTGTGGCACCTCTGATGGGCTTGAAGCTGTGAACCTACACTGAAGCCCTTCCCACACTCTGCACACTGATATGGTTTCTCTCCAGTGTGAACTCTCTGATGCACCTGAAGGCTGGAGAACTGACTGAAGGCCTTACCACACCTCTCGCATTTATAGGGTTTCTCTCCTGTGTGGATTCTACAGTGTACATTAAGATCTGAGCTCCGACTGAAGCCCTTCCCACATGTACCACATTTGTAGGGTTTCTCTCCAGTGTGGCCTCTTTGATGGGCCAGAAGATTTGAGGCCTGGCTGAAGCCCTTGCCACACTCCTCACATTTATAGGGTTTTTCCCCTGTATGGACTCTAAAATGAATGTTAAAATCTGAGCTACGACTGAAGCCCTTACCACATGCATCACACTGATACGGTTTCTCTCCAGTATGGCCTCTTTGATGGTCCAGCAGATTTGAGGCCCGGCAGAAGCCTTTCCCACACTCCTCACATTTGTATGGCTTCTCTCCAGTGTGGCTTATCTGATGGGCCTGAAGGTGTGAACCCACACTGAAACCTTTCCCACACTCCTCACACTTATAGGGTTTCTCTCCTGTGTGGATTCTACAATGAATATTAAGGTGTGAGCTGTAACTAAAGCTCTTGCCACATGCATTGCATTTGTATGGTTTCTCGCCAGTGTGGATTCGCTCATGAGCCTGCAGTCGTGAACGCCAACTGAAGCTCTTCCCACACTCTTCACACTTATATGGTTTCTTTCCAGTGTGAACTTTCAGATGAACTTGAAGATATGATCTCTGACTGAAGCCCACCCCACACTCCTCACATTTATAGGGTTTCTCTCCCGTATGAACTATCAGAGGAGCTTGACAATGTGAGCTTTTCCCAACATTCCTCCCACACTCTTCATATTTGTATGGATTCTCTCCAGTGGGAACTCTCTGATGATGGGGAAGATGTGACCTCTGACTAAAACTCCTGTAACTTGCATCATTTGTGTATGATTTTGCTCTACTGTGGACTCTCTGATGGGCTTGAAGACTTGAAAACCGACGGAAGGCATTATCACATTTTTCACATTTGTAGGGCTTCTCTCCTGCATGAGCCCTTTGGTTAATTTGAAGATGAGAGCTCCAGCTGAAACTTTTCACACAATGTTCTCCTTTGTAGGGTTTTTCACCAGTGTGGACTCTGTGAACTTGAAGATGGGAACTCTGATTACTGAATCCCTCATCTTTATAGTGCAAATCATCTCGTTTTTCCAACTGGCAGCCTGTTCTTTGAATATTTACCACAGAATCTTGATACTTGATTAACTCTCTTGTAATCTGTTGCCAGATCTGGGAGCAGAAAAGCTCTTCATGAGGCAGGTACCTTAATCCTACTTCTTGAAGAGTCTCCATCTCTTTTAGATTCTTGGCTCCTAAAAGGATAAAGAAAATGTGGAGATGGGGCATGTGAATAATGTTTTGTTCCAAGATGTCAAGTTTATAAACTCGGGCCCATAGCCTAAGGCTTCATTGAACCAGGAGAAGGTTCCATTGCCTACTGCATAGACATCTGAACAAAGTGGCCCTGTTCAAAATGTCTAGTAAAACTCCTACACATAAATTTTCAAAAACCTTTGCCTGGGATTATTTCATTGGAAGTTTATTCCAAGGTTGGGAGATGTTGAGGCACTGTGCTAGTTAGAAAGACACATTTTTCAGAAAATACCTTATCACCTAAGTCAGGGCCCCCAACCCCTGGGCCGTGGATCAGTACCAGTCCGTGGCCTGTTAGGATCTGGGCCACACAGCAGGAGGTGAGCGGGAGGCCAGTGGGCATTACTGCCTGAGCTCTGCCTCCTGTCACATCAATGGTGACATTAGATTCTTATAGGAGTGCGAATCCTATCGTGAACTGCGCGTGCGAGGGATCTAGGTTGCGTGAGAATCTAATCTTATGAGAATCTAACTGAGGTCTGATGATCTGAGGTAGAACAGTTTCATTTCAAAACCATCCCCCCGACCCCAGTCTGTGGAAAAACCATCTTCCAACAAACCAGTCCCTGGTGCCAAGATTGGGGATCACTGACCTACATACCTAAAGTTCGAGTGTAAACAGATAGTGGTCCTTTACCTCTTGCTAGGAAATAGCCTCCATGAGAACACCTGGGAGAAGAGGTTTATGGTAATAACACACATTATTCTAAAACCTGATAGCAATTAAAGTTTCCATAACCACCAGGGGGGTTTCACCATGTCGGTCAGGCTGGTCTCAATCTCCTGACCTCGTGATCCACCTGCCTCGGCCTCCCAAAGTGCTGGGATTACAGGTGCGAGCCACCGGCACCTGGCCTTCTTTTTGTTTTTTTGAGACAGAGTCTCACTCTGTCACCCAGGCTGGAATGCAGTGGCACAAACATGGCTTGCTGCAGCCTCAACCTCCTGACTCAAGTGATTCTCCTGCCTTATCCCCCCAAGCTGCTGGGACTACAGAAGCACACCATCACACCTGGCTAATTTTTGTACTTTTTTGTAGAGATGGGGTTTCACCATCTTGCCTAGGCTGGTCTCAAGCTCCTGAGCTCAAGCTATCCACCTGCCTCAGTCTCTCAAAGTGTTAGGATTATAGCTGTGAGCCCCCACGCCTGGCCCAGTGATGCCTCTTTATCACTCAATATCAGATAGTAAATTCTCCCCATCTACATTACACCCCTGGCAATTTCCATTCACCTGTTTTGTTTTGACAAAGCACATATTACCCTCTGACAAACTATATATGTCCCTTATTATTTTTTATGTCTCTGTTGAATGGATGTTGCCATCCATGAGAACGAGCATTTTATATCATTCACCACTTTATCATCACCCAAGAGCTCTGCCTGACTCAACACAGTGTTCAATAGATGTGTTGAATAAAAGAATTCCCACTTGTCTTCTCTGGGAGACTTTGAGCCAAATTACAAAAGTGAAAGAACTTTTTCAAGTAAACGATGCATAATGGGAAAGGGACTGGAAAGAGCGATTCTTCTGGGAAGTTTAAAGGTTTCACCAGATTCAGGGCTAAGTGGATGGTGCTGATAAGAAAATCATGCTGATCACAAAATCATGGTAAGAATTACTTAGGAAAAAAAAAAATCATAAGGCAGAAAAGTGGCCAGGGGATCTAGGGACTGATTGCTTCTAAAATTTTTGTTCTCTGATTTTTCCTTTTTCAAGTAGGAGTCAATATTTAGAGCCTCGGGAATAATGTTTTCTCTGAAAGCAGACTATAAAAATGGATGGATGTAAATATATTTTTCTATATAGATCACACCATTGTTTTTCAAACTGAAGGCTAGGACTATTAGTGAGTTGGAAATAAATTCAGTTGCTTGTGACAAGCATTAACAGAAAAGAAAAATATTAGACGTGTTTTGTAAGCAAGAAATGTATTTCTCCGCATAAATTCTTGTTTAAGGCCACACACACACACCTACCCATATGTGAATGTTTGTATTTATGATATAAAATGTATTTCTTATTGTAACTCATACTCAAAAGTTTGAAACCTCCCAGTCTAAATGATTAAGAAAGGTATTAATTTCTTAATCAAACAAATTGTTCAAATAGAAAGTTACATTGTAATAATGGAAACTTGGGAAACAGATAAATGTGTTTCCTTTAAGTTGAAGCCTACATAGTTTGTCATGTCTGTATATACTTTGCAAGTTTTCACTTTTATTTTTATTTATTTTTTTTGAGATGGAGTTTCACTCTTGTTGCCCAGGCTGGAGTGCAATGGCGCGCTGTAGGCTCACTGCAACCTCCACCTCCCAGGTTCAAGTGATTCTCCTACCTCAGCCCCCCAAGTAGTTGGGGTTACAGGTATGCGCCACCATGCTCAGCTAATTTTTGTATTTTTAGTAGAGACGGGGTTTCACCATGTTGGCCAGGCTGGTCTGGAACTCCTGGTCTCAGGTGATCCACCCACCTCTGCCTCCCAAAGTGCTGGGATTACAGGCGTGAGCCACCATGACTGGCTGCAAGTTTTCACTTTTAAATGTGACTTTTTTTGGTCTTCCTGAGAATGTGTCAATTTGAGGAGGGCAATTTCCCTATTTTGCCCAGGTTATAATGTTTCTAATTGAAAATGATATGTTAGGCCCTTATTACAATGCAGAGAAAACTAAAATCTACCTTCTTTAGTATATGTTTATTTAATGGCTATCTTCTATAACATTTATTTGCTTAGTGGCTAATTTTGTAGAAAATAAAGGCATTGCCATACATACCATATTTGAATAGGGACTACTAAAATGATAAGTAATATTCTTTTCTGTAACTCTCTTTGGAAGAGGTGGATGGTTGCCACAAAGAAAATTTTTAAAGGGAAAGACTTAAAAGCTATTCTCTAAACATTGTTTTTTCCTTGTGTAAAGTGTTTTTGGGGACCTGCCTAAAACGTGGCTATGAGAACCTTTATTCTAAAAAGTAGTTCTTCACCAAGTGAGCAAGATTCACTATTAACAGCTACAGGAAAGCCACAAGGGGGAAATGATACTCAATTTGATTACAACTAAAGCTAAGCTTTCATTAGATGTGAGTGTTATGGTCTCAATGTGTGTGCCCTTGCCATTTGTATGCTGAAATCCTAACTCCTAAGGCATTAGGAAGGTGATTATGTCATGAGGGCAGATCTTTCATGAATAGGATTAGTGCCCTTATAAAAGAGGCCTGAGAGAGATTTCTTGCCCCTTCCCTGTAAGGACGCAGCAAAGAAGGTGCTGTCATTGGATCAGGAAGTGGGCCCTCAGCAGACACTGAATCTGCTGGTGCTTTGAACATGGACTTCCCAGCCCCCAGAAATGTCAGAAATAAAATTCCGTTGTTTATAATTCCCCCAGTCGGTAGTATTTTGTTTTAGCATCCTGAGCAAACTAAGTGGGTTAATGAATACAGATCTTCATATATCCAAAAGCACCCAATAAATTAGAATTAGATTAGATATTCATCAGGGGGAAAAAAACTGTTCTAGACTATGCCTTCGTCACACATTTTTGTTTGCCAACCTTGGAATATCTCCAAGGCTAACAGAAAAATGTCCAGCAGCCCCAGCCCCTCCTCACCTGAGGAGTTATCTCTCTGGGTTGCCATCTTCATCATCCACAGCTTTTCTTCTCTCTCTAACTGTGGTAGGCCATCTGGTGTGGACTGATGCCCTGTGAAAAGGCAAGGACATAGGTTTATAATTAATACATCAGAAGCCAAAATTACTCAAAATTATTGTCCTCATTTCATCGTCTTCAGGACATCAAACTTAGTGTTTTCCACACTTCTAATCATGACCCATTGGAGGAAGTATATTTCATGCAAAGACCCAAGATATGCAGATATAAGTATAAATTACTGGGAAAAAAAATGTTTTCATCATACCCCCTCCATTGTCTCTCACATTCTTCTTGGCAACAGGACATAGTTTTTGCTGCAATGTGCAGTTATTGCCAAGTGCTCTGACATTTTCTACCCCATTTTATTTCATTAAAAAAACCAATGGTACAATTCATCAAATGTATATCAGGACCCACTAACTGGAGATGACCACAATTTGAGAAAGGATAAAAGTGTATAGTTGTCATGCTGTCAATTTATGGTTCATTAACAAAATACACACTTTTGCCAGGGGAGAAAGACTTTAAAAATTCCATATCTGTCTTATGATGGATGATTAGAAAACTGAAAACCAGTTCAAGAGCTCCAAAGCCCTGTATACCCAAGGACAGAGAGACAACAGAGGGAGCCAATGTTCAGTCAGAGAATGCCTGTCCTCACCCACTGAGACCACATTCCTGAAGTTCTCCAGCATCACATCTCGGTACAGCTTCCTCTGGGCAAGGTCCAGCAGTTGCAGCTCCTCCTCAGAGAAGACCACAGCCACGTCCTTGAATGTCACTGCCTCCTACAACATCAAACACACTCCACCTAAATCTTGCAATAAAGGTCCACTGGAAAAGGGATAGCACTGAGAAATGTGAAAAAGATGTGTAGGGAAAGGTGTCAGATTCTTAAGAGACCATATTCAACTTTATTACAGTTAAACACATATAAAGTGTATTATATTTTAGGTTTTTCCTTTTCATAATAAATGCTGTAAAGAACAACTTTTTGCATAGATATTACCCACCTATTTTCTTAGGTAAGTTCCAAGAAGTGAAAAATCACAATGTCAAAGAATATGCAACTTCCAAATTATGATGTACGACAGATTTTCTTTTCAATTTTTCCCTGTCTTATCCTTCCCCCAAGATAAAGTATCATTGATTTTCCATACCATAGATAACACTGAATATAACCAATTTTTAAAAAATCCTAGGCAATCTGTTCATTAAGAAACAACTGGGTTTTTTGGTCTGTAATTAACTAGTAAGATCATATTTTCGTATATTTACTGGACATCTTTATTTTTCTTTGGTATCTCACCTGTTACTGTCCTTTTATTGATATTCCATTTAGAATTTTATCTTATAACTCTGTAAAATTTCTAGTGATGATTTTAAGTCGTTTTTTAGCATATACGTTGTTGTTCACCTACATTTTGCTGGTGTTTTATAGCTTTGTGTTCAGGAGTGTTTCTTAAACTCAACACTATTGCTGTCTTGGGCGGGATAGTTGTCTGCTGTGTGGGGGTGTCTAGGGCACTGTAGGGCATTTTGCAGCACCCTTAGCTTCTACCTACTAGATGCTGGTAGCACCCCCGACCTGTGGTACCAGGAATGTTTCCAGATGTTGCCGGGTGGGGGGGGGGGGCAGTGGGCGGTAAAGTCACCCATGATAAAGAAGCACTAGCATATCGTATTGGTTTTTTTTTTTTTTTTTTTGAGACAGAGCCTTGCTCTGTTCCCCAGGCTGGAGTGCAGTGGTACGATCTTAGCTCACTGCAATCTCCGCCTCCTGGGTTCAAGTGATTCTTGTGCCTCAGCCTCCCGAGAAGCTGGGAATACAGGCGTGCGCCACTATGCCAGGCTAATTTTTGTATTTTTAGTACAGATGGGGTTTAGCCATGTTTGTCCAGGCTGGTCTCGAACTCCTGACCTCAAGTTATCCACCTGTCTCGGCCTCAGAAACTGCTGGGATTACAGGTGTGAGCCACTGTGCTCGGCCAGCATTATCATACTGTTTTAACTTTTCATATGAAGACTGTTCATCCCTGGAGCCCTGCACATTCAGGTACCCTAAATGAATGACAGTGGTCATAGAGAAGAAGAGGCCACTGGAGAGTGAATCGAGTAGGGGCAGTATTAGCTGAGGCATCTTCCACTAACCAGGACAAGCTAGGCACCCACACAAAAAGGGCCAGGTCCACTAAGTGGAGAATTCTTTTTCTTTGCCTCTCTCTCTTCAGTCAAGTAAAAATCCTGGAGTCTTTTGAAATCAGTTGGATCTTTGGTATCCTATGTGAAACTAAGCAACTTTCCACAATTCTACAGTCTTGTTTCTTTGTAATTAAAATGCACATGAGACCAAGGACTGCCTCATAAAGTTGGTTTGAGGAATAAATACAGTAAGAGAAGTATCTGGTAAGTCCTCTTGTACTGCTAGACTTTTAAAATTAAGTACATTATTACTTCAATAAAATAAGTTAACATAAGAGTAAAAGAATACGGATCAGTAAGTAAACATACATAGGGTATAACTCAGGCCTGGGTAAGAAAAATCTAGCTTTCTTTTGTGGAAATATCTAATAATATTTTCTCTAAAATCAGTGGCATCATGTCACACGATGTCATATCTGAATCATTGACATAGGAACTACCCAAAGTACCACATATCAAAAGTACTTTTTCAATATAGTGTTTCTATAACATTAAAAGTAAATAATAGCAAAACTCCTTCAAATTGCTTTTTGGAAAAAATGGTTATTTGTGGGAAAACTGTAGTAACAATTTTCAGTAAAAATTCTAAACTACCTAAACATTGATGAATGAGGAGAAAAGTTATCTCACATACACACCACAGAGTAACATCAATTCAAGGGACTATAAAAATATGGAGCAAGTAATATTAATTAGAAAAGATGTAACTTGAACATTTTGTCTATACAATGCTTATAAATACGCAGTTATGAATACATCTGAGGAAAAGAACATGGAAAATCAAAACAGTTGTTTTGTAAGGGAAACAGTAGGAAAATGAGAGATTTTTATTGTTACTGACTTTTCTATTCTATGCTTATTTATCAAATTATAAAGTCATA
Organism: Homo sapiens; assembly: GCF_000001405.40. Lineage (NCBI taxonomy): Eukaryota > Metazoa > Chordata > Mammalia > Primates > Hominidae > Homo > Homo sapiens. Next base: position 43,921,995 of record NC_000019.10, read on the forward strand.
AAATAAAGCAACAAAAATTAAACAACACAAAAGTAAAAAGCAGCAAGCATTTGGCACACAAGAGGTTCTCAAATGTCTACCGTTCTCCTTCATCTTCCTAACAAAGAGAATAAGGTGTATGTAATCTTTCCGAAATGAGATGACAATTATTACGGAGAAAGGGAGGTCCAACTCACCTTAGACTTCGTCATTTTGTCCTCCTCCTTCTGGAGAAGTGCCAAGTCTTAAGAGGGAAGGAGAAAACATGAGGGAAGGAGAAAAAAGCCATGAGAGTTTGGCCAAAAAAAAAACCATAGCTGTTTTTTTGTTTTGTTTTGTTTTTTTTAACGTGAAATAGCAACAGTGTTCCTTCCTCGGGCTGGCTTGATGAACAGAAACTAGGCTGGATTCCAGATACTACTTGTCCCTTTGGCTGTAAGACCCTGGCAGCAAGTGACCTGCCCGACCACACAGAGTATGCCCCCAACATAATTTCTCCTTGTGGCTCTCAGGGTATGACTGATTCTAGGGAGAGTAGAAATTGAGAGTAAAATACCCAGATTAAGAGTATTTGGCCCCTCTGGAGCCAAATGCCTAGATTTATGGCATTGCTATTTATTCGCTATGAAATCCAGGACAAATTATTAATATCTCTGTGCCTCAGTTCTTTCATCCATAAAATGAAGAGATTAACAATGAGAGAATTAACAATCTCATAGGATTGTTTACAAATTAAATGAGGGAAAAAGCTCAAAGAATATTTTCAGAGTACCTTATTTCTTAGCTGCAGAAAAGCACATAACATAAAACCTGTGCTCATTAATGGTTTCTACCAATAAATTCTTTGTTTTTTTTTTTTTTTTTTTTTTTGAGAGAGGGTCTTGCTCTGCTGCCCAGGCTGGAGTGCAGTGGCACAATCATGACTCACTAAAGCCTTGACCTCCTGGGCTCAAGCGATCCTCCCACCTCAGCCTCCCAAGTAGCTGGGACCACAGGTGTGCACCACAATGTCCAGCTAATTTTTTTACTTTTTGTAGAGACGAGGTCATGCTATGTTGCCCGAGCCAGTCTCAAACTCCTGAGCTCAAGTGATCCTCCTGCCTCAGCCTCCCAAAGTGCTGGGATTACAGGTGTGAGCCACCACACTCAGCTGATGAATTCTTTAGTAGAGGTTTTTTAACCTCTACTTTAACCTCGCCTTTAACCTCTGAAATACCTGTTATTCTCTCTTGGTTTCCCATACTTAATTTGAGGCTTTTGCAATAGTATTTAAGATTACAGTGGTCCTTCCTATCCATAGTTTTGCTTTCTGTGGTTTCAGTTACCTGAAGTCAACTATGGCCCAAAAATAGGTGAGTACAGTGCAGTAAGATATTCTGAGAGAGAGAGAGAGACCATGTTTATAGAACTTTTGTTACAGTATTTTATCATTATTCTATTTTATTATAAGTTATTGTTGTTAGTCTCTTACTGTGCCTAATTTATAAATTAAGCTTTATCATAAGTATGTAGGTAAAGGAAAAACATAGTATATTTAGGGTTCAGTAATATCTGAGGTTTAAGTCATTCACTGGGGGACTTGGAAGGTATCTGCTGTGGATAAGGGGGGACTACTGTACATAGATGACTGCTTTTTTTGATAGTAAAATATGTAACATAAAATTTACCATTTTAACCATTTTTTAAGTGGTTACATTCAGTAAGTACATTTACATTGTTGTGCAGCCATCACCACTATCCATCATCAGAATTTTTTATGTACCCATTAAGTAATAATTCCCCATTCCCCCTCCCAGCCCCTGATAACCACGTTATCTCTATGAATTTGACTATATGGACTGGTTTCTAAAAGGTATAAGACCTTGCAAAATTTGGCTGTGTAGAGTGGCTCATGCCTGTAATCCTAGCACTCTGGGAGGCCAAAGTGGGAGGACTGCTTGAGGCCAAGAGTTCAAGACCAACCTGGCCAACAGAGTGATCTCTAAAGAGAAAAAAAAAAAATCTAAAAAAAAAAAAAAAGACCTTGCAAAATTTACTTTAACAGTAGGGCCTTAAAAAGACTATCATAGAGACAGAGAAAATTTAATAAAAAATCATGACTCTGCAAGATTTATGCAACTATAAATTAGATAATGTCACTGAAATTAACAAGCTATAGGAAGCACAATAATAACAACAAAAATGGTGATATTTAACTAAATACATATTAGGGACCTTATGAAGAACTTGGCACATGATGTTTCATTAAGGTACTTCACACATACCTGTGAAGAAGCTACTGTTGTATCAGTTGTGTGACCTTGGTCCAAACACCTAAACTTCTGTGCCTATGCTCAGCTATAAGAAGGGAAATGAAAACAGGATGTTAATCATAGGATTACTGTGAGGAATCAATGAGTGAATTTATGCAATGCCCTTGGCATAGTACCTGGCATTTTAGGGAGTTCTCAACAGATGATAATGACGACAATTGTATCCATTTAACAGGCGAGGAAGCTGAGGCTTGGTGAGGTCAAGAGGCAGGAACAGTACCTGAATCCAGCTTTCATACCAGAGCCAGTATTCTAAATCTTGTCTCTCTGTTGCTTCTAAAGACAAAAATAAGCAGATGGGAGTCTAAGATCTCATGGAAGGAGAAATGAGGGCTCCAGAGTTAGGGGTAAAAGACAGACACAGAAATGGAGATTGGACTCTGAAGCCAAGGGAGCTGCTTGAGGGAGTAGAGAACAGAGTTGTGAACAGTCTAGACTCCAGAACCAGCCCACCAGTACTGGAATACAGGCATGTCCAACTTGCTAGTACTTTGTGCTCTAATGTCTAATCTATAAACTGGATGTAATAATAATACCTACTTCATAGGAAGGTCAGTGAAAGTGACTAAGTATACACAAAACATGTGGAACAGTTTCTGGCAGCTTAAACAATCAATAGAAGTTACACATAAACCCATGCAGATGCTTTACATGAAACAGTCAGGGAGCCCCTCCCTTGCTGCTGTGGACCAATGTCTGTGTCCCCTCAAAATTCTTATGTTGAAGCCCTAATGTGATGTTATTGGGAGGTGGGGCCTTTAGGAGGTAATTAGGTCATGAGGGTGAAGCCTCCATAATGGGATTGCTTTCCTTGTAAGAAAAGCAAGTAACCTAGCTCTTTCTCTCTTCCTCCCAGGAAGATACAAGACAACAGCTTCTGCGAACCAGTAAGAGTGGCCTCATTAGACATTGGATTTGCCAGTGACTTGATCATGGACTTCCCAGTCTCCAGGACTGTGAGTTATAAAGGTTTGTTGTTTAAGCCACCCAGCCTATGGTATTGTTTGTTATAGCAGCACAAATGGACTAAGGCACTCACGGAGTCTGCAGCTTCACATGGCTTGATGATGGGGAAACATGGGCTGGATTCCAGATTCCACTTGACCCTTCAGCAGAGAGCCTCTGCACAGTGAAAAATGGAGTTCTTGTAGCTCTCAGGGTATGATTCTGATTCTATGGAGGGTGGAAACGAGTAAAATACCCAGATTAAAAGCTTAGTATTAGTTAATTACTGCTTGATTTATTAGTAAATTATTCTTAGTTCTCTTACTTCAGATAGAAGAACCCTTACTATTGAAAAGGGAAACATAAAACCTTCCAATCTTAGAAGAAATACTTATTTATTTATTTTTCTGAAATGGAGTCTTGCGCTGTGGCCCAGGCTGGAGTGCAGTGGAATGATCTCAGCTTACTGCAACCTCAGCCTTCCGGGTTCAAAAGATTATCCTGCCTCAGCCTCCCCAGTAGCTGGATTATGGGCACCCGCCACCATTCCTGGCTAATTTTTTTTGTTTCTTTTGTTTTTTTAGTACAGATGAGGTTTCACTATTTTGGCCAGGCTGGTCTCGACCTCCTGACCTCAAGTGATCCACCCGCCTTGGCCTCCCAAAGTGCTGGGATTATAGGCGTAAGCCACCACACCCAGCCTGAAATACTCTTTTAGAATTTGTAATTCACTTTGTTCTAACTCTATATTTGCCCAGCAACCTCTGCTCAGTAAGAATGTTTTGCAGGGGATATATTTCCATCGCCTCGGGAAAAAAAAGAGATAATAGCAAATCAACCATCTGTCTTGTGATGAATGTTTATTCAGCTTTATATCCCAAGTACCTAAAACAGTTCCTGTACAAAGTAATTGCCCAGCAGAAATGACTGAACCCACCATCAGACATGGAGAGGCATATAGGAAGACTAGACTAGTTGGTCTAAGTCTCCCTGAGACTGACTCCAGTTGGGAAGATTTGGAGAGCAAGGGTTTTATTTCCAAATTTTTCCTCTAGGTCTTTCACCATATTTGCTGTCCTTGGGCAAGATCAGAGTCATCTTTGGAAGGAAAAGCATCTCTGGATTTTGTTAAATACCATCTTAGGAAAGTACTCTCTGCTCTTCAAAGTCAGCGACGACATGAGTCACTGTTACAGAACCCACAGAATGTGTCCCTTAAAATACTGAGAATGAACACTATTTTACTGCCTGCATAATTAGCACTAGACAGGTGAATTTATTACTACTTCATTAAATAGATGAGTTTATTAACTCAGTGAAGACTTGTGGGAACCTTACTAAAAGAGATGCAATTCCCCAGCCTCAAGATGCTCACAGTCTAGTGATGAGGAAGCTGGCAATTCCACTATACATGGCTAAATGCCAGAGTAGTGCACAGCATCCTTTAGCGGCATGAGGAATGGGCTCATAAGCCCACAGTGGAATGCAGGGGTTCTACACAAACGTAGCTTAATCTGAGCCCTGGAGGGTGACTGAGCTCTATTAGCCAGAGAATCCAAATCACTATAAAACTCCCAGAGAACAAATGTCATGATGTGAAGACAAATAACAGGCAGAAAGAGATGGGCAGGAAGGCAGAATTCAAACCATGATGACGTTCAAGTCACAAAATTATCTGCAAGTCAGCAGGAGAACACTGAAGGACTTCTGGAAAGGAGAGTAAAAAGATTCCTTTCATGTTAGAAACAGATTACCCTCTCAAACGGGAGGAGGCTTGAGGGGGAGGAGGCTAGGGCCAGAGAGACTATTAGGAGAGCCACACTAAGAAACTCTTTCTTCTTTATTCAAATGTCACCACCTCAGAGTCTCTCTCTAGCCATCCTGTAGATAATTTCGGTCTCCTAACTGCACCCCAACACTTCCTATCCCTCATCTCTGCTTACTTCTTTTCTCTAAGCCCTTATTCCTCTCTAACATCCTTCTAGGTATTTACTTACTTATATTCATTACACTTGTCTAATGTGGAGTTTCGTTACCTGCTCCATCCCCAACACCTACTAAGTTGCTACAAGCATTTGGAAGGAACCCAAAGATTTGCAGAATGACTACTTTAATGACTCAGTGAATAGTTGATAGATACACCATGTGGATCAGGGCCTCATTATTTATCACCTGAACCATTCATTCAACATATGATTGTTGAAGGGTCTACTCTGTGCCAGCCAAGGGTCCTAGATGTGAAATATACAGCAGTGAACAAAGACCTTGATCTCACAAAGATGATATTATAATGGGCTACGAGGGCATAGCAAACCCCCAATATATAGCGAGAGACACTTTTAAGAACAATAGGGCAGGGTAAAGAAATAAAGAGATGAAAGGAGGGGCTGTCACAGAATAAGTTTTTGTCATGAAAGATTTCTCTTATATTTGAACAGAGACCTCAAATATAGGAAGAGAAAGCCATGTAGAGATCTGATATCTGAAGGCATGTAATTCAGCCCTGAAGAACATAGAAAATTTTTTTTTGTTAAAAAGCCATAGGTCTGGTATTTAGCAAAGACATGGAATCAACCTAAATGCCCGTCGATAGCAGTCTGGATAAAGAAAATGTGGTGCATATACACCATGGAATACTAGGCGGCCATAAAAAAGATGTCCTGGCTGGGCGCGGTGGCTCATGCCTGTAATCCCAGCACTTTGGGAGAGTGAGGCAGGCGGATCACCTGAGGTTAGGAGTTCGAGAACAGCCTAACCAACATGGAGAAACCCTGTCTCTACTTAAAAAAAAAAATACAAAATTAGCCAGGCATGATGGCGAATGCCTGTAATCCCAGCTACTCAGGAGGATGAGGCAGGAGAATTGCTTGAACCTGGGAGGTCAAGCTTGTGGTGAGCCAAGATCGCACCATTGCACTCCAGTCTGGGCAACAAGAGCGAAACTCTGTCTCAAAAAAAAAAAAAAAAAAAAGATGTCCTTTGCAGGAAGATGGATGGAGCTGGAGGACATTATTCTTAGTAAACTAATACAGGAACAGAAAACCAAATACCGCATGTTCTAACTCATCAGTGGGAGCTAAATGATGAGAATACATGGACACACAGAGGGGAACAACAGACACTGGGGTCTCCATCAGAGGGTGGAGGGTGGGAGGAGGGAGAGGACCAGAAAAAATAACTCATGGGTACTAGGCTTAATACCTGGGTGACAAAATAATCTGTACAACAAACCCCCATGACACAAGTTTACCTGTATAACAAACCTGCACGTGTACTTCTGCAGTTACAGAAGATCAAGGATGGGACTAAGAACCTATTTCTACCAATATCCCAGGTGATGCTAATGCTGCTGGTCCCTAAATTACAATTTGATAGCATCAGTTAAAACAGCTCTCTAGATATTTTCAGACAGACTAACACTTGAGGTTTTCACCTCCAATTTTTCTACTAACCCCAATATACTATCCTATTGCCTAAGGGCAAAAAGAACTAAAGAAGGTAAAAACAAACTGCAAGCTTCTCTTTCTCTCTGATACTAACAAACAGGAATGAAGGTTTGTTAGGATCAGGAGTGCCAAGATCAACTCTATGCTCCTAACATTAACCACGAAAAAACCCAGGCCACTCATAAAATACTCCCTATAATGACAGCAACTGACATTTAGAGCAACTGACTGGCTGCCTACCAAGGCACTGTTTACATAAATTCTTCACATGTAGTATCTCATTTGATTTTCATAACGATGATAGAGATTGAGAAAATAATTATGCCCATTTTACAGACAAGGAAATAGAGGCACACAGAAGTAACTTGTTCATGTTTAACAAGTGGTCAACAGAAAAGTCAGGATTTTCACCCAGTGCCTTATCTACTAGAACACTGGCTGCGCCAGGCAATGAACCCAGGCAATCTGACACCTGTGCCCATGTTCTTAACCGCTCGACAGTGGTTCTCAAACCCTGGTATGCATCCATATCAAAAGGCCTGAGGTTCCATGTGCTGCCTTGATACCTTTGAGACTCACAGGGCCCTGAAGGCCTAGCCATGAGCTCCCGGCTCTCTCCAGATATGCCCTCTCAGTGGGAAAGGATCCCTGCCCGCCTAGTTCCTCGTGTGTTAACCATGTTTTATGTACTGGCTATTTGATATCTGCTATTCCTAATCTCTCCCTAAGTCTGCTGAATCACAGGGCCAGACTAACAACCAAAATTATGTGCATCTTCCCTGCAAGCAGCTTTCACCGGTGGGAGAAAGACATATTACAAAAGCATAGGCCCCAGTTCCTTTCTCTGTCTGCTTCCTGACCCTTGCCTGTAGTGGGCTTCATGTGGTCTGGTGTGGTGTGATGTACCAGTGGAACTCTAAGTATTAAAATACTATTCATTGGCATTAATCTCTCCATGTTGTCACTCAGCCGCTTTTATAAAATTAAGACTTAGGCACAATTCATCCTATTTAGCCAGACCACCTGTACCCCACCAGGTCCTCCACATAACAGGTTTTGCCTCCCTGCCAGCCTGTAGAATTATCCAAATGGTCAATTAAATCTTCTTGCAGGAACCAAGGGTCACCCTGCTACCCTCCTGTCACTACAAAATCAACCTACCATGGCCCCTGTTGGTTCAATCTATTCTCAAGTGCAAGTCCCCTGGGCTGTGAATATGTGACTAATAAACTGCTACCAACCTCTTCTGCATAGGCTGACTGTAGGGTTTGTGTGTTCAGCCACCTCCTGCCAGTTCAAGTGATGTCTTAGTCCATTTTTGCTGCTATAACAAAATACCACAGTTATAAAGAACAGAAATTTCTCACAGTTCTGAAGGATGGGAAGTCTAAGATCAAGGCTCCAGCAGGTTGTGGGTCTGGTAAGGGCCTTTTTGCTGTGTTCTCACGTGGCAGAAGGGTAGGGGAAAAGGGGGATGGAGGAATGCTGTGTCTTCATAGTCTTCATATGGCAGAAGAACAAGGGAGGTGAACTCTCTCTCTGAAGCCTCTTTTATAAGAGCATTAACTCCTTCATGCCCTCATGACTTAATCACTTCCCAAAGGCCTCACCTCTTAATAACACCACAATGGGGATTAAGTTTCAATGTTTGGGGGACACTCAGACAGCAGCAGGTGGGGGAATCCCTCCTTCACCAATGGGGTGAATAGGTGACCAGAACCCCCGAATTACTAATAAAGAACACAGAAGTTCAAGCTCATAGAAGTAGTGTAGGGCCTGGGTCTTATGATTCTGATGTGACCACAGTTCAAGAACCACTGCATTATTCTACACTGCCTCTTAAAGAGTTGACGGAACTGTCCAAGGGCACCCAGGAAACCAGGGGCATGGCTCTGCCTGGCACTCAGGCCTACTGATTATCAGCTCCCTGCTCCTCTCCAGTATAAGATGCCCCTAGAGCTCTCTATAAGAGGAAAGGGCTGCAGAATGACTGGTAATGCCTCTGGAGGCAAATTCTCAGAATGAAAGGGGAGGCTTCCCTTAGATCAGTGCTGTCCAACAGAAATATAATGCAGGCAAGCTATTCGTGTAATTTAAATTTTTCTCATAGCTACACTGAAAAAGGTAAGATGAAGCAAGTGAACTTAATTTCAACAATATATTTTCTTTAACCCAACATATCCAAAGTATTATCCCCTCAACTTGTAATCAGTATAAGAATTATTGAGGGATTTTACTTTCTTTTTTTCATACTAGATCTTTGAAATCTGTTGTGCCTTACCATTATAACATATCTCAATTCAGACTAGTTACGTTTCAGGTGCTCAATAATCACATGCGGCTAATGGCTACACTATTGGATAGTGCAGGTTTAGACCTTTTTATTAAGGCAATATAGACTATATAATCATCTCACAGGGACTTGCTAAGTTCAAAAGACAGCAAATTAGTTGTAGGTTTCAACAATCACTATCATAGAAACTATGCACATTTGTTTAAATATGTAACAGAATTAAAGTATCCATAGAAAAAGTGGAAAGTGGGGAAGAAAAGAATACTTAAAAATATACCTTTGAGGCTGGGCACGGTGGCTCACGCATGTAATCCCAGCACTTTGGGAGGCCCAGGCGGGTGGATCACGAGGTCAGGAATTCAAGACCAGCCTAGCCAAGATGGTGAAACCCCGTCTCTATTAAAAATACAAAAAAATTAGCTGGGTGTGGTGGCGGGTGCCTGTAATCCCAGCTACTCGGGAGGCTGAGGCAGAGAATTGCTTGACCCTGGGAGGCAGAGGTTGCAGTGAGCTGAGATCGTACCATTGCATTCCAGCCTGGGCAACAGAGTAAGACTCTGTCTCAAAAAAAAAAAATGTATACATATATATATATACCTTTGCTCCTTCAATAACTTGTTGCATTTTTCAACTTATCTGTAGAAGATGAAGGCCAGCTTTAGTCTATAATACACAGAGGACTTACTACATGCGAGGCACTATTTCAAACATGTTACCTATCTCTTTTAGTCTTCACAGAAACTTTACGAGGTAGTTATTAATATCATCCCTACTTAACGGGTAAGAAAACTGAGGCACAGAAAGGTCAAGTAACTTGCCCAAGGTTATTCAGTCACTGAGTGTTCCAACCTAGCTGCTGAGGTTTGATTCTGGCTCTGCCCCGCTGATTGTGCCACCAGTTCATCTGTACAGTTAACTTGTGTGTGTTTGTTTTTTCATCTTTAAAATCAGAATAAAATAGAACTGTCATAAAGAACAAATAAGCTAGTGCATGGAAAGCACTAGAAATTCTCCAAGTCATAAGAAACACCCAACAAATGTCAGCAGTCCTCATCAGAATCTCCATGTGATAAATATTAAACCTGGCCAGGCATGGTGGCTCATGCCTATAATCCCAGCACTTTGAGAGGCGGAGGCGGGCAGATCACTTGAGGTCAGGAGTTCAAGACTAACCTGACCAACATGCCAAAACCCCGTCTCTACTAAAAATACAAAAATTAGCTGGGCATGGTGGTGCACGCCTGTAATCCCAGCTACTGGGGAGGCTGAGGCAGGAGAATTGCTGAAACCCAGGAGGCGGAGGTTGCAGTGAGCCAAGATCGCGCCACTGCACTCCAGCCTGGGTGACAGAGCAAGACTTTGTCTCAAAAAACAAACAAACCAAAAAACCCAAAAAACTGAACCTTAATAGTGGTCTGATTTGTCTTTAAGGGAGTTTGTTTTAGATCTTGACAATATTATCCACAATTGTTCATCAACTTTTGAATACCCTGAAAAAGTTGATGGATTCTACAGCCCACCAAACGTGAGATAACAGACAAGGACTGTGGATAATCCTTCTATTTTGTTCTCTAATTGCAAGCTGTAGCACCCAAAATCCAGATGCCTGTTGGAGAGCTACATGAATCACTTACTCACTGAATAACTCCTCTTTGCAAACCTCTTGCTGGGTACTCTTGAGAAGAATATGATAATGTCCATGAAACAGAGGTCCCTGAAGTCTAATGGGAGAGAGATAGGAAACCAAGAGTTATATGCCAGTGGCAAGTGCAACTCCAAAAAAGCAAAGAAAATCAATCATCTTTCTTTTCCTAATTGCAACTCTTTCTAGCTTTCTCACATAAGTAGCATTCTCCTAGCTGCCAGGAGTGAAAAACCTCAGAGTTACTGTTAATATCTATTATGGGCTGAATTGTGTGTGCCTCTCTCAAAACGTTAAAGTCCTAACGCTCGGTATCTCAGAAATAACTGTCTTTGGAAATAGGGCCTTTAAAGAGGTGATGAAGTTGACTTACAGCAAGGGAGCTCACGCACACAGAGGGGAGAGGCCTTACAAGCCACCAAAACTGGTGACACCTTGATTTTGGACTTTTAGCCTCCAGAACTGTAACAAATACATTTCTGTATAATCCAGCCAATTTGTAGTATTTTCTTATGGCAGCCCTGGCAAATGAATATAATTGCCCCTCCCTTGGCCTTCATATATAAACGATTAGTGAGGCCTAGCATGGTGGCTCACACCTGGAATCCCAATACTTTGGGAGGCTGAGGTGGGCGGATCACTTGAGGTCGAGTTTGAGACCAGCCTGGCCAACATGGAGAAACCCAGTCTTTACTATAAACACAAAAATTAGCAGGGCGTGGTGACGGGCACCTGTAAAGCCAGAGGCAGGAGAATTGCTTGAACCCAGGAGGCAGAGGTTGCAGTGAGCTGAGATCGTACCACTGCACTCCAGCCTGGGCAACAGAGCAAGATTCCATCTCAAAAAAAACAAAAAACAAAAAACACAATTAATGATAATTATTAGTTTTTAAGCCTTACTGACTCATCATCTGGGTTTGTTTTAAAATACTCAAGGGAAAAAAAGTTGGTGGGAGAGGCAATAAGATTAGCAAGAATGGAAGCAGGGTGACTGTACATAAGAGTTCATTATATTTGGGTATGTTTGGATATTTCCATAGTAAAAAATAAGGGAATAACAACCCACTATGAATAGTGTGATAACAATTTCATAAAACACAGACAAAAACACATTAAAAACTGCTAAACAGAAATGCATTAAAATGTTAATAATTATCTATATCCTAGTATTAAGGAAATTTGTAATATTTTATATTTCTGTATTTTCTACATCCTGTACAGAGAACGTGCATCTCTATGATCAAAATATGAACTACTAATATTGCTTAAAATTAAATGAGAATTCTTTCAAAATTTTCTAAAGTCTAAACTCAACCTTGCTTTCAAAATCTTCTACAGTAAAATTCCAACCTCCCTCCCCAACTTGATCTCAAATGGCTCCTCTGCAGCCAGTTTCCTATGATTATTTATATGGATCATTTATCTATTTTATTTCCTAATTCTAAATTGGGATTTCAAACTGTGAGACCAAGGGTATTCAGATGTAAGGAACCCAAGTCTAGGACACAAATCCCACTGTTCTTACTAGCACTGTGATATAGGAAAGTAAATTAGGCTCTCTCCATTTCCTCATCTGTATAATTGGTGTAATAACAGTACCCATATCACAATACCCACATCACCTTTGTAAGGTGAACAGAACCCACAACACAAGGCCTTTGTGAAGGTTCAGTGTGTTAGTTTTTATAAAGCCCTCAGAGTGATACTCAGCACCCAATGTTTAACTAGTGTGACTAATATTCATGTCACATTTTCTCCAATTATACAATAACGGAACACTTCTGTAGCAGAAACATTTGCAAGGAATGAAATACCTTCTCGCACTCGGAACAGAAGAGGAAGGTGAATGCTAGGTCCTGTCACAGTGGGGCTCTGCTGCCAGAAGCCAGGATGCTCTCCTTCCTCCTCTCCCGCAGCATTCTTTCAGAAGTCAGGGCAGGGGAAGGAAAGGAGGCTGGGAGATTGCACGATCTTGTCTGAGATCCTGGAAAATCCACAGAGGATAACTCCAGACGCCACCTGTTGAGTGATGCACTCTTTCTTAAAAAACGGGTCAGGCATAGTCCAAGAACAGCCTCCTTTCCTGCAGGAATCAGAAAGAAGAGCCAGGCGCTTGCTGAAAAATGAATATTTTTTATTATGATAGTTTTAATATTAACGGCCGACATGTTGCCACATTCCTGTACTATTCCATACACATTTTACTTGTACTATATTACTAATTGTCAAAACAAATATATAAGGTTAATATTTCCTTTTGCAGAAGAGGAAACTAAGACCAGAAACTAAGCACCGAAAGATTAAGTTCTCACCCAACGTTACACCGCTAGGAAGCTACAGAGCTGTGGGAGGTGGGGGAAGGCGGGTCGGGCCGCTGAGAGCCCAGGAGATCCTCAGACGCCTCCCCATTCAGGTCCACTTCCAACCAGGGGACTCCCGAACCGCCCCGAACGCAGCAGCTCCGGATACAGTAAGGCAATCAGCTGCCCAGCCATTCAACTCCGCCCTCCGCTGCTCGCCGCAGCGTCTTTTCCTGCTGACCGAAGTGCGAGCCCTGCTGATCCTACGACCAAACCATAAAAGTTAAAACAGGTCGCGGGGTCCCAGGACTCACTCACTTCCACGAGAGGAATGAAGGCCGCGCTCTCAACCTCTTGCCGCGGAAGTGCCCGGGAGAGCAGGGAGCTCTGGAACTACATTTCCCAGCATCCCCGGGAGGAACGGAAGCCGCTGCCCCGCCCCCTGGGCGGAAGTGCGGGCTTCGACTCCCACGGCCGAATCTTATTTCTCAGAATCCCCAAGGGGAGCGGGCTTCGTGTTCTCGTCCTCAAATAGTCGAAGTACCACCGAACCCACTGAGCACTGGGGTATAGGTTCCTATTTCCCCAGGGGAGCAAATAACAAAGCCGCGCTTTCCCAGAGCTGAAGTGCCCCCAAAAGTCTGGACCACACGTCCCAGAATCCTCTGTAGGGCTGAGCTTCCCGCCAGCCTGCAATTTTCCTTTTGAATTAGCGGGGGGAGTCTAAGTCATTGCTTGTAGAGCTCAGCCTGCTTTTTCCTTTTGCCATTGTTCCCTTTTATACGTGACAGAAGTTGCGAATATGAAAAAAAAAAAGGAAAATACAAAGGAATGCTATGTGTGAGCTAAAAACAGAGGTAATAAAAGAGGTGGCCAGAGCCGCCCAGAGCAACAAGCCTTTTATAATATGGGTATGGATTCATCTGTGATTAAAAATGCTCAAAAAAGGAGATGCAATCATCCAGCAGGACATGAAACAAAAGCAGCAAAATTCTCCACTTTTCTTGCGCTTAGTTTTCTTTCATTCGCAGGATACTGAAGAAAGTATTATAGTATTGAATAGGCTCTATCCTATATAAAATCTTGAAAACATTCAGTTCAGATTAAGGAATCACATCACTTCTTGCTCTCAGAATCAGGAATCTGTAAAGGTGTCTTATGATTTGCCAAAGTGTCTATGAATATTCAGTAAGGAGAGGGAGGTGAAGTGAGGGATTAAGACATGAAGTGCAAAAAATACAGAAAGCTATACTATTCACTTTTCTCCTAGGTAGAAACTAAATATTTTTCCAAGTTTATTATGAAAGGGTAAAGAAGAAAAAATGGAAGTTGACTACATAGGAGTAGCTGTAAACATCTGAACAATGTTCAATTTAGGCTGAGGCAGGAGACCAGCAGGGCGTGATTCCAAGATCAGATAAGAAACCTGCTGAAACCAGCAAGTGATGGAAAGCAACCTGTAAGTTCCCTTTGCTACCTATCAGTATAAGACACTCCCACCAGCGCCGTGACGGTTTATAAATGCCATGGCAACACCTGGAAGTTACCAACCCCTTTTCTAGAGATTTCCGAGTAACTCACCCCTTAATTTGCATGTAATGAAAAGTTGGTATAAATATACCCAGCCAACAGCCCATATGCTGCTACTCTGGGCACACTGCCTGTGGGCTAGTCTTGGTCTGCAAGGAACAGTCACTGAGCTTTTAACACTGTTGATTCGATAAACCTGCTTTCTTCCGCTGCTGGCTTGCTGTTGAATTCTTTCCTGAGCAAAGCCAAGAAACTGCCCTGCATCAATGCCATTTCAAAATCTGGATAAGTACTCTCTCTACTTTAGTAAGAGGAAGAGAGAAATGTAATCACCCAATGGACTCATCTTGCCCACTGCCCAGAGAGAGCCAATTTATCAAGACAGGAATTGCAATAGAGAAAGAGTTTAATACACGTAGAGCTGGCTAAATGGGAGACCAGGGTGAAGACTGAACTCTGCCGTTTTTTCTTTTCTTACTCAAATTCCTATCTAAGGGTCTGGGGAGTCAAGCCCTCCAAACCATAAAGTCTCATGAGAGGGGTTTTAATTTAACCCTATATAATGTGACTTACTTTCCAACCTGTCATAACACCTCATGACGGATAAGAAAGGAAATCAAAATACTTCAACCCCAAATATGTTTCATTGCCCTATCATGAAATAGCCCTGCAAAGTTGTCCTTTGTGGAGAAAAATCTACATTCTGTAGAGAATCTCCTTTCCTTTTTCCAGGCCATTTTTTCTGATCCAGGAGAGAATCAACTAAGAGTCTGACACTTTTTTTTTTTTTTAAGAGTTTTGCTCTTGTCATCCAGGCTGGAGTGCAATTGTGCAATCTTAGCTCACCACAACCCCCGCGTCCTGGGTTCAAGCGATTCTCCTGCTTCAGCCTCCCAAGTAGCTGGGATTACAGGCATGCACCACAATGCCCGGCTAATTTTGTATTTTTAACAGAGCCAGGGTTTCTCCATGTTGGTCAGGCTGGTCTCGAACTCCCAACCTCAGGTGACCTGCCTGCCTCGGCCTCCCAAAATACTGGGATTACAGCCGTGAGCCACCGTGCCTGGGCTACCTTTTTAAGTCTGATGAGAAAAATCTACGATCTCTTATTTCTGAAGACTGATACCTGGAAGCTTCATCTGCGTAATAAGAACCTTGGTCTCCACAATCTCTTATCCTAACCCAGACATTTCCTTTCTATTGATTCCAGGACTTTAGATAAACTCTTTCAACCAATTGCCAATCAGAAAATCTTTGAATCTGCCTATAACCTGGAAGCCCCACACACTTCACATACCCCTACCCCCCACCCTGCCCTCCACTCCCAACCCCCTCTGCTTCCAGTTGTCACACCTTTCTGGACTAAACCAACGTATGTCTTGCATATATTGCTTGATGTCTTATGTCCCACTGAAATGTCTAAAGCCTAGCTGTGGCCTGACCACCTTGGGCATATGTTCTCAGGGTCTTCTGAGGGCTGTGTCCTGGGCCATGGACGCTTGCATTTGGCTCAGAATAATCTCTTCAAATATTTTACAGAGTTTGAGTCTTTTCATTGACAGAAGTTTTACTGTTACTGAAATCAGCCTCCCTGAAAATTTGGAGGCTGGGGTTTTTAAAAGATAAGTTTGGTGGGCAGGGGGCTAGGGAATGGGTGTGTTTATTGGTTGGGGATGCAATTGGTTGGGGATGCAATCATGGGGTGTGGACCTCTTCTGGGTGGATGTCACATGACTGGTAGAGTCAAGAGTTGTGGGTCTGGGTGGGGTCGTCTGGTCATCAAAAATGCAAAAGCCTGAAAAGACATAGCAAAAGGCCAATCTTAGGTTCTGCAATAGCGATGTTATTTATAGGGATAATTGGGGAAGTTGCAAATTTGTGACCTCCAGAATAATGATTGGTAATTATTTATCCCTACATCTTAGCAGAATTCGGGTCTCTCTCATAATCCTAAACTTGTGGCCTTTTATTAGTGCTCTTGTGAGCAAAGGCTGCTCCTTTCCCAAACAATGCAAATCTAAAGACGACTACCCTGAACATGTTTCTCCTATAAGTGTGTCTATATGAGATTTAAATATGTTACTCAAATTCAGATTTGAGAAAATAGCCTTACTTAATCCTTGGATGTCATTGGACATTTTACAAACTCAATTTCTTTTAACATTATTACTACTAGAGGTAGTGGTACTGCTAATGTTTTAAAATCAACTTTATTAAGTATAATTTCTATTAAAACATACCCCTTTTAAAGTATAAAGTTCAGTACATTCGATGAACGTGTACACTTGTGTAAAGCCACCACACTCAAGATGCATATATTTACCTCACACCCCAAAAAGCTCTCGTTAGCCCTGCTATGATTGTTCTATCATGTCCCCAGCCCCAAGCACTAATCTGCTTTCTGTTATGAAAAATTAGTTGTTTTCCTGCCGAAGAATCTCATACAAATGAAATCATATAACATGTACTCTGATGTGTGAAGCTTTTTTGACACAGCATTTTTTTTTTTTTAGTTGGAGTCTCGCTCTGTCACCCAGGCTGGAGTGCAGTGGCGCCATCTCGGCTCACTGCAAGCTCCGCCTCCCGGGTTCACGCAATTCTCCTGCCTCAGCTGCCTGAGTAGCTGGGACTACAGGCGCCCACTACCACGTCCGGCTAATTTTTTGTATTTTTAATAGCGACGGGGTTTCACCGTGTTAGGTAGGATGGTCTCAGTCTCCTGACCTCGTGATCTGCCTGCCTCAGCCTCCCAAAGTGCTGGGATTACAGGCATGAGCCACTGCACCCAGCCGACACAGCATGTTTTTAAAATTCATTCGGGTTGTACTATTTGTTCTTACTGTTGAGTACTCTTCAATGATACGGATATATCACAACTTATTAATCCATTTATTTCTTGATAAACATTTGGAATGCTTTCAATTTTTTGCTACTATGAGCAAAGCTGATGTGGACATTTCACAACAACGATTTGTGTAAACATATGTTTTTACTTCTGTAGTTTAGATTCCTAATAGTGAAAGTGCTGGCTTACATTATATTTTATAGCATCATGAAAGCATAAATGATGTGCAGTACACTGCCCATAAAGTATATAATTTGATGAGACTTAACATATGTACACACTTAAGAAACCATGCCACAATCAAGGTAATGGACATATCCATCACACTCAAAACTTCCCTTGTGCCACTCTGTAATTTTTTTATAGGCTTAACTTTATCAGAAATTGTCAAATTGTTTTCCAAAAGCGTTGTAATTTTTATATTTCCATCAAAATGTATGAAGATTCCAGCATCTCCAATCTTCACCAACACTTGGTGTTGTCAGACTTTTTAAGTCATTCTGTGGGTGTGTAGTGCTTACGGTGGTTTTTGTTTGCATTTTACAGGTGACCAAATATTCATCACATTTTCATGTGCTTTTTGGCCATTTATGTATTTTGTTAAGTGTCTGCTTAAATCTTGAGCCCATTTTTTTAACTGCGTTAGTTGTCTTATTATTCATGAATTAAGAGTTCTTTTATATTTTGGATAAAAAACCTTTTGTCAGATATGTGTAGTGAGAATAGTTTCCTCCACTCTGGGCATGTATTTTTATCTCTAACAAAATCTTTTGAAGAGCAGGTTTTTATTTTTATGAAGTCCAATTTATCAATTTTTTTATAGTTAGTTTAAAAAAATTATATCTAATAAATCTTTGTTGACTCCAAAGATAAGATTTTTCTCCTATGTTTTCTTCTAGAAGTTTTATAAGCTTTAGCTTTTATATTTAGGCCTGTCATCCAAGTAATTACTATTTGTATAGGTGTTTCCAATTCATTTTTTTTCCAATTTATTTTTTAAAAAGACTCTTCCCTTCTTTAAATTACTTGAGACCTTTGGTACAAAATCATTTGACCATATATGTGTGTGGGTTTATTTCTGACTTCTGGACTCCCTATAGTGTTCTTTTGATTTATATGTCTAATTTGATGCCAATATTATGCTGTTTTGATTGCTGCAGCTTTATAAAAAGTCTAGAAGCCAGGCAACATCCATTCTCCAACTTTTTTTTTTCAAGGTTATTTTGGCTATTCTAGATGCTTTGGATTTTCATATGAATTTAACAATCAGCTTGTCAATTTCCTCAAATAAGCATGTGATTTTTTTTTTCCTGAGACAGAGTCTCACTCTGTCACCCAGGCTGGAGTGCAGTGGCATGATCTCAGCTCACTGTAACCCCCACCTCCTGAATTCAAGCGATTCTCTGCCTCAGTCTCCCAAGTAGCTGGGGCTACAGGTGTGCACCAGCACACCCGGCTAATTTTTGTAGAGATGGGGTTTTGCCATGTTGGCCAGGCTAGTCTTGAACTCCTGGCCTCCAGTGATCCATACTTCTTGAACTCCTATAGTGCTGGGATTACAGGCATGAGGCACCACACCTGGCCAGCCTGCTGAAATTTTAATCGGGACTGCATTCAATTTATAGATCAATTTGGTAAGAATTGATGACTTAACAATATCGTATCTTCCAATCCCTAGTCATACTATATTGCTCCATTCATTTAGGCCTCTTTTAATTTCTCTTGGCAATATTTTATAGCTTTCAATGTAGATGTCATGAATGTCTTTGATCAGATTTACCTTTAAATAGTCGTTTTTAAAATAAACCTCATACTTAAAAGCTTTAGATTTACAGAAAAATTGAGCAGGTAGTAGAGGAAGTTCCCATATATCCTATACCCAATTTCCCGTTATTAACTTCTTACGTTAGTATGTTACATTTGCTAGAATTAATGAACCAATATTGATACATTATTATTAACTAAAGTCCACGGTTTGTTGAGATTTATTTAGTTTTAAACTAATGTCCTTCTTATGTGCCAGTATGCCATCCAGAATGTCATGTTATATTTAGTTTATCATGTCTCCCTAGGCTCCTCTTGGTTGTGATCGTTTCTCAGACTTTCCTTGTTTTTGATGACCTTGACAGTTTTGAGGAGTGCTGGTCGGGTGTCCTGTAGAATATCCCTCAAATGGATTTTTTCCTCATAATCAAATTAAGGTTATGGATTTTGGGGAAGTAAAGTGCCATTTTTATCATGTCATTCAAGGGTACATGATCAATATAACCTATCACTCTTGACGTTGACCTTGATCACGTAGCTGAGGTAGTGTTTGTTAGGTTTCCTCACCCTTTTTCCCCTTTTCTCATATTGTACTCTTTGGAAGGAAGTCACTATGAGTAGCCCACATGGAGGAAATAGGGAATTATATCCCATCTCCTTGAGGGCAGAATAGCTATAAAAATTATGTAGAAATATTTCATATTTTCAATGTTACTAATATTATAAATAATGGTTTTTATTTTTCATTTCTGATTGTGTATTTATCTATTTTGTTTTTTAGGTTTGATCAGTTTTTGCTTTATGTATCTTGGAGCTCTGTTTTTAGGTGCATACACAATTAGGATTGTTAGGTCTTGTTAGTGAATGGATCCTCTATAATTGTGTAATGTTTCACTTTATCCCTGGAAGTTTTCATTGACCTAAAGTCTAAATTGTCTGATAATAATGTAACCACATCAGCCATACAGTTTTTCTTTTTATTGTGGTAAAATATGCATAGCATAAAATTTACTGTTTTAACTGTTTAAGTGAACAGTACAGTAGTGCTAAGTATGTTCACAATGTTGTGCAACTATCACTACTGTCCATCTCCAACTTTTTCTTCATCACATACTGAAGCTCCGTACCCATTAAACAATAACTTCACATCCTCTCTCTCCCTAGCCCCGAGTAATTGCTGTTCTACCTTCTGTTTCTGTGTATTTGACTATGCTAAGTACCTCGCATAAGTGAAATCATACAATATTTGTCCTTTTATGTCTGACTTCTTTCACTTAACATAATGTCTTTAAGCTTCATTCATGTTATCACGTGTCAGAATTTAATTCCTTAAGGCTGAATAATATTCTGTTGTATGTATATACTACATTTTGTTTATTCATTTATCCACAAACATTTGAGTTGTTGCCACCTTCTAGATATTGTGAATAATGCTGCTATGAACATTGCTATACAAATATCTGTTCAAGTGTCTGCTTTCAATCATTCTGTGTATACACCCAGAAGTGGAACTGTTATATCAAATGGTAATTTTATGTTTTTTTTTTTTGAGGAACTACTATATGGCTTTCCACAGTGACAACACCATTTTACATTTCCACCAGAAATGCACAAAGTTTCCAATTTCTCCACATCTGTGCCAACACTTGTTGTATCAGCAATCTTTTGATTAGTGCTTTCATGGCACATATTTTTCATCACTCCATTTTCAGTCTCTCTATATAATTATATTTAAAGTGAGTTTCTTATATATAGCTTATAGTTGGGTCACTTTTTTTCGTTGTTGTTGTTTGTTTGTTTATTTGTTTTTGAGACGGAGTCTGGCTCTGTCGCCCAGGCTGGAGTGCAATGGCGCAATCTCGGCTCACTGCAAGCTCCGCCTCCCGGGTTCATGCCATTCTCCTGCCTCAGTCTCCCGAGTAGCTGGGACTACAGGCGCCCGCCACCACGCCGGGCTAATTTTTTGTATTTTTAGTAGAGACGGGGTTTCACCGCGTTAGCCAGGATGGTCTCGATCTCCAGGCCTCGTGATCCGCCCGCCTCGGCCTCCCAAAGTGCTGGGATTACAGGTGTGAGCCACCATGCCTGATCGGGTCACGTTTTTAAAATAAATAATGTGACAAACATTGTCTTTATGTAGTTAGACACTTCACATTTAATGTAATTATTTATATGGTTTGATTTATACCTACCAATTTATTATTTTTGTGTTTGTCTCTTTTTGTTCCTATGTTACCTCCTTTCTTTCTTCTTTTGGATTATTTGAATTTTTTTAATGCTCTATTTTTATTTGCTTTTTTTTTTTTTTTGAGACAAGAGTCTCACTCTGTTGCCCAGGCTGTACATGTTATTTTTAAACTACATGACTTTGGTTTTATCTTTTGTTTTGTTTGATTTAGTGTTGCTTTAGAAACCCATGTATACATACCTAACATATTGTGGACTATTTTGAGCCAATAGTTTATGGCTTCACATAAAACAAGGAAAACTTACAACTATTGAGATCTGTTTATCCTCCCCTCTTTGTGCTATAGTGTGTGTATTATATCTACATGCTCTGAAAAATCCCACCAATACTTTAAATTTTTATATTCAACCATCATATATATTTTAAAGAATTTAAAAGGGGGGGAAATATTGTATTATGTGTACCAAGTTTACTAGTTCTGTTTCTCTGCCTTCATTCCTGAAACTTTCCTCTGATATTATTTCTCTTCAGCATTTCTTTTAAAGTATATCTGCTAGTGATGAATTCTCTTAGTTTTCTTTTGTCTGAGAAGGTCCTTATTTTATTTCCATTTCTGGAGGATATTTTCCTTGAATATAGTGTCTGGATTGACAATTCTTTACTTTCAGCACATTAAAATGCTGTTTTACTGTCTTCTGACATCCAGGGTTTCTGATAAGAAATTTGCATTCATTTGAAATGTTGTTGCCCTATTTGCAATGTATAATTTTTCTTTAAACGCTTTCAAACATTTTTTTCTTTATCTTTGATATTTTAATAGTTTCATTATGATGTGCTGGGGTATGGTTTTCTTCATTTTTAACATATTTAGGTTTTGCTGAGTTTTTTTTCAATCTGCAGATGTATTTCTTTTATTAAATTGGTGAAGTATTCGACTATAATTTATTTGAAAAGTTTCCTATTTCAATACCTTTCTCCTCCTCTTCTGGAATTCCAATCATGGGAATGTTAGATCTTTTAATGTTGTCCCAAATGTCCTTAGGGCTCAATTCAGTTTTTCTATTTTTGCTTTTTCTCCTCCAGATTCGATATTTTATACTGTTCAGTTTTTAAGCTCAATGAGTTGCCTTTGTCATCTCCATTCTGCTACTGACTGATTTTAAATTTCAGTTATTGTATTTTGAAGTTCTGAAATTTCCATTTGCTTGCTTTTATAGTTTCTAGTTTTCTGACAACTTTTATATTTCCATTTATTTCAAATGCTTACCTATACCTCATGGAGAATGATTACAATAACTTTTAAAAGTCTCTGATAATGCAAAAATCTAGAACATTCAGGGGTTGGAATCTCTTGAATGGCTTTTTTCTTGAAGTTGGTCAGATATACCTGTTTTTCTTTTTACATGTCAAGTAATTTTGGATTGTATCCTGAGCATTTTCAATATGTTACCAGATTCTGGTCCTATTAAAATCTATAGAGAACATTGAGGGTTTTTTTTTTGTTTGTTTTAGCAGGCAGCCAACCAGGTTAATTTCCTTTTTTTTTTTTTTTTTTTTTTTTTTTTTTTTCAGATGGAGCCTTGCTTTGTCACCCAGGCTGGAGTGTAGTGGCGTGATCTCAGCTCACTGCAGCCTCTGCCTCCTGGGTTCAAGCAATTCTTCTGCCTCAGCCTCTCAAATAGGTGGGATCACAGGCACATGCCACCACACCTGGCTAATTTTTGTATTTTTAGTAGAGATGGGGTTTCACCATGTTGGCCAGGCTGGTCTCAAAATCCTGATCTCAAAGTGATCTGCCCACGTCAGTCACCCAAAGTGCTGGGATTACAGGCGTGAGCCACTGCTCCTGTACTTAATTTCATATCATAAGTTTTGTCTCATATTCTCTATGTGTTAGTTCTAAAAACTTTGCTGTGCTATTTGGGTATGCCACTCAGTGCGCCACTCAGGGATTAGCTGATTTCTGAGCAATGGTTTATAACATAGTTCAGTTCTCAATGTATTTTCTATGTTCCTTTGGGTGTGTTATTTGAATGTGCAGCTTAGTGATGAGCCTTTAAATTGTGTCAGTTCATCCACAAAACTGAGGTATCCCCTTCTCCAGCTCTGTCTTCTGAATCTTCTCTCACACTCTCTGGATTCTAAGGGCTTTCTTCCCAAGATCCTTTGACCCAAAAGATGAGATTCTCTCAGAGTTTTAGCCTCCCACCCTGTCACCCTTGGCTTACTCTGGTGAGAGAAAAGAGAAGTATATGATAACTATCCCTCCCCACATTTTGAACAACAGAAACCTCTTTTTTTTCAGTTTCTCTATGTAGACACATACATTTTCACTCAGGATTTTACATGCCCATATGCACTAATATTAGTGCAGTTCCACCATCAGTGCTGGCATTGGGAAGGGCCAGGAAAAAAAAAAGAGATGAAAGGGAGTTTCCCCCGTACATTCTGACTCACAGAGGCCCTCTTTCTAGTTTTCTGGCCAGAAAGATGAGTTTCTTTTAGAATTGTTTCAAGAGGAATGCTTCCTGGATTTGCCCATTTGGTATGATGTTGGCTGTGGGTTTGTCATAGGTGGCTCTTATTATTTTGTTTCTTCAATAGCTAGTTTGACAGTTTTTAACTTGAAGCAGTGTTATTTTATTAAAAGCCTTTTCTGCATCTATTGAGATAATTTTGTGGTTTTTGTCTTTAGTTCTGTTATGTTAATGAATCACATTTATTGATTTGCGTATGTTGAACCAAACTTCCATCCCAGGAATAAATCCTGCTTGATTCTGATGGATAAGCTTTTTGATGTGCTGCTAGATTTGGTTTGCCAGTATTTTGTTGAGGATTTTTGCATTGATAGTCATCAAGGGTATTGGCCTGAAGTTTTCCTTTTTTGTTGTGTCTCTACTAGGTTGTGGTATCAGGAGGATGCTGGTCTTATAGAATGAGTTAGGGAAGAGTCCCTCCTCCTGTTTCTTGAAATAGTTTCAGTAGGAATGCTACCAGCTCTTCTTTGTGCATCTGGTAGAATCTTTGGCTATGAATCTGTTGGTCCAGGGCTTTTATTTTGGTAGGCTATTTATTACTGATTCAATTTTGAAGCTTGTTATTGGTCTGTTCAGGGATTCAGTTTTTTCCTGGTTCGGTCTTGGGAGGATGTATATGTCCAGGAATTTATGCATTTCTTCTAGATTTTCTATTTTATATGCATAGAATATTCATAATATTCTCTGATGATTATTTGTATTTCTGTGAGGTCAGTGGTAATATTCTCCTTGTCATTTCTGATTCTGTTTATTTGAATCTTCTCCCTTTTCTTCTTTATGAGCCCAGCTAACAATCTTTTTTTTTTTTTTTTTTTTTTTTTTTTTTAAAAAACCACCTCCTGGATTCGTTGATATTTTGAATGATTTCTTATGTCTCAGTCTCCTTCAGTCATCTCTGATTCTGGTTATTTTTGTCTTCTGCTAGCTTTGGGTTTGGTTTGTGTTTGGTTCTTTAGTTCTTTTAGTTGTGACCTTAGGCTGTCAAATTGAGATCTTTGTAACTTCTTGATGTGGGTGTTTAGTGCTATAAATTTCCCTCTTAACACTGCCTTAGCTGTGTCCCAGGGATTCTGGTATGTTGTGTGTTTGTTCTCATTAGTTTCAAAGAACTTCTTTATTTTTGCTTTAACTTTATTATTTACCCAAAAGTCATTCAGGAGCAGGTTAATTTTCATGTAATTGCATGGTTTTCAGCAATTTTTTAAAGTCTTGATGTCTATTTTTACTGTGTGATGGTCCAAGAGTGTGTTTGGTATGAGTTCCATTAATTTGCATTTGCTAAGGATTGTCGTATGTCTGATTGTGTGGTTAATTTTAGAGTATGTGCCACGTGGCTATGAGAAGAATGTATATTCTCTTGTTTTGGGGTGGAGAGTTCTGTACAGGTCTATTATATCCATTTGGTCCAATTTTGAGTTTAGGTCCTGAACATATCTGTTAATTTTCTACCTCAATAAAGTTTGTAATACTGTCAGTAGGGTGTTGTAGTCTCCCACTATTATTGTGTGGGAGCCTAAGTCTCTTTGAAGGTCTCTAAGAACTTGCTTTATGAATCTGGGTACTCCTGTGTTGGGTGCATATATGTTTAGCATAGTTAGGTCTTCTTGTTGAATTGAACTCTTTACCATTATGTAATGCATTTCTTTGTCATTTTTGATTTTTTTTTTGGTTTAAAGTCTGTTTTGTCTGAAATTAGGATTGCAACCTCTACTTTTTCCTGTTTTCCATTTGCTTGGTAGATTTCTCTTCATCCTTTTATTTTGATCCGTGGGTGTCACTGCATGTTAGATGGGTCTCTTGAGGACAGCATACCAATGGGTCTTGGTTCTTTATCCAGATTGCCACTCTGTGCCTTTTAATTGGAGAATTTAGCCCATTACATTCAAGGTTAGTATTGATATGTTTGGATTTGATCCTGTCATCATGATGTTAGCTGGTTATTATGCAGACTTGTTTGTGTGGTTGCTTTATAGTGTCACTGGTCTGTGTACTTCTGTGTGTTTTTGCAGTGGCTGGTAATATTATTTCCTTTCCATATTTTGTGCTTCCTTCAGGAACTCTTGTAAGGCAGATCTGGTGGTAGCAAATTCCCTCAGCATTTGCTTTTCTGAAAAGGATCTTATTTCTCCTTCACTTATGAAGCTTAGTTTGGCCAGATTTGAAATCCTGGCTTGGAATTTCTTTTCTTTAAGAATGCTGAATATTGACTCCCCATCTCTTTTGGCTTGTAAGCTTTCTGCTGAGGTTCACTGTTAGTTTGATGGGCTTCCCTTTGTAGGTAACCTGTCCTTTTTCTCTAGCTGCCTTTAACATTTTTTTTCTTTCATTTCGACCGTGGAGAATCTTTTGGTTATGTGTCTTGTGGGTGATCTTCTTGTGGAAGTATCTTCCAGTGGTTCTCTGCATTCCCTGAATTTAAATGTTGACCTCTCTAGCTAGGTGGAGAATTTGTCGTGGGTGATATCATGAAGTATGTGGTCTAAGATTCTCCACATCTCTTTCAGGAACACCAATGGGTTGTAGATTTGGTCTCTTTACATAACCCCATATTTCTTGGAGGTTTTGTTCATTCCTTTTCATTAATTTTTCTCTATTTTTGTCTGACTGTTTTACTTCAGAAAGCCAGTCTTCAAGCTCCAAGATTTTTTTCTTCAGCTTGGTCTATTCTGCTATTAATACTTGAGATTGCACTATGAAATTCTTGTAGTATATTTTTCAGCTCTATCAGGTTGGCCACATTCTTTTCTGTAGTGGCTATTTTGTCTGTCAGCTCCTGTATCATTTTATTGTGATTCTTAGCTTCTTTGGATTGGGTTTCAATGTACTCCTGCATCTCAATGATCTTCATTCCTATCCATATCCCAAATTCTATTTCCATCATTTCAGCCATCTCAGCTCTGTTCAGACCCTTCCTGAAGAGCTAGCATGGTTATTTGGAAGAAAGAAGTTACTCTGGCTTTTTGAATTGACAAGAGTTCTTGAGCTGGTTATTTCTCATCTTCATGGGATGATGTTCTTCAATCTTTGAACTTGCTTTCCTTTGGATTATTTTTTTCCTTTTATTCTATTTGATATCCTTGAGGGTTTGATGTGGTATAAGGTGAGTTCAGCTGACTGGCTTCATTTAAGGAAGATTTTAGGGGGCCAATGCTCAGCTCTCAACTCCTGGACTGCATGTTGTAACTCTGGTGGGCTTATATCGGGCCCTGACTTTGTTCTCTGGATTCTCGAGGTTGGGAACGAACTACACTGGGGTGGCCAAGGTGTTCCCAGGCTGCTGGTCACTGCACTACAATGGATGGTGCCAAAGCATTTTTTAGTGCAGTGGCAGCAGGATTTGTCATCATTCTCACATGCCAGCTGCAGTGGCAGTGGCAACATGGTGGGGTGCATGCTCATCAGCTGTGGCAGCTTGCTAGTGGGTACCGGGATGCCTGCTTCTGTGTGAGCACTTACAGCAGTGGTGGAGGCAGCATGGCTCAAGGGGGCAGGGGGGCCCCCCACTGGTGACTGTATGTGTAGTAGTGCTGGTGGTGGTGTTAGCATGGGGATGAGGCACTGGCTTCTGCAGGTCTGTGTGTGTCCCCTGTGCATGTTCATATGTTATTTAACCTACACTCCATATTTAAATTTATTCTGTTTTTAATTTAAATTCCTTGTAATTGATTTGCCTCCAGTTTAGCCCACTTTTATGAATTGTTTTTAACTGTCACGTTTCTCCTGTCTCCATTAATCTGGCATGATTCTTCAGCTTTCTCTTTTTGCTCATGGTGTTTTTGATACTATTTTAATGTATGGATATACTGCATTTTCTATATCAATAGTAATCAAAAGTAATGCCATTTTTAATAGCCACACATAAAGTCAAATACCTAGGAATTAACCAAAAAAGTTAAAGTTGTCTATAATAAAAACTATAAAACACTGACAAAAAAATTGAAGAGGACACCAAAAAATGGAAAAATGTTCCATGTTTATGGATTGGAAGAATCAGTAACGTTAAAATATCCATACTACCCAAGCAATCTACAGATTCAGTGCAATCTCTGTTAAAAATACCAATGACATTCTTCAGAGAAATTAAAAAGCCTCAAATTTATATGGAACCACAAAAAAACCCAGAATAATTGAGGCTATCCTGACCAAAAAGAACAAAACCGACTTCAAATTATACTACAGAGCTATAATAACCAAAACAGCATAGTACTGGCATAAAAACAGACACAGAGACCAATGGAACAGAACAGAGAACAGAAACAAATCCACACACCTACGGATAACTAATTTTTGACAAATGTGCTGAGAACACATGAGGAAAAGACAGTCTCTTCAATAAATGATGCTGGGAAAACTGGATATCCATATGCAGAAGAATGAAACTAGACCTCTATTTCTTACCACATAAAAAAGCAAATCAGAATGGATTAAAAACTTAAATCTAAGACCTCAATCTATAAAACTAATAAAAGAAAACTTTGGGCCAGGCGCGGTGGCTCACACCTGTAATCCTAGCACTTTGGGAGGCTGAAGTGGGTGGATCACGGGGTCAGGAGATCAAGACCATCCTAGCTAACACGGTGAAAACCTGTCTCTACTAAAAATACAAAAAATTAGCCTGGCGTGGTGGCAGGTGCCTGTAGTCCCAGCTACTTGGAAGGCTGAGGCAGGAGAATGGTATGAACCCAGGAGGCAGAGTTTGCAGTGAGCCGAGATCATGCCACTGCACTCCAGCCTGGGTGAAAGAGCGAGACTCCACCTCAAAAAAAAAAAAAAAAAGAAATTTTCAAGAAAAAAGAATTATTTTACAAATGTATAAACAATATTTGAAAAATGAGGGAAAAGGCCAAAAAGCCATTAGTACAGTAGGCAAAAGGTTTGAACAATTTACCAATAATAATAATAATAATAATAATCATGGCCTTTGAAAATATGAAAAGATGTTCTATTTCATTTACAATACAGGAAATGTAAATTAAAATTACATCGGCATACTATCAGTTTTAGCCTCACATCATCAGGTTATACTAAACATTTTCCTCTTTTCAGTTCTCTACTGATCCTCAAGCAGTAATTTCTTGTCAGTTCCTTGAAGATTTTATCTCCACCTTTGTTCACTCTCCAGTAATACTTCTGTAATAATTGGGGATATTTCAATCAGGAAATCATTGTTTATGTAATATTTTTGCTTGAAGACTCAAGAGAAAGGTAAGGACGACACTCAGTGCAGGAGTCCATATTACCACATAGGCGTTTCGGATGGGGGATTCCCTTCTCCGGGGACTTGGAAGAAGTGTGGTCAAGAAGCTATGTGTAGTTGCAACACTTCCCCCTGGAGGGTAAAACTGTGAACGTTTACTCCTTGGGCATTCTGGGAAGTGTCCCAACGGTCGGTGGGGTTGCGGGCACTTCCGGTCAGGCAGGCGGATCCGGGGAATTCTGGGAAATGTAGTCCAGACGCTCTGTGGAGTCGCGGGAGCTACGGCTGCGGGAGTTACCCTTTATTCTGTGATATTTTGAGCTGTTCTGCGTCTCGCAGGCCCTTCTGAATTTCCTGGACCTACTCTCGGAACCCTCAACGAGCTAGCGATAGATTTAGAGGAAAGGAAGCACCGTCGGAAAGCAAAGGTTTGGAAGGGTGAGGGCGGCGGTTTGCGATCCCCGCGGCAGAGCCTTCTTGCGTTTAGGGCTGTCCTAGCATCCCGAGGGACTCGGTCCTGTCACGTTTCGCCCTATTTGGGGGTTTCTGGGGCTCTCAGCTCGCCCAATCCGCATCCCTCCACTACTGGCGCGGGGCCGATTCCCCCGGTACAACGTTGGGGTGTTACTTAATCTCCCTGGGACTCTTTTTGCTTTTCTTTAAATGGGGGATATTAAGACCTTCCTAATAGAATTGTCTTGGGAATTGAAAGAGGTAATATAAAAGAGTCTTAAAACAGTTTTTGTTATAGTGAATGGCGATCTCTTGTTAATTTCCTGAGAAATGGTCAGGTCCCTGGGCTGGTGTCAGAGCTCCAGCTGGCTCTTCTCTCTGATCCCTGCAGAACGCTGGAAAATTCTGGACAGTCTTTGACCTCTTTTTTTTTTTTTTTTTTTTTTTTTTTTTTTTTTTTTTTTTTGAGACGGAGTCTCGCTCTGTCGCCCAGGCTGGAGTGCAGTGGCGCGATCTCGGCTCACTGCAGGCTCCGCCTCCCGGGTTCACGCCATTCTCCTGCCTCAGCCTCCCGAGTAGCTGGGACTACAGGCGCCCGCTACCACGCCCGGCTAATTTTTTGTATTTTTAGTAGAGACGGGGTTTCACCGTGTTAGCCAGGATGGTCTCGATCTCCTGACCTCGTGATCCGCCCGCCTCGGCCTCCCAAAGTGCTGGGATTACAGGCGTGAGCCACCGCGCCCGGCCGTCTTTGACCTCTTATTTAGGAAAAGGAGGGGTATCTCCAATTTCCACAGAAGGAGGGGAGGGTCTTGACCGTTTTGTCAAGAGTGGTGACACAACCATGGTATTTTGTAGCATTGTTTCCGCATCCTGACTTCTCTAAAAGGATTGCTTGGAGGTAGACGGAGTGACTCCTTGACTACTGACAACAAAGCTCCACGCGAGTGTGACTTGTCATTTTTCTTTTACAGTAACGTTCACATCTATTGTAGGATGCTGTAATCGGGCATGGGCATTGATAAGAAAGTCTTAATTGCTATCTTCAATTCTAAGGGCTTTATACAAAGAAATTCACGTACACCACATGGTAGCTCTGTGGAGAGGTACTGCCATTTCGTCTATTAAAGATGAGAGTGAAACAAAGGGAGCAGGAGTTATTTGCCCATAGTTGCCCAAGTAATAAGAAGTGGAGCCGGGGTTGGAACCTTTGCGGTCCAGGTCAGAGCCCAAGCTGATAATTTCTGGGATACATTCTCACTGAGGCAGAGGAACTAGCTGGAATCAGGTGGGGAAAGCAAGTTAGGACTTGATTGGAGGGACCTTGAGAGCAAGGCTCATGGGCTTGGACCTCTCTAGGACTCTTTTAAAACTTTGTCAACTATTTTTTTTCACTTATTACACATATTTTGTATTCTTATAGAACCATATCATTATGGAGCATTCAGAAATTGCAGAAATACGACAAGAAAAAAAGCTTAATTACCTCTGAATGCAGGATATAAAGATAGTAACCATTAAGCTTATTTTTATTTATTTAATTCATTTTAAAATTTTCTGAGACAGAGTCTCACTCTCATGCCCAGGATGGAGTGCAGTGGCATGACCTCAGCTCACTGCAACCTCCACTTCCCGGGTTCAAGCGATTTTCCTCCCTTAGCCTCCCAAGTAGCTGGGATTATAGGCACACACCACCCCATCTTTTAGTAAAGACGAGTTTTCACCGTGTTGGCCAGGCTAGTCTCGAACTCCTGACCTTAGGTGATCTGCCCACCTCAGCCTCCCAAAGTGCAGGGATTACAGGTGTGAGCCACTGTGCCCAGTCATTAAGCTTTTTTTTTTTTTTTAATGCTTATTGCCTTATTACAAAGGATATTACAAAAGCTACAGGTGAAGAGATGCATAGGGCAAGGCATGTGGGAAGGGATGCAGAGCTTCCATACCTTCCTGGGTATGCCACTCTCCAGGAACCTCCATGCATTCAGCAATCCAGAAGCTCTCAGAATCCAGTCCTCTTGGTTTTTTATGGAAACTTCATTGCATAGACACGATTGATTAAACCATTGGCCACTGGTGATCAGCTTAACCTTTAGCCCTTCTCCCTTCCCAGAGGTTGGGGAGTGGGGCTGAAAGTCCCATGCCTTTACTCTCTAACCATGCATTGGTCTTTCAGGTGACCAGCCACATCCTGAAACTACCTAGGGGTTGCCAGCCATCACTCAATTCATGAGTATACAAAAGATCAATTTGGAGATTCTAAGGATTTTAGTTGTATGCCAGGAGACATGTTAGTGACCAAATATGCATTTAGGTTATCACCGTACATACCCATCTTTGAACCCAGATCCTCTTACATAAAAAGGATTTACAACTCAGCCAGGCGTGGTGGCTCACACCTGTAATCCCAGCACTTTTGGGAGGCTGAGGTGGGTGGATCACCTGAGGTCAGGAGTTCGAGACCAGCCTGGCTAACATGGGGAAACCCCATCTCTACAAAAAATAGAAAATTAGCCAGGTATGGTGGCACATGCCTGTAGTCCCAGCTACTCGGGAGGCTGAGACAGGAGAAACACCTGAACCTGGGAGGCAAAGGCTGCAGTGAGCAAAGATTGCCCCACTGTACTCCAGCCTGGGCGAGACAGAGTGAGACTCCGTCTCAAAAAAAAAAAAAAAAAAAAAAGGATATGCAACTCAAAAGATACCACCACATTATCAGAATCCCATTTAGTCACATTAATAAGTCCAGTCCAGTGGGTGAAGCCACTCAGGTTTGCTGGCTTCCATTTGATATACGGTTCTAAAAGTAGGAGTGGTCTTAGCAAAACATATAGCTTCACCATTTCAGGCATCTGGTGTAATTGAGCTAAGAGACAGTGTCATCTTAAGGTATTAATATACTACTGGAGTTCTCTCAATTCATAACTCATTTATTCATTCCTTTACCCTCAGCTACCGTTTCTCCTTCTTTCCATTAATACACAGACTTTTTCACCTTTGGAAGGGACATTAGAATCACCACTGTGCCGGTCTAGACTGCAGACAGCAATACTAGTCTAGCAAATGCTTCCCCCTCAGTTCACCTCCATTCAGATAGGGTAAGGTTACTTAGGTGCAGAATAGTGGACTGTTTTTACCATCAGGAAATACAGTTATATTCACTGTTAGCCCAATTTTGCCAGATGGGGTGAAGGCACAACCCATCCCCATCGGGCCCTCAGGAATTCTGACACAAGTTTTAGAAATTTAGTTATGGTTTCTTGCTTAGGAATCATCCCTGCTTCCAACACTTGTAGTTGTAGCCCTGATCCTGTGACCACTACATCAGGTATGGGGAAAAAAATTGAGGTAATATGGGGAAGAAGGAAAAAAAAAAGTGTAATCATTATACTGGTGTTCTCCTCCCTTGGCAAGAATTGCATAGTCATCCCAGCCTCCTTTCCCACCAGGTCTTCCCCAGATCAACCAGAAAAATAGAGAAATTGCTATCCCACTGACATTGGGTATGAGCACACACTTGCGAAGGTGTGTAAGCCAGCCCTGATGCTTTTATCTCTTTGTTTTAGACAATCAATGTTTTAATTGCCTGTTCCACTTCCCTATCAAACTATTACTCTGAGGAGGATCGCTCTCTATTCATTGCTGGACATTGTGGGCTCTATATCTAGTGTGTTTCTTGGTCTTCTTTCTTCTTTTTTTTTAAAAACACTCTGAACATTTGGATCTTCCACCATATAAGCAAAACCCGGTCAAGAATCAGTGTCTACTGCTGTCAAGACCCATCTGTAGCCTCCCAGGGCTACCAGCATCACTTGCCAGCTACACTCAGGTCCTTCCCACCAGGGAATCTGTTTCACAGCCATCTTCACTGTGTCATTTTTGCTGACAAACAGAACAGTTTTCATCTGCATTTTGTGCCTCAGAGGGTGCAAGAACATGTCTCGATTTAGCCCATCTTTGCACTGCTGCACTACTCCCATATCCACTAATTTCACGGACCCAGGCAGCCACTGCAAGGGAGCACATGGGGATATCTGCTTGTTGATTCAAAACCTGAAGGGGGCTCTGCCAATGAGCATCAACAGGTCCTACTTTAATGCACACCCCCTACTTCAAATTTCTGTAAGTTCATGCCTCACATGGGCATCCCCTTTAATAGACCAGATCTCCACTGCTCTTCTGCCTGAGTGTATGGCCAGGCCATTTGCCACTGCCCATGAGTCAGTAAAGATCCCAAAGTGGGTTTCTACCACCATTCAGTTTTTCATCACTGCTAGGAAAACAGCGTGTAATTCAGTGCATTGAGCTGATATGTTTTTACCTTCTTTGATCAGGGTGGCATCCTTCCAAATCATATGTTCATTCACTTTGGAACTGCCATTCACAAAATGAGCAGCTCTTTGCTGGTCAGTTGAGAGTTGTTTATAGCTTCTCACACAGTTCCAGAGTCAGTCTCCAGGTAGCATGACTCTGTATAAACTATTTCCATTTTATTATGGAACTCTTCTGGGCACTGCCATCCCCATTAGAATGTTTTCCTAACATTACCTAAGAGAGCATAGGTATTTCAGGTGTCAAGATTTTTAATGTCTTTCAGTCATAGGGCTAGCCTCAGTTAATGCCCCATAGTGGGGTAGTAAATACTCTTCAAGTCAAAATTTTCTAGTCCAAAGTCTCAGTAATTGTCACTAGAAGGCACTCACAGGCTTCTGTCATAAGCCCCAGCCTACATTCCACATGGAGCTATCAAAACAGAATTTGTCCATACCAGCACTTCAGATTCTATTCTACACTGTGCGGACTCAGGCAATCTTACTGGTTCCCATTTAGCATGTCCAACTAATATTGCTTGAAGGGTAGATTTATATGCCTTCTGTTTTGTAATGCTAGTCAGGAGAAACGTTCCCTAGTCAGATACAATGTCCATTCCCATAAAACATTTAGGTAAAGAAGATACAACTTCTTAATATAAAGTCTGTTTAAATAGTCCAACTTTCATAATCCTATCAACCCTTACATTTTTATGTTCTAGTCCCAGGAAGTTTTCCACCACTTGCCCACCCCAACACTCCCCCCAGCCATTTTATCCTCTCTTATGCGAAACACTGAGAGTCAGCAGGAGGGGATTGAGCCAAAGGACCCTGGCTCTTGTCAATCTTTATCTTGACTAATCTACTTGACTACTGCCCCCAAGCAATTCCAAGTGGGGTTTCTCATCATAATCTTTACCTTCGGCCTTTTAAAATTTCTCCAAACTGGAGTAAATACAACAAACTTATTTGAAACCCTTTAATATTGGGGGATCAGCAGAGGATCCACCAAACTTTCAATATTATTGTGTTCAGACCTTTGTTTTAGCCTCATCAATTTCCATTTTATTTTTTCCATTTCTTAATAAAACTGTTAAAAGTAAAAAATCTTAAATAAGTCAAACAATTTAATTGAGCAAAAAACAATTTGCAAATCAGACAGCCCCTGAGCTAGAATAGATTCAGAGAAGCTTCACTGCTACCATGTGGTTGAAGAAGATTTGTAAACAGAAAAAGGAACGTGACATTCAAAAAGTGGAAGTGAGGAACAGAAACAGCCAGTTTGGTTACAGCTCAGCTTTTGCCTTATTTGATCCTTGTTTGAACAGTTGGCTCCCTTTGATTGGTCAAAACTCAGTGACTGGCACAAGAGTAGGTTACAGTCTGTTTATACTTCCAGTTAGGTTACAGTTCGTTATATATGGATAAACCTTTTCTTATTTTTATTTTTATTTTTTATTTTTTTTGAGATGGAGTCCTGCTCTGTCGCCCAGGCTGGAGCGTAGTGGAGCAATCTTGGCTCACTGCAACCTCTGCCTCCTGGGTTCAAGTGATTCTCCTGCCTCAGCCTTCCAAGTAGCTGGGATTACAGGCACACACCACCACACCTGGCTAATTTTTAGTAGAGACGGGGTTTTACCATGTTGGCCAGGCTGGTCTTGAACTCCTGACCTCAGGTGATCTACCCACCTTGGCCTCTCAAAGTGCTGGTATTACAGGCATGAGCCACCATAACCCGCCTGGAGAAACCTTTATACCTAACTTAAAGTATGTAAGAAAGCAGCTTTAGGCTAAACTTAATTTAACATAATGATCTAAAGATTTTCACCCTGTTGGAATGAGTCCCATGACTCTCTCTCTTTCTTCTTAGTTTCACCTTTATCATTGTTTTTTAAATGACCTTTAAAAAATTTCTAGCTTTCTGGGATGAGTCGTTTGACTCTGCCCTCTGCCTTTTTCCTCTTGCTAATTAACCTAATGTTTTTATTAACATCTTTAATATCTTTAAAGGGAAGCTGAGACAGCAAATCTGATAAGGCTTCTAGGACTGTTGTTCAGTTTTGCAAGAGTTAAGATGTCAACTAATAAATAAAATCAATACTGAGCCACAAACAAAAGAAAAGATGTTTTAAGTGGGGTCTTGTGAATTGCAATCAAGAAGTACAGATCTAGCAGTCAGCTAAATCATTTCCTGTTCTATCCAGGCAAGGTTGGGCAGGGGCTTATAAATGTTTACTGTAAGTTTACATATCTGGAAGGTATTAGTACAGTCCATGATTGATGTCAGTTGGTTAGCAACTTAGGATGTCTTTGGTTGATGATCAATCTAGTTCAGCATAGCTGTTTCCCCAAGAGTTTCGCAATCAGGCCATGTATAAACAATTCCAATCAAATGCAGCTGGTTTTACAATTTGGCCCAGTTAAACAGGTTAAAATCCATCTGGATGTGTACATAACTGAGGTCCAACTCCACATGCCTCTTTTTAGAAACTTCTGACATAACCATCTCCATTTTGAGTTTTCTTTTTACAAAAGTCACGTGGGGTATCCATGCGAAAGGGGCCCCCTTAGCCACAGCATTTACCATGACCTGGGTAAGAAGCATATTCAGCAGATGAATATCCCAGTCATCATAAATTCAGTCCCACGTGGCTTGCATGCGGTATATCAGCTGCATCATCTGGGGTATCCCACCGAGCATTTATAGGGTGAGTTGAGCAGTCCGCTTTTTCAGGGCAAGCAGACATTACCATGTCTTTTATCCAGTTGATCAGGCTGGCTGTTCCCTTGGGAACAATCTGTTAACATTGATAGTGAGATTCAGGCAATATGGTTAAATATTGAGTTTATTCAAACACAAAATTTTAAGATGTCCACCTGGGAGGACACGGACTTCAAAAGATTGGATAAGTGCTCTGAAGTGGAAAGGTTTGAGAGTCATTATGTAGGCAGGGTCTAGGAAGCTTAACAGGATGTCAGCATTTTCTATACAAGATTAATGCATAGTTATAGCAATTCGATAGCAGTGTTTCCTTTTATTGGGAAGAACGTATTTAACATTCTGCATTAGAGATGTAATAGTCAAAGGGGTCTTTTATCTCAGACAAAGAATCTTTTATCTTAGATGCTATCTGGTCTGAGCCAGGAACAAGAAAACAAAGAAGGAAGTTAAGAGGTCAAGCTCAGTGACTCAGTTTCCTTCGGGCCTAACAACTTTTAGAAGCCCAAAATAGATAAGACTATTGGGTTTTTGGTTGTTTTTTTTTTTTCACATCTCCTGTGTGTCTGCATCAGGTGTTTACCGTCTGTAATTGTTGCATCATGTATCACCATCTGTAATTGTTTCATAGTGAACTGTGGGTCCTACATAAACCCAAATATGCTCTTCAATGCAACATTTAAAACCAAAGATGCTGCTACTTAGTTTCTCTCACAATCCAGTTGAGTAAAGATTCCTTAAGAAGCTACAAAATAAACAATTCCTTCACACTGTACACTGTAGTTTCAGTTTCTTGGTTTTACCCTTCCCATACACTGATTGCCTTTTGGTAACCACAGGTCTTAGAGGTACTTACTGTTGTCCTGGTATATTTTTTCCCTTAGGGACAGCTTTGAGGCAAGTGGCTAAAGCTTAGATTCACTAAAATTCGAACTTGGTCAAGCATCAGAGTCCAACCCAGTCCTTTTAATTACATTTGATATAGTTTGGATGTTTGGTCCCTCCATATCTCCAGTGTTGGAGGTGGGGCCTAGTGGGAGGTGTTGGATCCTGGGGGTGGGTCCGTCATAAATGGCTTAGTGCTATCCCCTTGGTGATTAGTGAGTTCCTGCTCAGTTAGTTCATGTGAGATCTGGTTGTTTAAAAGAATTTGGGTCCTCCAATTTCTCTCTCTTGTTCCTGCTCTCACTTTGTGACATGCCTGCTCCTACTTCACCTTCTCCCATGAGTGAAAGCTCCCTGAGGCCTCACCAGAAGCTGAGCACATGCCAGCACCACATTTCCTTTACAGTCTGAATAAATGTAAGCCAGTGAAACCTCTTTTCTTTATAAATTACCCAGCCTCAGGTATTTTGTTACAGTGACACAGAAATGAACTAATACAGAAAATTGGTACTGAGGTGCAATGCATTGCTATAAAGATGCCTGAAAATGTGAAAGTGGCTCTGGAACTGGCTAATGGGCAGAGGTTGGAAAAAGTTTGGAGGGCTCAGAAGAAGATAAGAAGATGAGGGAAAACTTGGAACTTTTTTTTTTTTAACTTTTTCACTGAGCCATGGGAACTTCTTACAGACTGATTAAATAGCTGTGACCAAAATGCTGGTGGGAATATGGACAATGAAGTCCAGGCTGATGAGATCTCAGATGGAAATGAGGAAGTTATTGGGAACTGGAGTAAAGGTCACCCATGTTATGTCCTAGCAAAGAACTTTGCTGCTTTGTGTTCATGCCCTAGGGATTTCTGGAAGCTTGAACTTAAGAGTGATAACTTAGGGTACCTGGCAAAAGAAATTTCTGAGCAGCAAAGCATTCAAGAAGTGGCCTGGCTGCCTCACTGCTTCAAACAGCCTACAATTATATATGGGAGCAAAAAAATGACTTAAAGTTGGAATTTATATTTAAAAGGTAAGCAGAGTATAAAAGTTTGGAAAATTTGCAGCCTGGCCATTTAGTAGAGAAAGAAAAAGCATTTTTAGGAGAGGAATACATGTCGGCTGTGGAGCAACCACTCGCAAAAGAGATTTGCATGACTAACAGAAAGCCAAGTGGTAATATCTGAGACAATGGGAAAAAGACCTGGAAGACATTTCAGAAGTCTTCAGGAAAGTCCCTCCCATCACAGGCCTAGGGGCCTAGGAGAAAAGAATGGTTCCAAGGGCCAGGCCCAGGGACCCCCTGCCCTGAGCAGCCTCAAGACATTGTGCCCTGAATCCGGCCACTCTGGCTCCAGCCTCAGCTTAGAGTGCCCCAGGCGCAGGCTGGGTTGCAGCTCCAGAGGGTTCAAGCCTTGATAGTTGTGGTAGTTTCCACATTGTGTTAAGGCTGCAGATGCTCAGAATGCAAGCATGAAGGAGGCTTGGCAGCTTCTACCTAGATTTCAAAGGATGTATGAGAAAGCCTGGGATCCCAGTCAGAAGCCTGCCACAGTGGGGGAGCCCCAACAGAGAACCTCTACCAGGGCAGTGCCAAGGAGAAATGTGAGGGCTCCCCACAGAGTCCCCACTAGGGCACTACCTAATGGATCTGTGGTAAGGGGACCACTGCCCTCTGAGAAGTGGTCCTGAGACCACTGCTCAGTCATATCACTTGGCTGCCCAAGGCCTTGGGAGTCTATCTCTTATACCAGGATGTGGGACATGGAGTCAAGGATTATGTTGGAGCTTTAAGAGCCCTGGCTGGAGTACAGTAGCACAATCCTAACTTGCTGCAGCCTTTAACTCCTAGACTCAAGCTATCCTCCTGCCTCAGCCTCCCAAGTAGCTGGGATTACAGGCTCAAGCCACAGCACCTGCCTCTTCATATGCTCTTTACCCAAATTTTCCAATTATTTACATTTTGTATTTTGCTTTGTTAACACCCATCAGCCAAATACCACTGGGAACAAACTTATAATGAGAAACAACTTATTGTAGCTTTCTGCATCAAGGAACCCCACATAGCAAGGTGATCATGGAGTGTCTTGGTAAGAGGCATTTAGGAAGGGCTGGCTATAGAGTTTCATATAAGATGCTAGGTAGTATTAGATATAATATTAAGTAATATCACTATTAAATACTAGATATCAATTAAAAGACTATTAATATTAGTTAATTCTGTTACCTATTAGATATGGCTAGACACCATCATCTTTTCTATCCAAACTCCCATATTTAAATTTGTTGTGCTTTTTAAAGTTCTTGTAACTGTTTTCCCCCATCCCCCAGTCCAAAGTCCAATTTTATGTACTGCTTTTAGGTGTCACATTTCTGTAGTCTTCTTTAATCTAGAAAGATTCAACAGGCTTTGTCTTTTTATTCTTGACATCCTTGAAGTATATAGGCAAAGTATTTTATAGAAAGATAGTCATTTGGGATTTATGTATTTCATGTTTAGGTTCAGATTATGCATTGTTGGTGTGGATACCACAGAAGTGTTGAAGTGTCATAACAGGGGCCAAATGATGTCTGTTTTTCCCTTCATTGGAGATCTCAACTTTGTTCACTTGGCCAAGATGATATCTTTCAGATTTTTCCACTGAAAGGTTACTTTTTAATTAAATTTTGAAAATAAAAACGTTTCTTACGGGAGATACATTATTAGTGGGCATTATCCTGTAAAGATTAGCTTCCACTTCTCCCTGATTTATTAATCAGTTTCTTCAACTATAAATATTCTATCAATATGGACCCACAATCCAGTTAAATAACATGTAGATTAACTGTTATTATTTCCAACTTTATTGAGGTGTATTTTACATGTCATAGAATTTACCCATTTCAGTCGTACGATTTAATAATCTTCAGGAACTTTGAACAGTGGTGTGACCGTCATCATAATTCAGTTTAGATCATTTTCGCCCCCCAATTGGACTCCTTGTGCTTATGTACAGTTAAACCTCATTCTCACCTCAAATCTGGAGCAACCACTAACCTACTTTCTCTATATATACATTTGCTTATTCTGGATATTTTATAAAATTGAATTTTACAATCCATGGGGTTTTTAGACTGGCTTCTTTAACTTAGCATAATGTTTCCAAGGTTCATACATGTTGTAGCATGAGCCAGTTCTTCACTCCTTTGAATTTCCAAATAAAATTCTGTTGTATGGATATGCCATGATTTGTCTATTCATTTACCCGTAGGAGGGCATTTTGCTTGTTTGCAGTTTGGGGTTATGAGTAATGCTGCTATGAACATTCATGTGCTAATTGAAAATACTTGTCTATGTTGGTGGTCGGCATTCCTAGTTACCATTTCCTGTCTGTTTTTCTGCCTTTCCTGGCACTTTCCAGGCATGATTTCACCTTCACTTGAACTGCTTCATTCAGGACTCTGCAAATTCCCTGAAGTAGAAGGAAAAATGACCACATTCAAAGTGAGTAGGGCTTGCCTCTCTTGCTGTTAAAATTCCATCTTACTACTCATATTGTCACATTTTTATCTGTCTTGGGAAGACTCAAGGAGAACAACAAGCATTTGAGGGCATTTTGTTTGCCAGATGCTTCCTTTGCTGCTTTTGAATTGACTTTCCGTTTGGTTTTAGTTCTTGTTTTCTTACATAATTTCTTTTCTGTAGTAGATAAAATAGTAGGAATGGATAATTCTTTCACTTCACTACTTCTCTGCTCACAAATTAGCTGTTTTTATCTTGTATTCTTCATCATGTACATTCATAACTGTATTTTTATTGATGACATACCTCTAATTTTAAATTGTGCTCGTTTTATATAATATTATATAATGTTCCATTTTTATATTGGTATCATAGTCCCAATGAATTAATGTACCTTCTTATTTTTAACTACTTCACACTCATAGACATTTAGGTGGTTTAGGAATTTTACTGTTTTAAGCAACACTGCTGTGACAGCTTTCCTATATATAACCCCTTCCCCCCAAAATTAATTCTGAAAACAAGATAGGATACTTTTGACATGTATTACATTGGCTGTTTTATAGATGGTAGATTATTTCAACAGGGCACAGCACATGAGGCTCTGACTGCTACTTCCCACAAATATTGTTGTTGGAGTTTTCACACAGGAAGAGCTAGATTCTGTGTTTGCCATGCCTTACTCATACCTTGTATGCATGTTATTTATTGGTCTCTTCTTATTCCTTTATGGAGTAAGCAGTTTTACCAAAGTAGTAGGTACCTTCATTTGAAATGTCCAGTGATACTGGAAGATTGGCCAATCACTTGTGTTGTGTTACTATATTTACTCAGAGAAGCAGAATGCAGGTTTTAGTCTCATCTTCCTCTTAAACTCATAAAATATGAGAAATCTGCTCAGATTCACATAGGCAACCAAGGTCAGGAATGTTAGCCATTCTGCTCATTTATAATCAAATAAGTGAGAATGATATTAATACAATGAATTCTTCTTCCTAATCATATTACCGAAACCATGGGAATATTTACAACCTGCTCTTAACCATCATAAGGAGAATAAGGGTACTTGTGTTCACTCGGAAGAGTGGGAAGTAGGTAAAAAATTTGGAAGAAAGTATGAAATTATGTAATCACAATTTTAAATGTGTTTATTGACATTCTCATTTTCATTTGACATTATTTTAAATAATCAGGAGAATAAAGTCTATATAAAATTATTTTCTTTACAGGATTGATAATAAAAAATATTTAATATGAAGTATTCATTATTTAAATAAAAAGAGATCATTTTTGCCCTGGAATACTTTGCAGATATGAAATGAGATGAAATAAATAACAATAATGACAGTTATAATAAAAATAGATAATATTTATTAAATACTTAGTCTTTGCCACACAGTTTTCCCAATGCTATATATATTTCCTTCTTTAATCCTTGAAAAAACGATACCAGGTGAAAATCATTATACAGACAGGAAACTAATGCATGTAGGTGAGCTTGTCCAAAGCCACACATCTAGGAAGGGACAAAGCTTTGGGATGTGCTCTGAGGCATGATGGTTCCATATCATGACATTGAATGATGCAACTAATGTATGTAGTTTGTGCCTTGAGCATATAGAGGATGCAATGCATAGCTGTCCCACACAGGTCACCATATACTGGTTAGTTTGACAGATACTAAAGAAAAGTTAACAACATCCACAGTTTGAGTATGAAAGGAAGACAATGGAAGAGAGGAAGACAATGGAAATTATCAAAGTTGGGACTAAACTTCTAAATGTTACTGGGGCAATTGGCAACAACACACTAAAACCTAAATACCTGTAGCCCAGGAGGCAGCATGTAGAGTCCTAGAGGGCTACTTACAAGTAGACTCAATGACTGCACAAAGTAAAAGTACAGGACTTCTTTTATATCATTGCACTTCTGATGAAGCTCATGAAAATCTGCGTGTGTCATTGTCAGGATATAGGCAGAATGAGTGGGAAATCTGTA
Organism: Homo sapiens; assembly: GCF_000001405.40. NCBI lineage: Eukaryota > Metazoa > Chordata > Mammalia > Primates > Hominidae > Homo > Homo sapiens. Next base: position 43,964,824 of record NC_000019.10, read on the forward strand.
TGTTGACCTACATCCCTCAAGATCTAGGACAACTTACCACACCTGTCCCCTTTGCCTACTTAGTGCCACCCTTCTTTGAATAATCATTGGTCATAAGATTTAGGTTTTGTATGTTGGATATTTTAGGAGGCAGTGACATTCAAGGATGTGGCTGTGGTCTTCACTGAGGAGGAGCTGGGGCTGCTGGACCCTGCCCAGAGGAAGCTGTACCGAGATGTGATGCTAGAGAACTTCAGGAACCTGCTCTCAGTAGGTGAGGACAGGCACCCTCTGTAACAGAATGTTAGGCCCCAGGAATGGCTTTGTATTCCAAGTTTGAGTATGCATTGGGAACCTAAATTTCCAGTAAATTTTCCCTAGATATTACCTACAATGGGTTGGAATTAAGCATGTCACTGTGTGTTCACAGGGAATCAACCATTCCACCAAGATACTTTCCACTTCTTAGGGAAGGAAAAGTTTTGGAAGATGAAGACAACAAGCCAAAGAGAAGGGAATTCAGGTAAGAACCAAGTAACTGTGCATCCTTGTACATGACTCTTCCATCTGTTTTACTTCTGTCCATGCCTATTTCCATCACCCTGGTCTAAATTGCCAAACTTCTTTCATAACTTATTGCAACTGCCTTCCTTCTTTAAAGTTCCTTTGGCTTCATTATTCATGTTCATATTTTATTAGTTTAATAATTTATCATACAAGATTTTAGACTAGGAAATTTACCAGAATTAGTAACGGGTTAAGTGTATGTATGTTATTAATTATTTAATTCAGTCTTTTATTTCTACCAGGATTTTACATATGAGATGTGATGTGGTTCTAAATTGTTCTCTTGAAAACCAAAGACCATAGTGCACTCGGAAAACATGAACTTAATGTTTCCTGTTTTCATTAAAGTTTAATGCCATGTCCTAAGTGTGAAATCTTGAAAACATTGAATAGGGCTTCACTTGCCCACATATATTAATTCTGTGTCTTTTTAGGAGGCAAGATCCAAATTGAGATGGAGACTGTTCCAGAAGCAGGACCACATGAAGAGTGGTCCTGTCAGCAAATATGGGAACAAATTGCAAGTGACCTAACCAGGTCTCAAAACTCCATAAGGAACAGCTCTCAGTTCTTCAAAGAAGGTGATGTCCCCTGCCAGATTGAGGCAAGACTATCTATAAGTCACGTGCAACAGAAACCTTACCGTTGTAATGAATGTAAACAGTCCTTCAGTGATGTTTCTGTCTTTGATCTTCATCAACAATCACACTCAGGAGAGAAATCTCATACATGTGGTGAGTGTGGAAAAAGCTTCTGTTACAGCCCAGCCCTTCATATTCATCAGAGAGTCCATATGGGAGAAAAATGCTATAAGTGTGATGTGTGTGGTAAGGAATTTAATCAGAGCTCACATCTGCAAACTCATCAGAGAGTCCATACTGGAGAGAAACCATTCAAATGTGGGCAATGTGGGAAAGGCTTCCATAGTAGATCAGCACTTAATGTTCATTGCAAATTGCACACAGGAGAGAAACCTTATAATTGTGAGGAATGTGGGAAAGCCTTCATTCATGATTCACAGCTTCAAGAACATCAGAGAATCCATACTGGGGAGAAGCCATTCAAATGTGATATATGTGGTAAGAGCTTCCGTGTTAGATCAAGACTTAATAGGCATTCCATGGTTCACACAGGAGAAAAACCATTCAGATGTGATACATGTGGCAAGAACTTTCGTCAGAGATCAGCACTTAATAGTCATTCCATGGTCCACATAGAAGAGAAGCCATACAAATGTGAGCAATGTGGAAAAGGCTTCATTTGTAGGCGAGATTTTTGTAAGCATCAGATGGTCCACACAGGAGAGAAACCATATAATTGTAAAGAATGTGGGAAGACCTTCAGATGGTCCTCATGTCTTTTGAACCATCAGCAAGTCCACAGTGGACAAAAATCCTTCAAATGTGAAGAATGTGGGAAGGGATTTTATACAAATTCACGACGATCTTCCCATCAGAGATCCCACAATGGAGAAAAGCCATATAACTGTGAGGAGTGTGGTAAGGACTATAAAAGGAGGTTGGATCTTGAGTTTCACCAGAGGGTCCACACGGGTGAGAGACCCTATAATTGTAAGGAATGTGGCAAGAGCTTTGGCTGGGCCTCCTGTCTTTTGAAACATCAGAGACTCCACAGTGGGGAAAAACCTTTCAAATGTGAAGAGTGTGGAAAGAGATTTACTCAGAGTTCACAACTTCATTCCCATCAGACATGCCATACTGGAGAAAAGCTATACAAATGTGAGCAGTGTGAGAAGGGGTACAACAGTAAATTTAATCTTGACATGCACCAGAGGGTCCACGGGGGAGAGCGACCCTATAATTGTAAGGAATGTGGAAAGAGCTTTGGCTGGGCTTCATGTCTTTTGAAACATCAGAGACTCCACAGTGGAGAAAAGCCATTGAAATCTGGAGTGTGGGAAGAGATCTACTCAGAATTCACAGCTTCATTTACATCAGTAAGTCTATGTGGGAGAAAAGCCATATAAATGTGAGAAGTGTGGGAAGGGCTTTGGCTGGGCCTCAACTCATCTGACCCATCAATTCTCCACAGCAGAGAAAAACCATTCAAATATGAGAACTGTGGGAAGAGCTTTGTACATAGATCATATCTTTTTTTTTTTTTTTTGAGACAGAGTCTCACTCTTTCACCCAGGCCTGACTGCAGTGGCGCTATCTCAGCTCACTGCAAGCTCCGCCTCCCAGGTTCACGCCATTCTCCTGCCTCAGCCTCCCGAGTAGCTGGGACTACAGGTGCCCGCCACCACACCCAGCTAATTTTTTGTATTTTTAGTAGAGACGGGGTTTCACCGTGTTAGCCAGGATGGTCTCGATCTCCTGACCTCGTGATCCGCCCGCCTTGGCCTCCCAAAGTGCTGGGATTACAGGCGTGAGCCACTGCGCCCGGCCATAGATCACATCTTAAAGACCAAGAAAAGAGTCCACAGTGGAGATAATCCATACAAATGTGAGGAGCATGGGATGTACTACAACAGGCACTTGACTTGATATGCATCAGAGGGTCCATATGGCAGAGAAACCGTGGAAGTTTGGGGAGATTGCCATGTGCTTCAGTTATGCCTCAAAGTCTTCAACTTCATTGGACTGTTCACTTTCAAGGGAAACCTTAGTAAGGTGATATCTGTGATAGTCTTCTCAACTACAAGCTCATCTGAGAGTTCACAATGGGAGAAGCATTAAAAATTTGATACATGTGGTAAGCACTTCAGTTTGAGTTCATATCTCATAGCTTATTACAGAATCCATGCTGATGATACATTTCATACAGTCTCAGGAGGGAAAATATTTAAGTTAAAGTCAGAGTTTCAGCCATAGTTCAGCATACCCACGTGGTTTTAGAACCACTGTAGCACAGAACCTTTGTAATTTGGGGCTTCATTCAGAAGTTTGGCAATTATAGTTATTCAAGAGACAGGCCTTAGAAAGAATAGGAGTTTGTTCAGGCATTTACAAATCTCTAATGATGGACATGTCAAAATTGATGTCGGCTAGAATATAAGCTGCATTTACCTTTGCTGCAGAATCTTCACAACCTTAACACTGATTGGCACTTTGTATGTGTGTTTGGTACATGTAAGAGATGTAGAAAGAGCTTTGGCTGGGCTTCATATCTTTTGAAATATCAGAGATGTGATATTAAAGGATCAAAAGGAGAAAACATATTTCAAAATTGTATCTAAAAGAGGAAACCTGGGATAGACCAAGATGGCCAATTAGAAGCAGCTATGGTTCATGGTACTCATACAGAGGAATGAAAATGACAGATAAATTCAGCACCTTCAATTGAAATATCTAGGTTCTCTCATTGGGACTGACTAGGCAATCAATTCAACCCACAGAAAATGAAGAAAAGTAGGGTGGAGTTATGGCCCACTTGGTGTGGCATGGAGCCAAAGGAAACCTCACCCCCACCCAAGGGAAGCAGTGAGTGATTGTGCGACCCTGCGCAGGAAACCATGCTACTCAAGGATCTTTGCAACCCACGGGTCAGGAGATCTCCTTGTGAGCCCATGCCACCAGGGCCTTGGGTTTGATACACAGAGCTGTGTGGAGTTTTGGCAGAGCGGCCTCTCAGGCACACACAGAGACCCAGGAGGTTTACATGCTCTAGCCCCAGAATTCCTGGCAAGGTGGCAGATTCATCCTTATATTCCCCTAGGAAGGGGGCTGAATCCAGGGAGCCAGGCAGCAACATTCTGTGGGCCCCACTTCCATGGCACCTTACAAAACCCACTGGCTTGGAATTTCAACCAACCAACAGCAACAGGCTTCAGCCTGAAATAGGAGGGAGCTCCTGTGGGGGAAGGCTGGCCACCATTTCTGTGGTTCAGTCTACTCAGCATTCCAGCCTGCCAGCTCTGGAGAGACCAGGTTGTCTGGACAAGGAGAGGATCCCCCTGCCCAACACAGAACACCTGCTTTGCCAGATCATGCCCAGACTGCTGCTTTTTTTTTTTTTTTTTTTTTTTTTTTTTTTTGAGATGGAGTCTCACTCTGTTGCTCAGACTGGAGTGCAGTGGCATGCTCTTGGTTCATGGCAACCTCCACCTCTTGGGTTCAAGCAATTCTCCTGCCTCAGCCTCCCAAGTAGCTGGGATTACAGGCAGGTACCACCACACCTGGCTAATTTTTGTATTTTTCATAGAGACAGGGTTTCACCGTGTTGGCCAGGCTGGTCTTGAACTCCTGACCGCAGGTGATCCGCCTGCCTCAGCCTTCCAAAGTGCTGGGATTACAGGCATGAGCCACTGCACCTGGCCCAGACTGCTTCTTTAAGCAGGACCCTGATCCATTCCTCCCCACTGTGTGGGGTCTCCCTGTGGGGGGTCTTCAGTCACTCCAGCCAGGCTTATACTGACAGAAATCTAATCTCTACCTCAGATGGAGCTCCCAGGGGAGTGGCGACCACTGTCTCTATGGTTCGGTTGACAAAGCTGTTCCAGCCTGCTGGCTTTGGAGAGTCTGGGCAATCTGGGTGAGGAAGGGTCCTCCCCCACCGCAGCACACCTGCTGTACCAAAAGCAGTTGGACTGCTTCTGTAAGTAGGTCCCTGATCCTGTTCCTCCTGACTCAGTGAGACCTCCCAACAGGAGTCTCTAGACACCTCCTACAGGAGTCTTCAGGCCAGAAACTGGTCAGTATCCCCCTGGGACAGAGTTTCCAAAAGAAGGAGAAGGCTGCCATCTTTGCTGTTTTGCAGCTTTCACTGGTGACACCTCCAGGTACGGGAAAAACGGAGGCAACTAGGGTCTCGAGCAGACCCCAGCAAACTGTGGCAGCCCTACAGTTGCTAACAGTCAGTGGCTTGACTGTTAAAAACAGGCAGAAAACAACAAGAACATCAACAAAAAGACCCCACAAAAACCCCATTCAAGGGTCAGCAACCTCAAGATTGAAGGTAGGTAAGCCCACAGATATGATAAAAAGTCAACACAAAAAAATGCTGAAAACTCAAAAAGCCAGAGCGCCTCTTCTCCAAATGACTACAGCACCTCTCTAGCAAGGGTACAGAACTGGGCTGAGGCTGAGATGGCTGAACTGACAGAAGTAGGCCTCAGAAAGTGGGTAATGAACTTTGCTGAGCTAAAGGAGCATGGCATAACCCAATGCAAAGAAGCTAAGAATCATGATAAAACAATACAGGAGCTGATGACCAGAATAGCCAGTTTAGAGAGGAACATAACTGACTTGATGGAGCTGAAAAACACAACACAAGAACTTAACAATGCAATCACAAGTATCAATTGTAGAATAGACCAAGAGGAGGAAAGAGACTCAGAGCTTGAAGACTATCTTTCTGAAATAAGACAGGCAGAGAAGAATAGAGAAAGAATGAAGAGTAATGAACAAAACCTCTGAAAAAAAATATGGAGTTATGTAAAAAGACTGAACCTATGACTGATTGCGGAACCTGAAACAGATGGGGAGAATGGAAACAAGTTGGAAACATACTTTAGGATGTTATCCAGGATAACTTTCCAAACCTAGCATGACAGGCTAATATTCAAATTCAGGAAATGCAGAGAACCCCGGTAAGATACTCCATGAGAAGATCAACCCCAAGACACATAATCATCAGATTCTCCAAGGTCAAAATTAAAAAATGTAAAGGGCAGTCAGAGAGAATGAAAGGTCAGGTCCCCTACAAAGGGAAGCCCATCAGACTAATAGCAGACATCTCAGTGGAAACCCTACAAGCCAGAAGATATTGGGGGTCAATATTCAGCATTCTTAAAGAATTCTTTGCCAGAATTTAGTATCTGGCCAAAGTAAGCTTTATGTGCAAAGAAATAAGATCCTTTTCAGACAAGCAAATGCTGAGAGAATTCATCACCACCAGGCCTTCCTTGCAAGAGTTCCTGAAGGAAGCACTAAATATGGAAAGAAAAAACCATTACCAGCCACTACAAAAACACACTGAAGTACATAGACCAATGACACTATAAAGCAACCACATAAACAAGTCTGCAAAATAACCAGCTAGCATCATGATGGCAGGATCAAATTCACACATAACAATACTAATATCAAATGTAAATAGGCTAAATGCCCCAATTGAAAGACAGAGAAGTGCAAGCTGGATAAAGAGCCAAGACCGATTGATACGCCGTGTTTAAGAGACCCATCACACGTGCAAAGACACACATAGGCTCAAAATAAAGGGATGGAGGAAAATCTACCAAGAAAATGGAAATCAGAAAAAAGCAGGAGTCACAATCCTAGTTTTTGACAAAACAGACTTTAAACCAACAAAGATAAAAAAAAAAAAAAAGACAAAGCAAGGCATTACATAACAGCAAAGGGTTCAACAAGAAGAGCTAACTATTCTAAACATATATACGCACCCAATAGCAGAGGACCCAGATTCATAAAGTAAGTTCTTAGAGACCTACAAAGAGACTTAGACTCCCACACAGTAATAGTGGGAGACTTTAACACTCCATTGACAATATTAGATCATTGAGATAAAAAATTAACAAAGATGTTGAGGACCTTAACTCAGCTCTGGATTAAGCAGACCTGATAGATATCTGCAGAACTCTCCACTCCAAAACAACAGAATATACATTTTTCTCATCATCACATGGCTCTTAAAAATTGATCACATAATCGGAAGTAAACACTCCTCAGCAAATGCAAAAGAACTGAAATCATAACAGTCTCTCAGACCATAGCACAATCAAATTGAACTCAAGATTAAGAAATTCACCCAAAAAATTAAAACAAAAATGAAATTAACTCAGAACCACACAACTATGTGGAAATTGAATAACCTGCTTGTGAATGACTCCTGGGTAAATACTGAAATTAAGGCATAGATCAAGAAATTATTTGAAACTAATAAGAATAAAGACACAATGTACCAGAATCTCTGGGATGCAGCTAAAGAAGTGTTAAGACAGAAATTAATAGCACTAAATGCCCACATCAAAAAGCTAGAAAGATCTCAAGTTAACAACATCACAACTAAAATAGAGAACCAAAAACAAACCCCAAAGCTAGCAGAATACAGGAAATAAGATCAGAGCAGAACTCAAGGAGACAGAGACACAAAAAATCTTTCAAAAATTAACAAATCCAGGAGCTGGTTTTTTGAAAAAAATTAATAGACTGCTAACTAGACTAATAAAGAAGAAAAGAGAGAAGAATCCAACACAATCAGAAATGATAAAGGGGATATCACCACTGACCCCACAGAAATACAAGCAACCATCAGAGAATATTATAAACACCTCTCTGCACATAAACTAGAAAATCTAGAAAAAGAGAATAAATTTCTGGAAACATACACCCTCCTAAGGCTGAACCTGGAAGAAATTGAATCCTTGAATAGACCAATAACGACTTCTGAAATTGAGGCAGTAATAGTCTACCAAAAAAAAAAAAAAAAAGCCCAGGACCAGACAAATTTACAGCTGAATTCTACCAGAGGTACAAAAAAGAGCTGGTACCATTTCTACTGAAACTATTCCAAACAATTGAAAAGAAGGGATTCCTCCTTAACTCTTTTTATGAGGCCAGCATCATCCTGATACCAAAATCTGGCAGAGATAAAACGAAAAAAGAAAACTTCAGGCCAGTATCCCTGATGACTATCAATGCAAAAATCCTCAACAAAATACTGGCAAACTGAATCCAGCAGCACATCAAAAAGCTTATCTACCACAATCAAGTTGGCTTCATCCCCAGGATGCAACGTTGGTTCAACATATGCAAATCAATAAATGTGATCACATAATGAGAACCAAAGACAAAAATCACATGATTCTCTCAATAGATGCAGAAAAGGCCTTTGATAAAATTCAACATCCCTTCATGCTAAAAGCTCTCTGTAAACTAGGTACTGAAGGAACATACCTCAAAATAATAAGAGCCATAGATTTCAAACCCACAGCCAATATCATACTGAGTGGGCAAAAGTTGTAATCATTCCCCTTGAAAACTGGCACAAGACAAGGACCAGCCCCCCGCCCTTTCCCCACTCCTGTTCAACACAGTATTGGAAGTTCTGGCCAGTCAAGTCAGACAAGTGAAAGAAATAAAGCATATTCAAATAGAGAGGAAGTCACAGTATCTTTGTTTGCAGATGACATGATCCTATATCTAGAAAACCCCATCATCTCAGCCCAAAAGCTTTTTAAGCTGATAAGCAACTTCAGCAATGTCTCAGGATACAAAATCAATGTGCAAAACCGCTAGCATTCCTATAAACCAACGACAGGCAAGCAGAGAGCCGAATCATGAATGAACTCCCATTCACAATTGCTACAGAAAGAATAAGTTATCTAGGAATACAGCTAACAAGGGAAGCGAAGGACCCCTTCAAGGAGAACTACAAACCACTGCTCAAAGAAATCAGAGAGGACACAAATGGAAAAACATTTCATGCTCATGGATAGGAAGAATCAATATTGTGAAATGGCCATACTGCCCAAAGTAATTTATAGATTCAATGCTATTCCCATTAAACTACCGTTGACATTCTTCACAGAATTAGAAAAAAAAACCTATTTTAAAATTCATTTGGAACCAAAGAATAGCCCAAATAGCCAAGACAATTCTAAGCAAAAAAGAACAAAGCTGGAGGCATTATGCAACCCAACTTCAAACTATACTCCAAGGCTACAGTAACGAAAACAGCATAGTACTGGAACAAAAACAGACACATAGACAAATGGAACAGAATAGAGAACTCAGAAATAAGACCACACACCTACAACCATCTGATATTCAACAAACCTGACAAAAACAAGCAGTGGGGAAATGATTCCCTATATAATAAACGGTGCTGGGAGAACTGGCTAGCCATGCACAGAAAATTGAAACTGGACCCCTTCCTTACAAACATTATACAAAAATTAAGATGGATTAAAAACTTATGAAACCCAAAACTATAAAAACCCCAGAAGAAAATCTAGGTGATACCATCCAGGACATAGGGACAGGCAAAGATTTCACGATGAAAACACCAAAAGCAATTGCAACAAAAGCAAAATTTGACAAATGGGATCTAATTAAACTAAAGAGCTTCTGCACACCAAAAGAAACTATTATCAGGGTGAACAGACAACCTACAGAATGGGAGAAAATCTTTGCAATCTGTCCATCTGACAAAGGTCTAATATCCAGAGCCTACAAGGAACTTAAACAAATTTACGAGAAAAAAAACCATTAAAAAGTGGGCAAAAGACATCAACAGGCACTTCTCAAAAGAAGACGTACATGCAGCTGACAAACATGAAAAAAAAGCTCAACATCACTATCATTAGATAAATGCAAATCAAAACCACAATGAGATACTGTCTCACATCAGTCACAATGGCAATTATAAAAAAGTAAAAAAGAAGCCATTTGCAGCAGCTCAAAGTGCTGTAATCCCAAACCTTTGGGAGGCTGAGGTGGGTGGATCACTTGAGGTCAGGAGTTGGAGACCAGCCCGGCCAACATGGCGAAACGAACCCCTGTCTCTACTAAAAATACAAAAAATTAGCTGGATGTGGTGGTGCATGCCTATAATCCCCAGCTACTTGGGAGGCTGAGGCATGAGAATTGGTTGAACCGGAGGCAGAGGTTGCAGTGAGTCAAGGTCATGCCACTGCACTTCAGCCTGGGCAACAGTGAAACTGTGTCTCAAAAAAAAAAAAAGTCAAAAAGCAACAGTTGTTGGTGAAGTTGGGGAGAAAAAGGAATGCTTTTACATTGTTAGTGGGAGTATAAATTAGTTGAACCATTGTGGAAGACAGTGTGGCAATTCCTCAAAGATTTAGAGGCAGAAATACCATTTCACCTAGCAATCCCATTACTGTAATATATACCCCCAAATTATAAATCATTCTATTAGAAAGATACATGCACTTGTATGCTCACTGCAGCACTATTCAAAATAACAAAGACATGGACTCAGCCCAAATGCCCATCAATGATAGACTGGATAAAGAAAATGTCATACATATAGACCATGGAATACTATGCAAACATAAAAAGAAATTAGATCATCCAGGACATGGATGGAGCTAGAAGCCGTTATCCTCAGCAAACTAACACAGGAACAGAAAACCAAACACTGCATGTTCTCACTTATAAGTGGGAGCTGAATGATGAGAACATATGGACACATGGTGGGAAACAACACACACTGGGGCCTCTTGGAGGGGTGGAGGGAGGGAGAGCATCAGGCAGAATAGCTAATGGATGCTGTGCTTAATACCTAGGTGATAGATTGATCTGTGCAGCAAACCACCATGGCTCACATTTACCTATGTAACAAACCTGCACATCCTGCACATGTACCCCTGAACTTAAAATAAAAGTTGAAGAAAAAACTAAATCATAGTATTAAAAAGGAGAAATCTTGCAAGAAATAATTTATGGAAACATGAGTTGAAATGCAGGGTACACTCAGCACTGCAATGTAGACCTTTATTTTGATTATTATCTTATTCCACTTGGCTCCTGGCTTCTCCTCATCCTCTGTTCTCAAGTCGGATTCTTATTATTTGGGACTCTGTCTAGTGTTCCCTTGATTGTATATAGTATAAATTTAACAATCATTTGTCACTTTTCTCACAATATGAGGTGAAAAGATTTTGTAATAACAGACCACTGCATATTGTACAATTAAGTTTTTTCAACAATTTTAAGGCAGGATTCACAGTAAACACTTTTTTCTTTTAAAAAATTATTTTTAAGGAATAGAGACAGTCTCACCATGTTGCTTGGCTGGCCTTGAACTTCTAGGCTCAGGCAATCCTCCTACCTCAGCCTCCCAAAGTGCTTGAATTATAGGCATGAGCCACCACACCCAGCCCACAGTAACATTTCTAATGTGGCAGATGTAGTTACATTGACAAAAATTTTTCTGGTAAAGGCCAGGTGTGGTGGCTCACTCCTGTAATCCCAGCACTTTGGGAGGCTGAGGCAGGTGGATCACTTGAGGCCATGGGTTCGAGATCAGCCTGGTCAACATGGCAAAACCCCGTCTCTACTAAAAATACAAAAATTAGCTGGTGTGGTGGTGTGTGCCTGTAATCCCAGCTACCTGAGAGGCTGAGGCATGAGAATCGCTTGAGCCTGGGAGGCGGAGGTTGCAGTGAGCTGAGATTGTGCCACTGTACTCCAGCCTGGGCAACAGAGCGAGACTTCATCTAAAAAAAAATTCCTAATAAGTTTTGAATTGATCATGATTTGTGATTCTGCGTTTCTGTGCAGGCTTTAATATGATTGCCTTCTAATTGCTGTAGTTATTTCTTTTATCAGACTTCTCAGGTAGAAGCTTTGCCAAATTTGAAGGAAAATTTTTGGCAACCTCAGTATTTCTTCCCATCTCTATGAACTACCAAGAACATTTGTTGGAGTTTGGTGATTTCATCATACATATTCATTATTGGAGCAAGAGTAACCTTTACATACTCTTCTTTATTGTTGGCCATAAGAATACGTTTTTTGGAAAGTGGTATATGGCAGTATGTATAAGGTACAACTGTTCAACCTGGAAATCATAGGATAGAAAATTACAACATTAAAACTCTGAAAATTAGTAGATTACATGGATGATGTCACTTAATTTTAAAATGGAAAGAACAAGTGTTCAACCACAGGAATTTGTATGAAGTGCATTTATTAATATAAAAACACAAAGCCAGTAAAATGATGACATAGATGTACAATAAAAAGAGAAGAGCATAATGTATGCCTTAGGGAAATCCTATTGTAGCCTTCATAACAAACTAAGTGTCTTTGTGTTTCTGGGTTTGTTTATTTGGTTATTTTTAGTGTGTATGTACATCATTTGTGGATGAATATTCTGACATTTTCCCTGGCAATGAGTATTTGCTGGAATTTTTCATTTTATAATTTTATGCATTTTAAATTTCTCATTGAACACCAATTTTACCAAAGCAGTTATGTGATGAAAAATTTGAAAAATTATTAATATTAATCACTTACCTATAAGGACTCTGAATAAGATTGCTCTACATTGTCATATGACAGTTCAAAATTAAGGAATAGGGATGTGGAAGTCATATTTCAAAATAAAAAAATGTATCTGGTCACCTGGATATACAGATTGATGAGTGTGGTCAACTGCCTTCATAACTAATGTGTGTGATTCTGCTTTAGGCATAAGTCAGGAAGCAAGCAAATCCTAGTGACAGAAATAATGTGGGTATATATAGTTGTGGAGGTTAAAAAAACAGATTCTTTGAAGAACAAATGCGCATGATCAGGGAACTTAACATGACAGCAGCAGTCTCTTAGTGTGTGGAACCAGCTCGGACAAAGAGCTGATTTGGGTGCTAATTCATAGTTATACACCATGGTGTAACTTAACTGTATTAGGTTAAAAGGCATTCTTCAAAGTGTCTAGTTGAGATAGTAAGCTTTTCATAATTAATTTTCTAAATAATGTATTTTCATGATGCTATATTCATGCTGTGCCAGTTTGGATAGTAGATTGGAGGTCCCTAAGACCACCTCTGGGTTCTGTGATTTACTAAAATAACTGAGACTATAGTTGTACTTATAACAATATTACAGTGACAAGATACAAAACAGAATCTGTAAAGGGAAATGGCTCATGGGCAGTTGTCTAGAGGAAACCAGAAGCAAGCTTACCAGAGTCCTCTCTGCATGGTGTTACATAAGACTCAACTCCTCTAGCATTGAATTGTGATACTACTTGTGAAATGTCTACAATGGAAGCTCATTAGCAACCAGCAGCACAGGTTCTTATTGAGATTGATTATGTAGGTATGTGTCTAGTACATATCAAGATTCCCAACTCTAAGAAGAAGAGCAAGTGTTCCAAATAAGCTGCATTGTAGAGTTTAGGCGCAGTGACCACTCCTACCCATTATGGAAAGGTGGTAACTCTCTCAAACCCCATGTTCCTTGACTCCAGCCAAAGGCCAGTGTTGCAAACAGCTCTTTTTAAAGTTAGCAGTCTGACTTATGCCTGCTATGTTAACTTTTTGTGCATGTGGTATCAGAAAAGTAGGGCCTGCAGTCTTGTGGGGTTTTCTTAAACTATCACCAGATAATAGTTCATCTCTAAGATAATTATTTGTAAAAGAAAATTCATCAGATTACATTTTTAAATATTTTTATAATAAAAAATACCATAGGTAGGCCTTCCATCTACCCTCGTGTGTGTCTGGGTCCTCAAATTGGTCACAGGATGATATTAACAGCTGATTTGTTTTTATTGTTCATATTTATGTCTCACAGACTGCATGAGTATTTGACTCCCAATAAAACTGAATATTGAATACCTAGCTTCATATGTAGTACCTGAGCTTTTGTGTGGCCAGTATTTCTTGCCACTTCTCACGATGGACTGGGTCTCTTTTATGTATATGACCCTGGCAAGTTCACTATGTTAACTTTGAAATTGGGTACATTATTATAATTGGGAATTATTGCAGAGTCTCAATCTCTGTGTTTGAAAAATGAGGGAAGCTTCCCAAGTTATTATTCTCTGACCATATCAGTAGGATATCCATTTAAATGTTTGAGCTAAATGCCACAACATTTGTGTGTGTGTGTTTTTTTTTTTTTTTTTTTTTTTTGATACACTATGACAATAACTTCCTGGATAGATTTGTTGTTGTTTTTAATTTTTATAGTAAAAATACACTCATTTTACTTGCAAGAATAATGTCTAGACATTGGAAACAATTACTTTGGTACAGAAAAGTCTAAAAAAGAAAGTGGAAGATAGGAAGTATGAATATTTTGGTAAGGATGGTTCAGCATATCTATGCATATAGGTAACAATTGTATAGAATTTTACAAAACTAGGAACACACTAAGCATACTTGCTCCTAACAGGATTGTCCTAATATGACACTAATGTTAAAGGCTGTATAAATAAGTTGACCTCCAACCTCATTTCTAATGCCTGCTGTATCCTGGTGTACTGAATATTAATTTTTCCTTAAACAGTTTTCTGATGATGAGGATCTGTGTGGTATCAATTTTAATTACAACATGCCTAGACTACAGTCCCTAGTTATTTAATCAAACAGTAATACATATATATATATATATATATATGGAAGGCATTTTGTAGATATTTAGCCCATAATCAGTTGGCTTTGAGTAGGGATATTATGTGAGATAATGTCAGTGGGCCTGATGAATCACTTGAAATTATTTAAAAGTAGAGCTGAAGCTTCTTTGAAAAAAGAAATTGCACCTTTTAGTAGCATCTTCCTCTCGTGGGTTAGTGTTCCATCTGAGCCATCCTGGGGTATAGCCATATGTTTTTTGCAGTTGCTTAGCCAGTCCCACAGTGGCATAAGAAAGTTCCTTGCAATAAATCATTTGTATATGTCATATTGATTTTGTTACTCCGTTTCAACGCTGACCAAAAGATATTTTGTTCCAGAAGTGGTTCTAGAGGAAGAGAATCTTAAGAATGAGTTTTCTAAATCAATTCTGTGTTTTCTCAAATTGGATTTCTCATCTTTTTTAGTTTAAAGGCACTATTGACTTTATTTCCAGTGGAAAATAGGGCATTGGTTGTTAAAGCCACGACATGGTGATAAATATATGCCAAATATATTGGATAATCCCAAGCATATACCTATAGAAGGCATGATTCTAGATGACCATGAATTTGTTAGTTTCGGACATAATAGTCAAACGAAGGACTATAGTGGTATTTACTAGTTGCTCTGATTTGTGCTTCAGAAAGTGGGAAAGAAAAAGATGAGGACAAGGCATCAAATTCCAGCTCAATCAGAATAACCTGAAAGCGTCAGTCATTATGCATGGCTTCTTAACCTTGTGTTGTTGATCTTGGCATTCATAGTAAATAACTTGACAGGAAATCTATTACACTGTTACTTTATTTGTATAGGCAGGAGGATTCTCTTGCAAGTAAACAGAAATCCAACTGGAATTACCTAACAGAATCACATCTCCCAAATCAATTCTAAGACAAGTCCAGTTTACAAATCCACAATTGCTTCAATAAACGGGAGGTCAGTTCTGTATTAGGATGGACGCTGGTACGTTGCAGAGTGCTTCACAAGGCCCTACAGCCATTAACCCGTGTGACTATGTACTCAAAAGGAGAAATATTCAAACATCTTGGCAACGACTAACTCCTATTATCAAATGGCACGTTTATATTTTGATGATTGGGCCTGGTGAGAAGGAAGCAGGAAGGAATCTAGGCATATTTGTAAGATACATACATACCAGAGGGAAGAAATAAATCTTATAATAATTCATGGGCCTTTCACCTTGGTGAAATTTCCACAAGTTCACTGATGTAGGCCTATTGAGCTATCCCTTCTGGGTGTAGGGCAAGTAGAATATAGCCCTTCCTACGATCAAAAAATAGCGTCACAACGCCTAGTGGACCACTGGGGCTATTGTATGCTACTTATTCCTCATTGAGGCGTGCTACTTTGCCTATTTTGTGTGACCTGAAAACATTTTGACTCATCCAAGATAAGTCTGTGCAATGTGTCCCAGCTGCTATGTAAGTTTCTCTGCCATCAGGACCCTATGACCCAGAAAAGCCAAAAGTGATTAAAATGTTAATGAAAGATAGTGATGGTTGAGCCTTTGGCTGGCCCTAGTTAGTAAATCAGCACTTTACAAGGCTGAGGTGGGAGAATCGCTTGAGCCCAGGACTTCAAGACAAGCCTTGGCAACATAGCAAGACCTTGTTCTAAAAAAAAAAATTGAGGCGAACAGACCAAAAACTCAACATAAAAATGGGTAATAGATTTGAACAATTTACAAAAAGAAAAATAATATTGACACAGGAAATATGCAAAAATGTTCTATGTTATTTAAAAAACAAGAAATATAAATTAAAACTAAATTTAAATACACTTCTTACCATTTGATTGGCAAAACTTTAAAAATGTTGTAATAACACATTTTGTTAGCTAGTTTCAAGGCAAGAGTATATTTATACATTACTTCTGCAAATGGAAATGGTACCAAAAAATTAAGGCAACTTGACAATATGCAACAAAATTTCTATTAATATCTTCACTTTTCAATCCTGCTTTCTGGGATGTACTCTTCTGATGTATCTTCAACAGGGATAATATACAAATGTACAAGTGTATTTATAACAGCATCATTTGTAATAATAAAATATTGGAAGTCACTGAAATGTCCATAAATTGCAGCACTGTTATATAAACCACTCAATGGAATTTATGCAGTTTTAAAAATAAATTACTCCATATGACATGATTTCCAAGATGTTATTATGTGAATATAGAAGAATTAGAAGTGTACTATCCTAACATTTAAGTAAAAAGGAAAAATAAGAAACACATCTATTCTGTTAAAAAAAAGTGGTAATGAAAATAATAAAATTAGTTACATAAAGGTGTTAGGTGGCAACACTGTGGAATTGGTTTAGGGGTAGGAAGGAGGGGAGTGGCACTTCTCTGAGAATAATATGTGGTAGAGCATTGACTCATGGGAACATGTTGATGACTGACATACCCAATAATATAAAATCAAGAATGAGATTTCTTTGTAGATAAACTAGGAAAGTGAAAATCATAGAATAACAAATTAACCTAAATGTATTTCAAATCAATAACATAAACAGTCTAAAGGTGACAGCAAGAAGTAATTTAAGCAACTTATTAAACAGTACAGTGTTTGACTATATATCCTCAGTCTAAAGACAAAAAGAACTATAAAAAATGTTGAACTCTACTTTTGCATTGTTTTTTACAATGATATGAATTAGTAACTCTGACACTGCATGATGCGTATGCAATGGTCTTAATGTTTGTGGCCCACCAAAATCCATATATTGTAATTTTTACCCTCAATGTGATGGTAATAGGAGGTGGGGCCTTTGGAGGGTGATTAGGTCACGGGATGAATACCCTTATAAAAAATGCCAGAAGGAGCTTGTTTGTCACTTCAACCAAATGAAGACACAGCAATATGGTGCTAACTATGAACAAGAAAGTGGCCAACTACCTGACACAAAATCTGCCAGTGCTTTGATCTTGGATCCCAGTTTCCAGATCTGTGAAGAATAGATTTCTGTTGCTTAAAAGCCGGCCGGGCGTGGTCGCTCACGCCTGTAATCCCAGCACTTTGGGAGGCCGAGGTGGGCGGATCACAAGGTCAGATCGAGACCATCCTGGCTAACACGGTGAAACCTCTTCTCTACCAAAAATACAAAAAAATTAGCCGGGCATGGTGGCGAGCACCTGTAGTCCCAGCTACTCGGGAGGCTGAGACAGAAGAATGGCATGAACCTGGGAGGCAGAGCTTGCAGTGAGCCGAGATCGCGCCACTGCACTCTAGCCTGGGCGACAGAGCAAGACTCCGTCTCAAAAATAAAATAAAATAAAATAAAATAAAATAAAATAAAATAAAATAAAATAAAATAAAAGCCAGGCAGGCTATGATATTTTGTGACTAAAAAATATTGGTACTGAGAGGTGGGCTTGCTGCTGCAACAAATACCTAAAAATGTAGCAGTCTTTGGAACTATGTAATGGATAGAGTCTAGAAGAGTTTTTACATGTATGCTAGGAAAAGCCTACATTGCCATGAATGGACTGATAAGGACAATTCTGGTTAGCGCTCAGAAATAGAGAATAAGAACTGTAGAGAAAACATCAATCTTGTTAGAGCATACCTAGGTAGTCATGATCAGAATGTTGGTAGAAATATGGACAGTAAAGGCCATTCTGAAGACCTCAGTCAGAAATGTTGAACATGTTATTGGAAGAGAAGAGAGCTTCTTGTTATAAAGGGACAAAGAATTTGGCTGAATTATATTCAGGTGCTAGTGTTTTATGGAAGGTAGAATTTGTGAATGATATAATTGTTTATCTGAATTAATTTCTAATCAAAGTGTTGAAGTTGCTTGAATCATCTTGACTACCCGTAGTGAAAGGCACGAAGTGAGGAATGACTGAAATAATTATTAATTAAAAGGGAAACAGAACTAAAATTTTTAAAAGTTTACAGCCTATCTACTTTGGAAAAAAAAAAAAACAGGAAACCTGAAGAATACAAGGGTATGGTTAAGCAACTAACTAATTCATGAATTTAGTATGGATTGGCCATGTCAACTGAAGCCAGGACCTATTGTCCAAGACAATGGAAGAATGACCCCAAAGGCATTTCACAGATTATGGCAGCTTCTCCTCCCATCACAGGCCCAGAGTGCAAGGACCTGGGGGACAGAAAGGGCCTTTGATGCCAGATATACCCTAATATATTAGGCACAGTTTCCTGCCTACTACGATTGAGCGTGTCAATAAATTTTTATCTCTTGGGAGGGCAGAACAGAGCAAGGATACAGCTGTAACTGGTTTAGAAATAGCAGTCACTCAATTTTCAGAGAAGTGTTCCTCATACTGTGGTTGGCACAGTCACTTTATCTAAAGAAAACCATGAAAAGTATTCTTTTTTAGTTTAGAAAAATTGATATAGAACATGAGACTCCATTTTTTTAAAATAAAAATATAGGTTGATAGGCCAGAATTCACAGGTCCACCTGCCTGAGCCAAAATTCTCACGCCTCCACAGAGCAAATGGACTCCATTTCCCAAGATACCAGCGAAACGCCTGCGGGAGTCTAATTGCCCGGTCGATGCGCAGGAAATTTGGCTCCCGCAGGCGTTTCGCGAGTAGCTTGGGAGGCGTGGGAATTTTGGCCCAGGCAGGAGGACCTGTGAATTCTGGGAAGTGGAGTCCATTTGCTCTGTGGAGTCGTGGGAACTTTGGCTCAGGCAGGCGGATTCGGGGGATTCTGGGAAGTGTAGTCCAGACGCCTGTGGCATCATCGACACTTCCGGTCTCCGAGCAGGACACTGCTACTTAACAAGGTGGTTTGAGCCAAGTATGTGTCTTGCGGGTCTTTGCGAAAGTGAACCAGTTATTAGGGGCGCCTAACGACCTGGGGGGTCAACTAAGGGGGTAAGAAGCCCTGGAGAAGACCTGAGGTTTGGAGATGCGAGGGGTGGGAGGGAAGTTTCGTTGCCGTCGATGGAGCCTTCTGGCGTTGGGGGCTGTACTCAGGTCCACCGGAGGAGTCGTCGGGGGTTCGGGGGGGGCGGGGAAGAACTCTGTCTAGTCTTGTGTGCCTGTTTAGAGGGTTTTCCAGGTGTTTGACCTCGTTCAGTCCGCCTCCCTCCACTCTTAAGTGTGCGACCTCTTTCTCGCGATATAACGTGGGGTGTTACTTAATCTCCCTGTACCTCCCATTGCCGTTTTTTAAATGAGGATTTCAGGACCATCCTGATAGAATTGTTTTAGGAGTTGAAAGTTGTGGTATAAAACAAAGACTTAACAGCTCCTGTCACTTGGTGTCCTGTTAATTTCCCGCGAAGTGGTCAGGTGCCCGGGTGGGGTCAGAGCTCCAGCTGCTCCGGCCCTTCTCTTGGAGCCCGGCAGGGCTCTGGATGATCCCGGACGCCTCTGACCTCTTTTTAGGAAGGCGTGGGTTGCATCCACGTTTCACGAAGGGAGAGGAGCATTTAACTTGTATCCGGGACGGCGACGCAGAGTGTTTGACAGCTTTCTCCTTCCCCAGCCTGACTTTTCTAAAAGAGCTGCAGGGAGGGACTTGGCTACTGAGGACAAAGCTGTCTACACGAGTGGTCTTTGGCTTTTCTCTTTTTAAAAAAAAGTTATTTATTTTGTTAGTCTGTTTTTATTATTGTTATTATTTGAGAATGAGGTTTGCTCTGTCTCCCAGGCTGGAGTGCAGCAGTGGCGCGATCTTGGCTCACTGCAACCTCCGCCTCCTGGGTTCAAGCGATTCTCTGTCCTCAGCTCCGGAGTAGCTGGGATTACAGGCATGCGTCACCATGCCCGGCTAATTTTTGTATTTTTAGTAGAGACGGGGTTTCACCATGTTGGCCAGGCTGGTCTCGAACCTGTGGTCCTAAGTGATCCGCCTGCCTCGGCCTCCCAAAGTGCTGGAATTACAGGTGTGAGCCACCGCGCCGGGCCGGTTTTTTCTTTTACAGAGATGTTCACCTCAACCAAGAGTGTATAGGATGTGTCCTTGGGCATGGGTGTTGATAATAATTAAACCTTAATTGGTAACTTAATTCTAAGGGCTTTATGGAAATAAATACATTTACGCCACACCATGGCTCTGTGGAAAGGTATTGCTCTTTTTCTTTTTTTTTTTTTTTTTTTTTTCCTGAGACGGAGTCTCGCTCTGTCGCCCAGGCTAGAGTGCAGTGGCGCGATCTGGGCTCAGTGCAATAGGCCGCCTCCCAGGTTCAGGCGATTCTCCTGCTTCAGCCTCCTAAGTAGCTGGGATTACAGGTGCGCACCACCACGCCCAGCTAATTTTTGTATTTTTAGTAAAGATGGGGTTTCACCGTTTTGGTCAGGCTGGTCTGAAACTCCTGACCTCGTGATCCGACCGCCTTGGCCTCCGAAAATGCTGGGATTACAGGCGTGAGCCACCGCGCCCGGTCGCTCTTTTCCATTTTAAATATGGGAGTGAGACACCTGGTGCTTAGTTCCCAGTAGAATGAGGTACAGCTGGAGCTGGAACCTAGGCAGTTTGGGTCAGAGCCTGAGTTGATCATCCCTTGGATACATTTTCATTGAGGTAGAGGAACTAGCTGGAATCAGGTGGGGAAAGAGAGTTAGGACTTGATTGAAGGGACCTTGAGAGCAAGGCTCATAGACTTGGACTTCTGTAGGAGTCTTTTAAAAATTTGTCAACATCCTGTTTCACTTTTTATAAGGATTTTGTATTGTGGAACCATATCATTGTGGAGCATTTTAAAATTAGATTAATAGGAGGAGAAAACATGTTTTAAATTACCCATGAATCCAAGATGTGAAGGTGCTAACTGTCTGATACAAGAGATGGAACTTCCAGTTCTCCTCCGTTTCTTTTTAGTCTTTCTCTGTGTCTATTGTATATTTATTTATAAGCATTTAAAAAAATTGTTATAATATCTTAATGTGTTTTCCCATATTTCTTTAACTATGGAAATTTTTAAATACTGCTAATAGAGAATAAACTAGTAAACTGCCATATTATGTCATGCTCATCCAATATTATTCCCATTTGTGTTTTTTTTTTTTTTTTTTTAGACGGAGTCTCGCTCTGTCACCTAGGCTGGAGTGCAGTGGTGCGATCTCGGCTCACTGTGAGCTCCGCCTCCCGGGTTCACACCATTCTCCTGCCCCAGCCTCCTGAGTAGCTGGGACTACAGGTGCCGGCCACCATGCCCGGCTATTTTTTTGTATATTTAGTAGAGACGAGGTTTCACTGTGTTAGCCAGGATGGTCTCGATCTCCTGACCTTGTGATCCGCCCACCTCGGCCTCCCAAAGTGCTGAGATTACAGGTGTGAGCCACGGCGCCCAGCCCCCATTGTTATCATCCTTATGACTATTTCCTGATAGTTGAAAACCTTTCATTTTTATATCATTTCAAAGCTGTAGAAGAGTTGCAAAAATAGTATAAGGAATTCTCATATACTCTTTACCCAAATTTGCCGATTGTTTACATTTTTCCTGTTTGCTTTGTTGGTGGCCATCAGCCAAATACTACCAGGAACATATCTGTAACCAGAGACGATTGTAGATTTCTGCAGCAAGGAAGCCCACATTCCATGGTGATCATGGGGTGACTTGGTAAGAGGTGTTTAGAAAGGGCAGGTTATAGGGTCTCACGTAACATGCTAGACAATATTAAGATATCATATTAAATGATATTTATTAAATATTAGATATCTGTTTAAAAAACTACTAATTGTGCTTATAGTGTTATAATTAGATAGTGCTAGATAGCATATTCCATAACATCATGTTATCTCATATGTGGTTCCATAATTAAATTTGTTCAATTTTTTCATTTATAGTCCTCACAACTATCTTCTACCCTACCCTTTACCCTGACCCCAGTTTAAAGTCTAATTATATGCATTGTGTTTACTCGTCACATTTCTGTCTTCTTTAATCTGGAAGGATTTCACAGCCTTTTTCTTTAATATATGTGGTATTTTTAAAGAGTGTAGGCAAGTTATTTTGGAGAAAGACGTTCATTGGGATTTATCTGATATATCTCATGTTTAGGTTCAGATCATGCATTGTTATTGCTTCTGGGCCTTATGCATTGTTGGTGCGGATACTGCCAAAGTGATAAGGTTTCCTTCCTATTGTAACATAACAGGGCCAAACGATGTTGGTTTGGCCCTTCATTGGTGATCTCAACTTCATTCATTTGGCCAAGATGATGTCTTTCAGATTTGTCCACTATCAAATTACCTTTTTAAAAGAAATAGTCAAGTTTCTTCTGGGGAGATACATTATTAATGGGCATTCACTCTAAAAATGAACTGCCAGTTCTCCCCCATTTATTTATTAGTTTCTTCAACTATAAATATTCTATCAGTATGGACTCAGTCTTGTTAAGTTAAATGACATGTAAACTAACAATTATTTTTCCCAATTCTATTGAGGTATTTTTTACGTATCATAGCATTCACCAATTTCAGGTGTACAATTCAGTGATCTTCAGGAATTTCACATAGTGGTTTTGCCATCATCATGATTCAGTTTAGACCATTTTCATCCCCTAACTGGACTTCTTGTGCCCACTTACAGTTAAAACTCATTTTCAGGCCGGGCACAGTGGCTCATGCCTGTAATCTCAGCACTTTGGGAGGCCAAGGTGGGAGGTATAGCTTGAGCTCAGGAGTTTGAGACCAGCTTGGACAACATAGCAAGACCCCATCTCTTAAAAAATAAAAACTCATTCTCACCTCAAATCTGGAGCAACCACTAACTTATATTCTCTCTATATACCATTATCTATTCTGGATGGTTCATATAAATGGGATCGTATAATCCATGGGTTTTGTGATTGGCTTCTTTCATTTAGCATGATGTTTCCAAGCTTTGGAAACATCCTTTAAATTTCCAAATAAGATTCCATGGTATGGATACACCACCATTTGCCTATCCATTTACCCAGAGGAAGGCATCTTGGTTGTGTGCAGTTTGGGTTTATTATGAATAATGCTGCTGTGATCATTCATGGGCTAATTCACAACACACATCTCTCTTTTTCTGCAGACTGTGGCACGTTTCAGGCAGGATTCCTCCTTCATTCAAACTGCATCACCCAGGAGTCTGCAAATTCCCCAAAGTAGGAGGAAAAATGACCACATTCAAGGTGAGGGGGGCGTGCCTCTCTCGCTGTTAAAATTCCATGTCACTACTCATATTTTCATGTGTTTTTCTCTGTCATGAGAAGACTCAAGGGGAAAACAGGCATTTGGGGACCTGTTTGTGCCAGGTGCTTCCTTTATCTCTTTTGTGTTGACTGCATTTGGTTTTTGGTTTTGCTTTGTTTTGTTTTGTTACCATTATTTATTTTATGGAGTATGAAAATTAGTAGAAATGAACAGTGCTCCCACTTCCTTACCTCCCCTCTCTCAAATTATCTGTTTTTATCTTCTCTGCTGTTCGTCATGTACATTTGTAACTGTATTTGTATTGATGATATACATCTAATTGTAAACTGTGCTCTTTTTATATGTTATATAATCTTCCATTTTTATGGTTACATCATATTCCTATTACATTGATGTATCTTTTTATTTATAACTACCTCACGCTCATAGACATATTTTAAGCAACACTGCAGTGACAGCTTTCCTATACATAACCTTTTCCCACAAAATTAATTTTGAAAACCATATGCCATTTTAGCTCAATTTTGAAAGGGTACTTTTGATATGTACCACATTGGCTGTTTTGCAGATAGAATATTTTAACTAGGCACAGAACAAAAGGATGTAACTGCTGCACCACACAAATATTGTTGGAGTTTTCACACTGGAAGAGCTAGATTCTGTGTTCTCCTTGTCTCAGTCATACTTTGCATGTGCTTTATTTACTGGTCTCTTCTTATTCATTTATGTAGTAAGCAGTTTAACCAAAGCAGTAGAAAGCCTTCATTTAAAATGTCCAGTGATACTAAGTTTTGCCAATCACTTGTGTTCTGTTACTACATTTACTCCTCAGCGCAGCGGAATGAGGTTCCTGGTCTCTTCTTCTTCTTGAACAGGTGAAATATGAGAAACCTTCTCAGGTGTACACAGGCAACCAAAGGTCAGGAGTGTTAGCCATTCGGCTCAGGTGAAAAAGAGAAACAAGGAGAGAGACAGAATTCTCCATTGAGCAACCTGTGCCCTGTGATGTGGATGTCTGGAGTGCCCTGTGGAGTGATGGTGTCCCTAGTGGTGCTGCTCCTCCCTGTCCCTACTTGGTGTGACTTCTTGTCACATGTCACTATGACATGGCATCTACTCCAGGCACTGAAGTATACTGATTACCATAGTTGTTATAGAAAATCTTTAAATCCCTTTTGGCAAAAGATGCCTCACACAATGTTACCAGAAGAAATAATGACCTGGGGCAGAAATGTTAGCCACGTGGATACCTAAAGAAAATAAAATTCAAAATCAAAACCTTGAGCACAGAATAAAGGAAAAACTCCAAACAGATAGGAACAAAGGACACTAAAAGGCCAATGTAAAAGGAGAAGTAGAGATGGCCAATAACCTTGAAAAGTGATGGTTTTCATTTGTAATCAAATAAGTGAGAATAATAGAATGATTTGTTCCCCAAATCAGATTACCAAGACTGTGGGAATACTTATAACCTGCTCTTGGTCATGATAAAGAGAAGCAAAGTACTTGTATTCTGTTCAAAGATTATGGAGGTAGGTAAAAAACTGGGAAGAAAGCATGCAGTTATATGATCACAGTTCTAAATGTGCTTATTTTTTGATGTTTTAATTTTCATTTGAAATTATTATTTTAAACAATGAGAGAGTAAGATGTTCTTACATCTTGCTACATCATTACTTAATGATGCTCTTTACAGGATTGATAATGGAAAATATGTAAAATTAAATATTCTTTACTGTAGCTAAAAGTAGGTCATCAGATCTCTGGAATACTATGCAGCCATGAAATAGATAATGCTAGTAACAACAGTAAAAAAGATTCCAGCTAATGTTCATTAAACAGTGGCACAGATGTTTCCAAATGCTATGTATTTCCTTGTTTAATCCTTTAAAATACTGTGCCAAATAAGGACTATTATTTAGAGAGGAAAGTAAATCCTGTAGGCAAACATGTCTAAGGCCACACAGTTAGGAAGGGGCAGACCCTTAGGATGTACAGTGATGCATTCTGGCTTCTGATCAGGACACTGAAGGCTGCAATTAACATTTGTGGTTTGTACCTTGAGAGTAGAGGACACACTACATAACTGTCCCACTCAGCTGTCCACACTGGTACTGTGGAGTAGGTTCACTGTGCACTGATTACCAACTTGTGTGAGTCCTGTGAGACAGAACACGATCTCACTCAACAGATTACGTGAAGCAGATTTGTTATCTACAAATTGGCAGCAAGGGAGCACAGGAGTGTAGGATACACTGTGAGGTGGCCATCCAAGGCTGAAGAAAACGTCCTGGGGTGGGTAGAATCTTGACCCCATTTCCACCAGAGCAGAGGTACCCCAGAAGGCAGCCCACCCGAGGTTATATACCTCCGGGGCAATACGACTTACTGGGCACTTTCTCCCTAACTCAAGACATTATCTTCCCTAGGAAGGACAGGAACATTGCATTGCTAGCATGTTCTATGTTTATTCTTCAAAACTATACACAAGAAAGAATGATTCAAGGCCACCCTGAAAATTACCCACAGTTACCTAAAACTTGTTAGTTTAGCAAATACTAAAGAAAAGCAATAGCATCCAGGGTTTGAGTACGAGAGAGGAGGACCCAACAAAGTTGGGACTGAATTGTTTAATGTTGCTGGGGCAGTTGGCAAGATGTGTCGAACCTATATATGGGTAGCTCAGGATGCAGCATGTAGAGTCCTAGAGGGTTACATACAAGTAGACTCAATGAGTGCACAGAATAAATGTATGAGACTTCATCATTGCACTTCTGGTGGAGTTCAGGAAAATCAGTATGTGTCATTGTCAGGATATAGACAGAATGAGTGGGAAATCTCTAAGTTGACCTACATCCCTCAATACTGAGAACAACTTTCCACTCATCCCCTTCCCCTGCTCAATGCCGCTTCTCCCCCAGTAGTCCTTGGTCATAAGATTGAAGTTATGTCTTCTTGATGTTGTAGGAGGCAGTGACCTTCAAGGATGTGGCTGTGGTCTTCACTGAGGAGGAGCTGGGGCTGCTGGACCCTGCCCAGAGGAAGCTGTACCGAGATGTGATGCTGGAGAACTTCAGGAACCTGCTCTCAGTGGGTGAGCACGGGCATCTTTTGTGTCTGAACATCAGGCCTCAGGAGTGGTTTTGTACCTTAGAGTGTTCAAGTTTGAGTGTGCATTGGGAACCTAAATAGCCAGTAAATTTTGCCTAAATATTACCCAGAATGTGTTGGGATTCAGCACGTGACCTTACCTATTCACAGGGCATCAACCGTTCCACCAAGATACTTGCCACTTCCTAAGGGAAGAAAAGTTTTGGATGATGGGGACAGCAACCCAAAGAGAAGGGAATTCAGGTAAGAACTAAGCATCTGTGTGTCCTTGTACCTGACTCTCCCACCTGTTGTGCTTCTGTCCATGCCCATTTGCATTGCTCTGATGTAAATGACCACATCTCCTTCCTGGATTATTACAACTGCCTTCCAGTTGGTGGCCCTGTTCCCACCCTAATATCTGTTCTCATGGCAGCCAAAGCGATCCTTAGGAAATGGAAGTCAGATTGTCATTCCTCTCCTCAAAAGCTTTTATAACTTCTTATTTTTATTGATGTTACAACCTCTTTAAGTGCATCTTAGAGACCTATGTGGTCTGCTCTTCATCCCATTCTGCCTCTCTGACTACGTGTGTCCTTTCCATCTTTCTCCATCATTTCCAGCCACATTTCTTCCCTGCTGTTTCTGTCCTGCCAAGGACACTGTATTGCCTGTTGTGGTAACCAATGACCACAAACTTAGTGGACTAAACAAAAATATTTATTATCTCTCTGTTCTTTAGGCCTGAAGTTTGATACATTTCACTGGGCAAAAATCAAAGCGTCCCTAGGGCTTTGTTTCTGCCTGAATGTTCTTGGAGGGAAAACTTCACTTTGGTTTACCAGTGTCTAGGCACTGTCCACACTCCCTGGCTCTTGTTTCACGTCTCCATCTTCGAAGGCAGCTACTTTGCATCTCTGACCATTCTTCCATAATCCCATTCCCTCTGCCACTCTTCCTAAGCCTCTGCCTTCTACCTTTCAGGTCCCTTGTGATTGCATTGGTCACTCCTGCATAAACCAGGATGATCTTCCTACCTTCTGCTTAGGTGACTAGTGACCGTTATGGCGTCTGCCGTTTTAATCCCCCTTGCTGTGTAACATAATAGGAAGGCTGACTGTATATTGCAGAACAGTTTTTTTGGCCTGCTGATGGCTGCTTATCCAATTCTGACTTTCTTAGGTTCCTTGACATGATTGGTTTCAGGTGTGTACAATTGACCCACGTCCCGTGGAAACTTCTAAGCATTGTTTTTATGACCACACTGAGTAAGATGCCTTCCCTGAGACTTATCCTGGAGCTTTCCATAGGGAGCATATTTATATCTGGGAAGAAATTCTTTTTGAATGAGGATTTCCAGCTACATTTCCTTTGAAAGATTTACCCATCTGCAGCCCATTTGCCTTTTCCAAAGTCTATATACACTTCACTGGCCCCAGCTTCCTCCTTCGTACTAGAAGGGGGAAGAATGAGGATGAGGGGACACAAGTCATGTAGCTGAACATTTACTCTATTTCTGGTCCTCTTTCTTCATAAATGTGTCTATTTCTGCATCTTTATGTCATACAAGTTTTGTTTTCAAAAACATTAAAGGATATAGATTTTACACAATTTTTTCTTGATTTTTATAGATTTAGTGCTGTATTTTGAACTGGTGAACTTTATGACCTGTTAGGAATTGGGAAACTGCCCTCTAAAACTAGAAACATCCTGAAGATTCTCCTTTCTCCTTAAAGATTTCTTATTAATTTAATTTATTTTTGAGATGCAGTTTCGCTCGTCACCCAGCCTGGAGTGCAATGGTGCAATCTCGGCTCACAGCGACCTCCGCCTCCCAGGTTCAAGTGATTCTCCTGCCTCACCCTCATAAGTAGCTGGAATTACAGGTGCCCACCACCACACCCAGCTAATTTTTGTATTTTTAGTAGAGATGGGGTTTCACCACATTGGCCAGGCTGGTCTCGAACTCCTGACCTCAGGTGATCCACCCGCCTCGGCCTCCCAAAGTGCTGGGATTACAAATGTGAGCCACCATGCCCAGCCAAGACCTCTTATTTATAAGTGACAGTGTATTAAATATATCTACGTACCACTGTATACCAATAGGTACACACTTACCTATAAATCCTTTCCAAGATTCAACCTCTGCAACTTAACTTTCCATTGGAAGAATTTACTTAATTCAGGACTTGGTATTATCCTGACAAAGTTTTGAATGTTTTGCAAGCATGAGCCATAGTAAGAAGCACATATTTCAATATAACCCGGACAAACATTTTTCATGCCTGTAGATGTGTATGAGTGACTCTAGGAGGCATTTCATGGAATGACCACTTTCCTGCTTGTCATGATGCTGTGATAATTTACATTCCAGTTCTTTTTTGTAAATGTTTATTGCAGAGTTTAACTGTATTTCATAGCTCACTAATGTGTAGTCTTCAATATAAAAAGTTATAAAGTCCTATTTATCTGCATCATAGGCTTTCTTTTCATTTCATGTGATTCTTCACATTTTTGATTGTCTGCTCAGGAGCATCCCCCTTTGTGGACCCCTGGAAGGACAGCCTTTCAGATTCCCCTCAAAACTGTAGTTGTGTGTCTCTGTACTCCTTCAGATAACCAAGTTACTCTCCACATCAATACAGAAAAGTAAGATGAAGTATTTTACATATGCTGTGCAAAATTCTTGTGCAGGGATACTTTGAATGTGTACATAGAAACACTATGAAGTGTTTGATGTTTAATGTTGTGCAGAGTTCAACCAACTACAAAATTTACTGAGACATTTTACAGAGAACTGCTCTCACTTCACACCAAGTGCAAATTCAGGAGGTTTTCAAAACTGCCTTTGCATTCAATAATTTTCTAAACTCTCAGAACTCACTGAATACTTTTATTCTCACTGACTGATTTTTACAGGGAAAACATGTATATTATACTTAGAGAAAAACCAAATAAAACAGGGTCCAGATGAGAATAACCAAATGCGGACCTTCTATTGTATTCTCCTGGCAGAGTAGGATGTGTTACATTCCCAGGATTAAGGTATGACTTAGACTCAAAGTACTGTCAGTCACAGAAACTCACCTAAGTGCTGGGATCCAGAGTAATTATTGGGTCTCCATTATGGAGCCAGTATTGATTGATGATTCCTAGGTGGTTAATCAGTCTCCTAGTCCACTAACTCTCTGTGACCTAAAGCTCCACCTTAAATCACATTGCTTATTTCTGACATGGAGAGGAGCATCTCCCACTCCCAATCCCCCAAAGGATTTGCCAGTTGCAACCATAAATTATATTGTTTCACTATGCAGAGTGATCCAGTGATTGCCTTCAAGCCAACCAAGACACTCTCCTGAGGTATGACACTTCAGGATCCTAGAGATTACCTCTCAGATGCTGAGGACAAAGTCCCAACCTCTTTTTGGTTAGGTTAACTTTTTTTTTTTTTTTGAGGCAGAGTCTCGCTCTATCTCCCAGGTTGGAGTGCAGTGGCACGATCTCAATCTCAGCTCACTGCAACCTCTGCCTTCCAGGTTTAAGCAATTCTCCTGCCTCAGCCTCCTGAGTAGCTGGGACTACAGGCATGTGCCACCACACGTGGCTAATTTTTGTATTTTTAGCAGAGACGGGGTTTCAAGGCCAGGCTGGTCTTGAACTCCTGACCTCAAGTGATCTGCCCACTTCAGCCTCCCAAAATGCTGGGATTACAGGTGTGAGCCACTGCATCCAGCACTTTTTTTTTTTTTTTTTTTTGAGACAGGGTCTCGCTCTGTCACCCAGGGCTCACTGCAACTTCCACCTCCCAGGCTCAAGCAATTCTTCCACCTCAGCTTCCCAAGTAGCTGGGACTACAGAGTGCACGACCACACCTGGCTAATTTATGTATTTTTAGTAGGGACAGGGTTTTGCTATATTGCCCAGGCTGGTCTCGAACTGCTGGACTCCAGTGATCAATCCCAAAGTGCTGGGATTAAAGGCTTGAGCCACCGCACCTGGCCTAGTTTAACTTCTTTATAAGGATATACAGCATAAACACAAATATACAAAGTGTTGATTAAGTTATTGCTTTTCCTTAAAGTTCCTTTTGATTCATATTTCATTATGTACATAAATTTTTATTTTCATAATTTATCATGCAAGATTTTGGACTGACTAGGAAATTCATTACAAATAGTAACAAGTTAAATGTATATCATATTTTTAAATTAAGTCTATTATTTCTATCAAGGATTTCACATGTGAGACATGATGTGGTTCTGAATTGGCCTCATGCAAACCAGAAATCAGGGTGTACTTGGAAAACAAACTGAACATTCTCTGTATTCATTAAAGTTTAATGTCATGTCCTAAGTGTGAAACCTTGAGATCACTGAATAAAGGCTTCACCTGTACACATCTCTTAAATCTGTGTCTTTATAGGAGGCAAGATCCAAACTGAGTTGGAGTCTGTTCCAGAAGCAGGAGCACATGAAGAGTGGTCCTGCCAGCAAATCTGGGAACAAATTGCAAAAGACTTAACCAGGTCTCAGGACTCTATCATAAATAACTCTCAGTTCTTTGAAAATGGTGATGTCCCCTCCCAGGTTGAAGCAGGACTACCCACAATTCATACAGGACAGAAACCTTCCCAGGGTGGGAAGTGTAAACAGTCCATCAGTGATGTTCCCATCTTTGATCTTCCTCAGCAGTTATACTCAGAAGAGAAGTCTTATACATGTGATGAGTGTGGAAAAAGCATCTGTTACATCTCAGCTCTTCATGTTCATCAGAGAGTCCACGTGGGAGAGAAACTCTTTATGTGTGATGTGTGTGGCAAGGAATTTAGTCAAAGCTCACATCTGCAAACTCATCAGAGAGTCCACACTGGAGAGAAACCATTCAAATGTGAGCAATGTGGGAAAGGTTTCAGTCGTAGATCAGCACTTAATGTTCATCGTAAATTACACACAGGAGAGAAACCTTACATTTGTGAGGCATGTGGGAAGGCCTTCATTCATGATTCCCAGCTTAAGGAACATAAGAGAATCCATACTGGGGAGAAACCATTCAAATGTGATATATGTGGTAAGACCTTCTATTTTAGGTCAAGACTTAAGAGCCATTCCATGGTTCACACAGGAGAAAAACCATTTAGGTGTGATACATGTGATAAGAGCTTTCATCAGAGATCAGCACTTAATAGGCATTGCATGGTCCACACAGGAGAGAAACCGTACAGATGTGAGCAGTGTGGAAAAGGCTTTATTGGTAGGCTAGATTTTTATAAGCATCAGGTGGTCCACACAGGAGAAAAACCATATAATTGTAAAGAATGTGGGAAGAGCTTCAGATGGTCCTCATGCCTTTTGAACCATCAGCGAGTCCACAGTGGAGAAAAAAGCTTCAAATGTGAAGAATGTGGAAAGGGATTTTATACAAATTCACAACTGTCTTCCCATCAGAGATCCCACAGTGGTGAAAAGCCATATAAATGTGAGGAGTGTGGGAAGGGCTATGTTACTAAGTTTAATCTTGACTTGCACCAGAGGGTCCACACGGGAGAGAGACCTTATAATTGTAAGGAATGTGGGAAGAACTTTAGCCGGGCCTCAAGTATTTTGAATCATAAGAGACTCCACTGCCAGAAAAAACCATTCAAATGTGAGGACTGTGGAAAGAGGCTTGTACACAGGACATACCGTAAAGACCAGCCGAGAGACTATAGTGGGGAAAACCCATCCAAATGTGAGGATTGTGGGAGACGCTACAAGAGGCGCTTGAATCTGGATATACTTTTATCATTATTTCTAAATGACACATAATTGTTCATATTTATGGGGTACAACGTGCTATTTTAATGTGTGCATACAATTTATAGTGATCCAATCAGTGTAATTGGTGTATCTGTTACCTCAAACATTTACCATTTCTTTGTGTTGGAAAATTCAAAATCCATTTGAGAGGAGTTGGTAGACAGCAAGGGAAGGGTCCCTGGAGACCCCCAGCCAAACGGGTCAGTGTCTCATCCCCACATAACACAAAAAGCAGCCTGGGGAAGACAATCAAGCTACAGGCACTGATAAGGGAACTAGCACAGGGGATTGTGCCTGGAGACATGCCCATGGCTGCACAGATAGAAGAACCTCCAGCCCATTCAGGTAAAAACTCGCACAAACCTCCGGCTCACTCAGTTAAGGGAACAAGACCAGACACAGAAATGCCTTTGTCCTTTGTATAATCAGCAGGCTCCGAGGAAAAAGTTTCTTCTTTTGTGGGCATGAACACAGTGGGCTTCAGTAGGTTCAGGTTGGCACTTTCTTTTGTGGAAAAGGAAAAGCCCAGCCTCTGTAAATCATCACTTCAGCTCCTGATTGGTCCCAGGCCAAGCTGAATAGCCCTTAGGAATAATCACTTCAACTCCTGATTGGTCCCGGGCCAAGCTGAATAGCCCTTATGAATCATCACTTCGGTTCCTGATTGGTCCCGGGCCAAGGTCCCAGACCAAGCTGAATCACGCTTTCTCCAAGACAGCCCGCAGGCTAAGTGCATTCCTTCCCCTTCCCAGTCCATAAAAACCCCGGACCCCAGCCTCATACTGGGCAACTTATTTGGATCCCCATCTCCACTGTGGAGAGCTTTTTTCTTTCACTTATTAAACTTTTACTCCAATTTCACCCTTGTGTCTGTGCTTCTTAATCATATTGGACGTGAGATTAAGAACTCCGGGGGATAAGAGAGACTGTTACAGAGAGACTGTTACAGTGTGGTGCATTTGTGAGACTACAACACATTTTTAGCAATTTGTAAATAATTGTTGATGATAGTCACCTTTAGTGCTGCAGAACAGTAGAACTTATTCTTCCCCTCTACCTCTTTTGTATCTGTTGGCCAACCTTTGGCCATCTCACCTACCTCCTACACTTCCTTGCCTGTCTACATCCACTGTTCTACTCTCTACTACAAAATCAACTTTTTTTAACTTCCATATGAGTGAGGACAGTCAGTATTTCTCTTTCTTTGCTTGGCTTATATTAACAATGTCCTTGAAAACTCATCCATGTTGCCACAAATGATAAAATTTTGTTTCCTTGTTATGTCTAAAGAGGATTCCATTGTGTATATATGCCACCTTTTCTTCATTCATGTATTGATAGACACTTAGGTGGATTCCTTATCTTGACTATTGTGAGTAGTGCTACAATGAACCTGGGAGTGCAGATATCTCCGTGACATACTAATTTCCTTTCCTTTGGATATACCCAGTAATAGAATTGCTGGATCACTTGAATTTTATTATGCTTCAGAAGCTCCACACGGGAGAGAAACTACGGAAGTATGAGGAGGGTGGTATGTGCTTCATTCAGGCCTCAAGTCTTCAACTTCAGAATGTCCACATTGGAGAGAAGCCTCAGTAATGTGTGTAATAAAGTCTTTACTCAGTTTTCATGACTACAGTCTCACCTAAGCATTCACAAAGGGGAGAAACATTAAAATATGAGGCACATAGAAAGCAGTTCCTTTTGAGTTTGTATCTTGTAATTTATCACAGAATCCATGCTGATGATACATTTCATCCAGTCCTGTAGGAGAAAAAACATTTAAGTTAAAGCCTGTTTCAGCCATAGCTCAGCATACCCCAGTGGTCCTGGGACTGTCACAGTGGAGAACCCTTGTAAGTTGTGCAGTAGGGCTTCAAACAAAAGTTTGACAGTTACAGTTATTCAGGAGACAGACCTTAAGAGTTCATTCATGCATTTACAAAACGAATCATGAACATATCAAAGTTGATTACCACTAGAATGTCAGTGACATGTGTTTTCTGCTGCATCTTCACAACTTTAACACTGATTATCACTTTGTGTTCACTATGTGTTAAATGAATTAAAAGGAGCAAACGCGATGTTTTTAAATTGTATCTAAGAGAGGAAATCTACAAATAATTCAGGGACACCTGAGTTGAAATGCAGAGTACACTAAATACTGCAGTTCACAGCATTATTTTGATAATATCTGTTCACACTTGGTTCCTGTCTTCCCCTCCTCCTCTATTCCGAAGTTGCATTCTTAGTATTTGTGGCTTTGTGTAGTGTTCCATTGGTTGAATACAATATAAATTCAACAATAATTTGTAATTTTTCTCACACTACAGGCTGAAAACGTTGTAATAAATTCAATAAAACATCTTAATAAATTCAAAAGTTTAATACCATAAAAGTCTTTTCCAATTATAATCTAGATCACAAAAGCTGAAATTCAATCACATCATGAAAAGTGGAAAATTCACAAGTATGTGGAAACTAAACACACTCTTTATATATATATGTGTATATATATGTATGTATATATATGTATATGTATGTGTATATATATGTATGTATATATATGTATATATGTATGTGTGTGTGTATATATATATATATATATATATATATATATATATATATATACCCACCCTGTGTCCAAGTGTTCTCATTGTTCAATTCCCACCTATGAGTGAGAACATGCGGTGTTTGGTTTTCTGTCCTTGTGATAGTTTGCTCAGAATGATGGTTTCCAGCTTCATCCATGTCCATACAAAGGACATGAACCCATCTTTTTTAATGGCTGCATAGTATTCCATGGTGTATATGTGCCACATTTTCTTAATCCAGTCTATCATTGGTGGACATTTGGGTTGGTTCCAAGTCTTTGCTATTGTGAATAGTGCCACAATAAACATACGTGTGCATGCAGCACACTCTTAAATAATATGTCAGAGTACATCAGGAGTGAAATTAGGAAATACCTTAGACAACTGAAAATGAAAACAATGGCCAAAACTTTTGGAATGAGGCAAAAGCAGTAGGAGGAGGGAAATTTATATCTGTAAATGCTTATATTAAAGAAGAAAGATCTGACATCCACAGCCTAATTTTATTTTCATGAACTAGAAAAGGAGAATCTTACAGAAAGTGATTAGGAGGGAAATAATAAAGATTAAAGTATTAATAAATAAAATACAGAAGAAGAATACAAAGAAAATCAACCAAACCAAGAGTTGATTATTCTGAAAGACTAACAAAATTGTGAAAACTTTAGCAGGACTGACTAAAAAAGACTCAAGTAACTAAAAGTGGGGACATTATTACCCATTTTTACAGAGGTGAGCCACAGCGCCCAGCTTCATTTTTGTATAAGGTGTAAGGAAGGGGACCAGTTTCAATCTTCTGCATATGGCTAGCCAGTTATCCCAGCAGCACTTATTGAATAGGGAGTCCTTTCCCTGTTGTTTTTGTCAGTGTCATCAATGGCATGGTTTGGATGTGTCCCCACCCAAATCTCAGCTTGAATTGTATCTCCCAGAATTCCCACATGTGGGAGGGACACCACAGAAAGTCAGAATTATTAATTAAAAGGGAAACAGAACTAAGAATTTTAAAAATTCACAGCCTATCTACTTTGGAAAAAAAAATTAGAAAACCTGTTCTGGATAAAACAACGGTAGAGATAAGCAACTGATTTAGGAGATTAGTTTGGATTGGTCATGTCAACAGAAGCCAGGACCTGCTGTCCATTAACACTGGAAGAATGACCCCAAAGGCATCTAGGAGATCATAGAGGCTGCTCCTCCCAACACAGACCCAGAGTGCACGGACCTGGGAAGCAGAAGGGACCTTTGATGCCAAGTGCCCCTAACCTTTTAGGCTCAGTTCCCTGCATGCTACGATTGAGTGTGTCAATACATCTTATCTTTCGGGAAGGCAGAGTAGATCAAGGATACAGCTATAACTGGCATATGAATAGTGATCACTCAATTTTCAGAGAGCGGATGTTTGGCATCAAAAGTTTGGCACAGTCACCTTATTTTTGTGTCTAAACAAAATTTTGAAAAGTTTTTAGTTTAGAAAAATAGGTAAACAGTAGACTCCATTTTTTTTAAAAAGAAGAATATTGGTTTATAGGCCAATGTATGTTTATAGGGAGAAAAAAAGTTACCTTCAAAAGAGCAGGTTTTTAGATGAATTGTTTCCTAATTTAGCTTTATACTGTTATTATTTTTTAACCAATGCCAGTTTTTAAATTGCTAACTATAATAAAGAAATTATGTTTCACCAAGAAATAAGAAGAAACTTAAAAAAAAAAATCTTTAATTATTGAGGTATCTGTTGCCTAGGCTGGAGGGCAGTGGTGGCATCATAGCTCACTGCAGCCTCAATCAAACTCCTGGGCTTCAGCAATCCTCCCACCTCAGCCTCCTGAGTACTTGGAACTTGTAGTCCCAAGATCAGGCCACCATGCCTGGCCAGTTAAAAAAAAATTTTTATAGAGACGAAGTCTCCCTGTATTTCCCTGTCTGGTCTCCAATTCCTGAGCTCAAGGGAACGTCCTGCCCTGGCCTCCCAAAGGGTTGGCATTACAGGTTTGAGCCACTGCGCTTGGCCAGGAAGAAAACTCTTTATAAGACATGCTCCTTCACCTATAGAATCCTCCCGTTTTACTGCATTTACAATCTCAATGTAAGATTGATACCAATGCCTAGCTCTTCATCAGTCATTATTGCTCTGAGGTACTGAGCAATTCACTACATTCGCTGAAATTTGATGTTTCTACATCTAAGGAGAAATATGAATACCATGAAAAGTTTATGGGAAGATAGCTATTCCATGACGACACCGCTTCTCCACTAGTAGCTGTGATCTTAAATGGGGGTGGCTTTTCCTGCCAAACCAGTGGTCCCACAGCTTCTGGAGTAGGGGCTGGTGTCTTCCTGCTCCTCATTGCCCCTGCCAAACCATTCCACCTGGCTCATCCTTTAAACCGTTAGTTTTAACCTCCCATCGTCAGATTATCCTAATCCTTGAAGATTTTATCTCCTCGTTTGTTCTCTTCCCAATAACACTCCTGTCATCGTGGGAGGCGTTTAGACTTCAGGAATTCCTGTCTATACACTATTTTCGCTCAAAGACTCAGGAAGAGAGACGGACGACTCACAGGGTCACAGTCCACATTCCCCACCAGGCGCTCAGAGATATGGAATACGTTCCCGGTGGGCACTGCGGTGTGTGTAGTCAAGGACCACCGCGGAGTCCAACGCTTCCCGCTGAAGAGTGAGATTATAGACATTTTCCTTTGGCATTGGAGGAAGCGGAGTCCAGACACACTCTGAGTCGCGGGCAAGTTGGCTCAGGCGGGTGGACGAGTGAATTCTGGGAACTGTAGTCCATCAACTTCATGGAATGGCGGACCCTTTGGCTCAAGCAGTTGAACCGGGGAATTCTGGGAAGTGGAGTCCAGACGCTCTGTGGAGACGCGAGCACTTCCGGTGTGTGAGCCTGCGGTTGCTACATAACCGCGTAGTTTGAGCCATTTCTGCGTCTGGCGGGTCCTTCTGAACTTGTCACCTTCGCTTGGGGTCGCAACGACCCGATGATCGATGATCCAAGCAAGGGAAAAGAAGCCTTGGCGGAGAGCGGAGGTTTGGTGGGGGCGGGGAATGGGGTTTTTTTCCCGTCCACGGAAGCTTTCTGGGATGGGGGTGCTGTGCTCGCATCCCGGGGGTTGGAATTGGCGGGGTCCTCTGTGCCCTGCTGTGAGCGTTTCCAGGACTTTGACCTCGCTCAGCCTGCCTCTCTCCACCCTACCTGTGCGACCGCTTTCTCGCAGTGTGACGTGGAGTGTTACTCAATGTCCTTATACTTTCCATTGCTGTTTTTGGTAATGGGGACATTAGAACCATCCTAGTAGAATCGTTTTTGGGAACTGAAAGAGATAACGCAAATGAGAACCTTAAAGCAGTCCCTGTCACTTGGTGACTGGTGGTCTCTTGTTAACTTCCCGAAGAGGTCAGGTCCCCGGGTGGAGTCATAGCTTCAGCTGCAGGGGCCCTGGTCCTTCTCCCTAATCCCTGCAGGACGCTGGATGATCCCGGGAGGCCTTCTGACCTCTTTTTAGGAAAGCGAGTTGCGTCCGCTTCCACGAAGGGCGGGGAGCATTTAACTTTTATGGGGGACCGCGATGCAGTCAGGGTATTTCACAACTTTCGCCTTCCCCAGCCTGACCTTTCTAAAAGAGCTGCAGGGAGGGGACTTCTTGGCTACTGAGGGCAAATCTCTATGTGATTGGTCCTTGGCTTTTTTCCTTTATAGAGATGTTCACCCAACCGAGAGTGTGTCCTCGGGAATGGGTGTTGATAATCATTAAGCCGTAATTGGTAACTTCATTCTAAGTGCTTTATACAAATAAATTTAGGCCACACTGTGGCTCTGTGAAGTATTGCTTTTCTTTGTTTTAAAAATGAGAGTGAGACACAGGGTGCATAGCAGCCAACTAGTGAGAGGTAGAGCTGGGGTTGGCACCTAGGCAGTCCAGGTCAGAGCCTGAGTTGATCACCTCTTGGATACATTCTCATTGAGGCAGAGGAACTAGCTGGACTCGTAGGGAAAGCAAGTTAGGACCTGATTGAAAGGACGTTGAGAGCAAGGCTCGTGGGCTTGGACGTCTAGGAATTTTTAAAAATTTCTCAACTATTTTGTTTCATGTTTTCCAAGTATTTCGTACTGTTGTGGAACTGTATCATTGTGGAAAAGTCTGAAATAGGAGAAATGAGAGTAGAAAAAGTTTTTTAATTACCCATGTATCCAAGATGTAAAGGTAGTAACTGTTAAGCTTCTAATTGATTTCTTTTGTCTTTCTTTGTGTCTACTTCTATATTTGTTGATAAACATTTTTTTAAAAATTGTTATATTTTAATGTGTTTTCCCATATGTCTTTTAACTATAGAAAATTTTAAATATTGCTAATAGAGACTAAACTAGTGAGGCTGGTTGTGGTGGCTCATGCCTATAATCCCAGCACTTTGGGAGGCCAAGGCAGGTGGATCACTTGAGGTCAGTAGTTTGAGACCAGCCTGGCCAACATGGTGAAACCCCATCTCTACCAAAAATACAAATATTAGCCGGGCGTGATGGCACGTGCCTGTAGTCCCAGCTACTCTAGAGGCTGAGGCAGGAGAATTGCTTAAACCCGGGAGGTGGAGGTTGCAGTGAGCCAAGATCACGCCACTGCACTCCAGCCTGGGCAACAGAGTGAGACTCAAAAAAAAAAAAAAAAAAAAGAATAAACTAGTGAACTGCCATATTATATAATGCTCAATTTTATTATTCCCATTATCCTTATGACTATTTCCTGATATCTAAAATATTTTTGCTGGGCGCGGTGGCTCACGCCTGTAATCCCAGCACTTTGGGAGGCCGAGGCGGGTGGATCACGAGGTCAGGAGATCGAGACCATCCTGGCCAACATGGTGAAACCCCATCTCTACTAAAAAAAAAAATACAAAAAATTAGCTGGGCATGGTGGCAGGCAGTTGTGGTCCCAGCTACTCCAGAGGCTGAGGCAGGAGAAAGGCGTGAGCCCGGGAGGCGGAGCTTGCAGTGAGCGAGATCGCGCCACTGCACTCCAGCCTGGGCTAGGGAGCGAGACTCTGTCTCAAAAAAAAAAAAATTAAAAACTAAAAACAAAATAAAATATTTTCATCTTTATATCATTTAAAAGCTATAGAAAAGTTGCAAAAATAGTATAAGGAGTTCTCATACTCTATCCAAATTTGCCAATTGTTTACATTTTTCCTGGTTGCTTTGTTGATGACCATCAGCCAAATACCACCAGGAACATAACTAACCAGAGACAGCTGATTATGGCTTTCTGCAGCAAGGAAGCCCACATACCATGGTAAATGTGGGGTGTGTTGGTAAGAGGTATTTAAGAAGGGATGGTATAGGGTTTCACATAACATGCTAGATAATATTAGATATTAAATAATATTGTTATCTATTACATATCAGATCTGTTAAAAGACTACTAGTAGTTGTAGTGTTACTCATTAGATAGTGTTGAATAGCATATTACCTAACATCCTGTTATCTAATCTGTAGTTACATATTTAAATTTGTTCAGTTTTTCATTTAAAGTCCTATGCCAGGCACAGTGGCTCATGCCTGTAATCCCAGCATTTTGGGAGGCAACGGCGGGTGGATCTCCTGAGGTCAGGAGTTCGAGACCAGCCTGGCCAACATGGTGACACCTTGTCTCTACTAAAAATATTTTTAAAAGCCGGGTGTGGTGGCATGCTCCTGTAATCCCTGCTACTTGGGAGGCTAAGGCAAGAGAATCACCTGAACCCAGCAGGCGGAGGTTGCAGTGAGCTGAGATCGCGCCACTGCACTCCAGCATGGGTGACAGAGCGAGACTCTGTCTCAAAAAATAAAAAAATAAAGTCCTTATGACTGTGTCCCCTACCCCACCCTTCACCTGCAATGCCATTCAAAGTCCAGTTTATGCATTGTCTTTAGTTGTCACATTCCACAGTTTCTTTAGTCTAGAAAGATTCCACAGTCTTTGTCTTTTATAAACATGGTGGTTTTTTTTTTAATAGGAAAGTTATTTTGGAGAAAGATGTTCATTTGGAGTTTGATATATTTCATGTTTAGTTTCAGATTATGTATTGTTGGTAAGGATATTGCACAAGTGATGAGGTTTCCTCTTTATTGCAACATAACAGGGTTCACATGATGTGGTTTGTCCCTTCACTGGTGATCTCAACTGTGTTCACTTGGCCAAGATGATGCCTTTCAGATTTGTCCGCTGTAAAGTTACCTTTTTTAAAAAAACTCAAGTTTCTTATTGGAAGGTACATTATTAGTGGGCATTCTACTAAAGATGAACTTCTAGTTCTCTTCATTTATTCATTTGTTTGTTCAAGTATAAATCTCCCAACAATATGGACTCAGAATTCAGTCTTATGAAGGTAAATGACATGTGGATTAGCAATTTTTTTTCAACTCTATTGAGGTATATTTTACATAAAGCATTCACTCATTTCAGGAGTACAGTGATCTTTAGGAACTTTGTAAAGTGGAGTAACCATCATCATAATTCAGTTTAGTTATTTTTCACCCTCAGTTGGACTCTGTGCCCATTTACAATTAAACCTCATTCTCACCCCAAATCTGGAGCAACCACTAACCTACTTTTCCTCTATGTATACATTTGCCTATTCGGACATTTCATATAAATGGAATCATCTAATCCATGGATTTTGGTGACTGGCTTCTTTCTCTTATGATGTTTCCAAGGTTTGTGCATGTTGTAGCATGGGTTGGTACTTCATTCCTTTTAATTTCCAAATTAGATTCCATTATATGGATATGCCATGATTTTTCTATCCATTTACCCAGAGGAAGGCATTTTGGTTGTGCACAGTTTTGGGGTTAGTATGAATAATGCTGCTGTGATCATTCATAATACATGTGCTTGTTGCTACACAGCCTCCCCAGCCACCATTTCATGTCTCTCTTTTGCTGTCTCTGGCATTTTCCAGGCACAATTCCACCTTCCTTTGTGCTCCATTACTCAAGACACTGAAGACTCCAAAAAGTAGTAGGAAAAATGACCACATTCAAGGTGAGTAGAGCTCACCTCTCTTGCTATTAAAATTCCATCTTATTGCTCATATTGTCATATATTTTTCTCTGTCTTGGGAAGACTCAAGGAGGAAATGGGCATTTGGGACCTGTTGTGTGCCAGTTGCTTCCTTTGTCTCTTTTGTGTTGACTTTGCATTTGGTTTTTGGTTTGGGTTTTGTTTTGTTTTTTACTGTTACATTATGGAGTAGAAAAATTAGTAGGAATGAACAGTGCTCCCACTTCTTCACCTCCTTGCTCTCAAATTAGCCTGATTTT
This sequence comes from Homo sapiens, assembly GCF_000001405.40. Classification (NCBI taxonomy): domain Eukaryota; kingdom Metazoa; phylum Chordata; class Mammalia; order Primates; family Hominidae; genus Homo; species Homo sapiens. The sequence continues at coordinate 44,007,372 of NC_000019.10, forward strand.
TCTTCTTGTGCTGTTCCTTGTACATTCATAACTGTATTTGTATTGATGATGGAGTTCCTTATGTCAAGAGTGCTCTATACACCAAGATAACATGTCCTTCTGGTTTTCTTCATACTTGTCCATCAGATAGTTAGTCCCCCTTTCTGTGGAGGCCCACATTGCGCATGTTGGCTCCATTTCTCTTAGATGCTCCAGGGACCCTCTGACCCACTTCACCCACCTCCTGAGTCCTCTGGCCCCAGGAATGAGCTATTATTTAAGGTGTCGCAATCAGCGGATCACACACCAAGCTCCTGTGTTTCCGTATTCTGTCCTTCTGTCTCAATCCATGCAGCCAGCTCACATCTGTGGAGGGGTGGCCTGTGTCCCGCTTATCATTCTGTCTTCTTTATAAATCATCAAGCTGCTGTCCAGCCTGCGCCCCCAGGCTGCCATCACAGCACTGGGCCAATTGCCCAGGATATAAGTGCTCCCCCTTTGCCAGTCCAGAGTTCTGTCAAATTGGACCCTGCTGGCTGCACCAATTCCATGGAACAGGTTCACTAGTTACAGACTTGGCGAGTCTACCATGAGAGAGCACACTCATGTATGACAAATTACATAAAGCAGATTTATTACATGTAGGTAGCAAGGGACAACAGAAGCCTATGATCCACTGTGAGCCAGTCCTCCAAGGCTTAAGAAAGCTGCCTAGAGTGGGTGGAGTCACGACTGCACTTGCCCCATTTGCACCATAGCTGAGGCACCCCAAGAGGCAGCCTGTCCCAGGCTATATGCCTCAGGGGTAACATGACTTACTGAGCAGTTCCTCTCTAACTCAAGATATTATCTTTTATGGATTGGACTAGAACCAAAGAAGGCATAAAAAAAAATAAAAAGATGTTATCTTCCCTGGGAAGGACACTGCATAACTAGCACATTTATGGTTATTCTTGAGACCTATAAACAAGAAAGTGGGGAGAATGGATCCAAGGCTACTTTGAAAATAGTTACCTAAAACCTGTTAGTTTGGCAAATACTAAAGAAAAGTGATAGCATCCAGGGTTTGGGTCTGAGAGAGGAGGACAATAAGCCTCATCAAACAAGGTTGAGACTGAATTGCTCATTGTTGCTGGGGCAACTGGGGCAATTGGCAAAATTCATTGAAACCTATATAGGTGTAGCCCAGGATGCACCATTTGAAATCCTAAGGGGTTACTTACAAGGAGACTCAGTAAGTGCACAAAGTAAAAATACAGGAGGTCTTTTTCATGATTGCACTTCTGGTGGAGCTCAGGAAAATCACTGTCAGGATACAGACAGAATGAGTGGGAAATCTATAAGTTGACCTCCACTTCTCCTCTCCGCCTGCTCAATGCTGCTCCTCCCCCAGTAGTCCATGGTCATAGGATTGAGGTTATGTATCCTTGATGTTATAGGAGGCAGTGACCTTCAAGGATGTGGCTGTGTTCTTCACTGAGGAGGAACTGGGGCTACTGGACCCTGCCCAGAGGAAGCTGTACCAAGACGTGATGCTTGAGAACTTCACGAACCTGCTGTCAGTGGGTGAGCACAGGCACCCTCTGTAATGGTACATCAGGCCTCAGGAGTGGCTTTGTATCCTAGAGTATTCAAGTTTGTGTATGCAGTGGGAACTTAAATTTCCAGTAAATTTTACCTTGATATTACCTAGAATGAATTGGTATTAAGCACATGACTTTGCATGTTCACAGGGCATCAACCATTCCACCCTTTCCACTTCCTAAGGGAAGAAAAGTTTTGGATGATGGAGACAGCAACCCAAAGAGAAGGAAATTCAGGTAAGAAGCAAGCAACTGTGTGTCCTTGTACATGACTTTCTTTCCCATTTGTTTTACTTCTGACCATGCCCACTTATATCACCCTGATCTAAATTGCCCAATCTCTTTCCTGGTTTATTACAACCCCTTTCTGGCTGGTGGTCCTGTTCCCTCCCTTCCACCCTGACATCTATTTTCCCCCGAGCAGCCAAAATGATCCTTGGGAAATGCAAGTCAGTTTTCCACTCCTTGGTCCAAAAGCCTTTATGGTTTATTAATGTTATTAAAGTTACAACCTCTTTATTGGCTTTTAGAGACCCTGAGGTTTGTTCTTCATCCCCTGCTGCCTCTTGACTACATCTGTCCTCTCGCCCTTGCATCATCTTTTCCAGCCACGTTGTCCTCCCTGCTGTTACTCTGTCCTGTCATGGACACTGTATTCCCTGTTGCTGGTAACAAATAACAGACTTCACAGATTAAACAACACTTTTGTTCTTTCTGACATGGGGAGGACGGTCTCCCACCCCTCACCCTCGAAAGGAGTGGCCAGCCACAACCCTAAATCATATTGTTTCACTATCCAGAGTGATCCAGAGTTGGCACCCTAACAAACAAAGACACTGTCCTCCCGCATGATATGTCAGGATCCTAGAGATTACCTCTCAGATGCTGAGGACAAAGTTCTGACTTCTTTTTACTTAGGGTAACTTCTATATAAGGATATACAACATAAACACAGATATATAAACTATTGATTTTGTTATTGTTTTTCCTTAAATTTCCTTTTGATTTATATTTCACTATGAACATAATGTTTTAATTTAGTAATTTATCATGCAAGATTTTTGACTGACCAGAAAATTCCTTAGAAATAGTAACAAATTAAATGTATATATTATATCAGTTTTTTAATGGAGTCTGTTATTTCCATCAAGGATTTTACATATGAGACATGGTGTGGTTATAAATTGGTCACATACAAACCAGAAAACAAGATTCATGGGGAAAACATAAACTGAACATTCATTAAAGTTGAATGCCATATCCTAAGTGTGAAATCTTAAAAACACCAAACAAAGGCTTCATTTGTCCACATCTCTTCATTCTGTGTCCTTATAGGCGGCAAGACTATTGCGGAAGCAGGACCACATGAAGACTGCCCTTGCCAGCAAATCTGGGAACAAACTGCAAGTGACTTAACCCAGTCTCAAGACTCCATCATAAATAATTCTCACTTCTTTGAACAAGGTGATGTCCCCTCCCAGGTTGAGGCAGGACTATCTATAATTCATACAGGACAGAAACCTTCACAGAATGGGAAGTGTAAACAGTCCTTCAGTGATGTTGCCATCTTTGATCCTCCTCAGCAGTTCCACTCAGGAGAGAAGTCTCATACATGCAATGAGTGTGGAAAAAGCTTCTGTTACATCTCAGCTCTTCGTATTCACCAGAGAGTTCACTTGAGAGAGAAACTCTCTAAGTGTGACATGCGTGGTAAGGAATTCAGTCAGAGCTCATGTCTGCAAACTCGTGAGAGAGTCCACACTGGAGAGAAACCATTCAAATGTGAGCAATGTGGGAAAGGCTTCAGATGTAGAGCGATACTTCAAGTTCACTGCAAATTACACACAGGAGAGAAACCTTATATTTGTGAGAAATGTGGGAGGGCCTTCATTCACGATTTCCAGCTTCAGAAACATCAGATAATTCATACTGGGGAGAAGCCGTTCAAATGTGAAATATGTGGTAAGAGCTTCTGCCTTAGGTCAAGTCTTAATAGGCATTGCATGGTCCACACAGCAGAGAAACTGTACAAATCTGAGGAGTGTGGAAAAGGCTTCACTGATAGCCTAGATTTGCATAAGCATCAGATAATTCACACAGGACAGAAACCGTACAATTGTAAAGAATGTGGGAAGAGCTTCAGATGGTCCTCATATCTTTTGATCCATCAGCGAATCCACAGTGGAGAAAAACCATACAGATGTGAGGAGTGTGGGAAGGGCTACATTAGTAAGTCAGGTCTTAACTTGCACCAGAGGGTCCATACTGGAGAGAGACCTTATAATTGTAAGGAATGTGGGAAGAGCTTTAGCCGGGCTTCAAGTATTTTGAATCATAAGAAACTCCACTGCCGGAAAAAACCCTTCAAATGTGAGGATTGTGGAAAGAGGCTTGTACACCGGTCTTTCTGTAAAGACCAACAAGGAGACCACAATGGAGAAAACTCATCCAAATGTGAGGACTGTGGGAAGCGCTACAAGAGGCGCTTGAATCTGGATATAATTTTATCATTATTTTTAAATGATATGTAAGTTGTACATATATATGGGATATGGTATGAAATTTTAATATGTGTATATAATACGTAATGATCAAATTGATGTAATTAGTGTATTACCTTAAACAATTAACATTTCTTTGTTTTGGGAAAATTCAAAATCCATTGTTCTAGCGATTTGAAAAGAAACAATAAATTATTGTTGATTATAGTCACCTTTGGTGCTTTAGAACACTAGAATGTATTTCTCCTATCTAGCAGTACTTATGTATCTTGTTACCCAATCTTTGGCTATCTCACCTAACCCCTACACTTCCCTGCTTCTAGAACCACTGTTTTACTCACTAATTCTATGAAATCAACTTTTTTAGCTTCCATATGTGTGTGAGGACAGTTAGTATTTATCTTACCTTGCTTAGCTTATATTGTTTAACATGTCCTCCAAAGCTCATCTATGTTGCCACAAATGACACAATTTTGTTTTCTTTTTATGCCCAAAGAGTATTCTATTGTGTATATATGCCACCTTTTCTTCATTTATCTATTGATGGACACATAGGTGGGTTCCATATCTTAACTATTGTGAAGAATAGTGCTCCAATGAACATGGTAGTGTAGATATCTGATCCACATACTGATTTCCTTTGCTTTGGATATACTCAATAGTGGGATTGCTAGATCACTCGAATCTTATGCCTCAGAGGCTTGACACAAGAGCAAAACTATGGAAGTGTGGCTAGGGTGATATGGCTTCATACCACCTCAGGCCTCAAGTCCTCAACTGCACCAGAGTGTCCACGTTGGACAGAATCCTTAGTAATGAGGTGTGTGATAAAGTCTCTGCTCAGTTGTCTATAATCTCATTTGAGAGTTCACAAAGGGGCAAAACATTAAAAAGAGGCATATGGTAAGCACTTCAGTGTGTGTTTATATCATAATTTATCACAGTCCATACTGATAATATATTTCATCCAGGCTTGTAGGACAGAAAACATTTGTTTAAGTTAAATTCAGTGTTTCACCATAGCTCAGCATTCTCCCATCATCCTAGGACCATCGTAGTAGAGAACTCTTGTAAATTGTGCAGTAGGGTTGCAAACAGAACTTACGCTTGTCATTCAGGAGACAGGCCTTAGAATAAGAGTTTGTTCACACATTTACAAAACCCTAATGATGAACATGTCAAAAGTGGTGACCACTAGAATGTCAACTACAGGTACCTTGTTTTCTGCATCCTCAGGACCTTAACACTGATTAGCACTTACATGTTTAGTATGTGTTAAATGACTCAAAAGGAGAAAATATGATATTTTAAAATTGCATCTAGGAGAGAAAATCTACAAAAAATAATTCAGGGACACGAGTTAAAATGCAGAATACACTCAGTTCTGCAATCCAAAGCATTATTTTGGGTAATCTTACCCTGTTGCACTTGGCTGCTGGCTTCCCCTCATCCTCTGTTCTGAAGTTTACTACTAGTGGCTTTGTCTAATGCTCCATTGGTTGCATACAATATAAATTCAACAATCATTTGTAACTCTTCTCACACTACAGGCTGAAAATGGTTTGTTAACTTGTCAATAACAGTCCACTGCATATATCACAATTACATTTTTTTCAACAGTGTTAAGGCAAAATTTATAGTAATACTTTTTACGTGGCAGATGTAGTTACGTTGGAAAAAACTTCCTTAGTTCTGAATTCTCATGATTGCTTCTGTATTTCCATGCAGGCCTTGATATAATGGCCTTCTAATTGTGGTAGCATTTATTTTATCAAACAACTCAGGTAGAAGCTATGCCAATTTGACAATTTTTGGAAACCTAACCTAATATTCTCTTCCTATCTCTATGAAATACCAAGAGAAACCTATCGGAGTTTGGTAATTTCATGAAATGTATCCATGATTGGGGTAGGAGTGACATTTACATGCTCTTCTTTATTGTTGGCAGTAAAAATAAGTCTTTTGTAAGCAGTGTATATCAGAATGTATAAGGTACAAGTGTTTTACCTGGAAATGATGGGATAGGAAATTATGATTATGATGTTAAAACTGTGAAAAGTAGAAAACCACATGGATGATATCACCCCATTTTAAAATGGAATAAGTATTCAACAAGAATTTGTGTGAAATGCATTTATTCCTATAACATAAGACCAATAAAATGAGGGAACCAGACATACAGTAAAAGGAGAAAAACATAATGTGAGCTTTGTGAAATCTGACTGTAACCTTCATAACATAATCAAATATCTTTGTGTGTTTCTGGGACTTTTTAATGTGTATATACGTAATTTGTGAACAACTATTCTTTCCTCTGGCAATGAATATTTGCTGGTATTTTTCCATTTTATAATTTTATGCATTTTTTCTCAGTGAACATCAGTTTTATCAAAGCAGTAAATTTAGTGCAATAAATTTGCAAACTTATTAACGTTAATCACTTACCTACCAGGACTCAGAATCTCAGAATAAAATTGCTCTATATTGTCATATGATGTAAGTTCACAATGACTAGGGCATTTTGAAGTCATTTCAAAGTGAAATACTCTCTGGTTGGGCCAGGCGCAGTGGCTCACGCCTGTAATCCCAGCACTTTGGGAGGCTGAGGGTGGTGGATCATGAGGTCAGGAGATCGAGACCAACCTGGCTAACACGGTGAAACCCCATCTCTACTAAAAACACAAAAAATTATCCAGGTGGTGGCGGGCGCCTGTAGTCCCAGCTACTCGGGAGGCTGAGGCAGGAGAATGGTGTGAACCCAGGAGGCAGAGCTTGCAGTGAGCTGAGATCATGCCACTGCACTCCAGCCTGAGCAACAGAGTGAGACTCTGTCTCAAAAATATATATATATTCTCTGGTTTTTAGAATATGCAGATAAAGTGATGAAGTCTGGTTAACTGTCTTGGTAATTAAAGCATGTGATGCTTCTTTAGGGATAAGTCAGGGAGTGTGCAAATACTGGAGATCCTGCCCAGTGCCCAGACACAGCTGATTTATCGAGACAGAGAATTCACAATAGCGAAAGAATTTAATACACATAGAACTGGCTAAATGGGAGACAAGGGTTTTATTATTACTCAAATCAGCCTCCTTGAAAATTTGGAGGCTAGGGTTTTTCATAGATAGTTTGACAGGCAGGGGGCTAGGGAATGGGTGCTGCTGGTTGGCTGGGGATGTGAAAAATGGTCCTTGTGCATTAAGTCCACTTCTGGGTGGGGGCCACAGGACCAGTTGAGTCAAGAGTCATGGGTTTAGGTGGGGCCATCTGGTTGTCAGAAATGCAGAAGCCTGAAAAGACATCTCAAAAGGCCAGTCTTAGGTTCTACAATAGTGGTGTTATTTACTGGAGTAACTGGGGAATTTGCAAATTTTAAGACCTCTGGAATAACAGCTGGAAATCAGAATAATGACTGGTAATCCTTTACACATATATCTTAGAATTCAGGCCCCTCTCATCCTCGTAAACTAGTGGGGCCTTTCAATAGTATTACAAAGGCAGTTTAGTTTGGGGGAAGGGCTATTACCATTTAAATTATAAACTAAATTCCTCCCCAAGTTAGCTGGGCCCACGCCCAGGAATTACTACCAAGGGCAGTTTGGTGGTTAAAAGCAAGATGGAGTTGGTTAGATGAGATCTCTTGCACTGTCATAATGTTCTCACTGTTATAATTTTTACAAAGGTGATTTCAGAGATTGAAATAGATATACATATGTGTGAAGGTTGTTTGTTTTTTGTCTTTTAAAGCAACAGATCTTCACCTGAGGTCAGGAGTTCGAAACCAGCCTGGCCAACACGGTGAAACCCTGTCTCTACTAAAAATACAAAAATAACCGAGTGTGGTGGCACATGCCTGTAATCGCAGCTACTCAAGAGGCTGAGGTGGGAGAATCACTTGAAACTAGGAGGCAGAGGTTGCAGTGAGCCAGATCACGTCATTGCACTCCAGCCTGGGTAACGAGCAAAACTCCATCTCAAAAAATTAAAAAAAAACAAACAGATCCTTTGAAAACCAGAGGTGTATGGGCAGGGAACATAGTATGACAGCAGCAGAGCTTCTGTTGCTATGGATCCAGTTAGAACAAAGACCTGGTTTGGATGCCAATTCAGAGTTATATACCATGGTGTTGACAAAAAGAGTCAAACTCTATAAAATATAAAGAGGTTTATTCTGAGCCAAATATGAGTAACCAAGGCCCATGACAAGGCCATAAAAGGTCCTGAGAACATGTGCCCAAAGTGGTTGGGTTATAGCTTGGTTTTATACATTTTAGGGGGACAGAAGTTACAGGCAGATATCAGTCAATACAGGTATACATTGATTTGGTCTGGAAAGGCGGGACAACTCAAAGTTGGCCATGGAGGTGCTTCCAGGTCTTGGGTGGGTTCAAAGATTTTCTCATTGGCAGTTGGTTCAAAGAGTTATCTAAAGGCCTGGAATCAATAGAAAGGAGTGTCTGGATTATGAGAAAGGGTTGTGGAGACCAAGGTTTTTATTATGCAAATGAAGACTCCATGGTAAATGGTAAATGTCTCTTATCAGTTGAAAACAGTGCCAGACTCTTCAGTTAATTCTCTCCTAGAGAGAGACCTGGGAAAGGAAGAGGAATGTAGATTTTACAAAATGAATATACTAAGCATGCTAGATTCTAATGAGATTGCTCTGATTTGACAATATTAAAGGTTTTCTTAATAAATTGACTTCCAATCTTATCTTTAATGTCTGTAGTACTCTTGTGCACTGAATATTATTTTTTTCATTAAACACTTTTCTGTAGATCCTGAGGAAAAGATACAAAAAAAATTTGAAAAACTCAAAAGGCAGTTTCCTGCTGATGAACATCTGTGGGATAATTGATTTTAATGGATTTATAGTGCATAGACTATAGTCCCTATTTAATCAAGCACTAATATAGACATTGTGATGGTATTTTGTAGACATTCAGCCCATAATCAGTTGGCTTTGAGTAGGGATATTATGCTAAATAAGGGTAGGCCTGATCAATCACATGAAGATCCTTCAGAATAGAGCTGAAGCTTCTCTGAATGAAAAAAATATTGCATCTTCTGGTGGCATCTTCCTCTCATGGGTTAGAGTCCCATCTTCACCTTTCTGGTGGCCAGCCATATGCATTTTGGAATTGCTTAGTGATATGGTTTGGCTCTGTGTCCCCACCCAAATCTCATGTTGAATTGTGATCCTGAGTGTTGGAGGTGGGGCCTGGTGGGAGGTGATTGGATTATGGGGGCTGTTTCTAATGATTTAGCATCTATCCCCCTAGTGCTGTCTTTTTATGGAATTCTGATGAGATCTGCTTGTTTTAAAAGTGTGTAGCACCTCCTCCTGCTCTCATTCTCTCCTGCTCTGCCATGGTAAGACATGCTTGCTTCCCTTTCACTTTCCATCATGATTGTAAATTTCCTAAGGCCTCCTAGCCACGCTTCCTGTACGGCCTGTAGAACTGTGAGTCGATTAAACCTCTTTTCTTCATAAATTACCCAGTCTCAGGTAGTTCTTTTTTTTTTTTTTTTTTTTGAGATGCAGTCTTGCTTTGTCACCCAGGCTGGAGTGCAGTGGCACGATCTCGGCTCACTGCAACTTCTGCCTCCCAGGTTCGAGCTATTCTCCTGCCTCAGCCTCCCGAGTAGTTGGGATTACAGATGTGTGCCACCATGCCCAGACTAATTTTTGTATTCTTAGTAGAAACGGGGTTTCTACTATGTTGGACAGGTTGGTCTCGAACTCCTGACCTCAGGCGATCCACCTGCCTTGGCCTCCCAAAGTACTGGGATTACAGGTGTGAGCTCACTGCACCCAGCCAGGTAGCTCTTTATAGCAGTGTGAGAACAGACTAATAGACTTAGCCAGTTCCACCGTGCCAAAGTAGAGTTCCTTGCAATAATTGCTTGTATATGTCATACTGATTCTGTTTCTCTGGTTGAATGCTGACCAAAAGACATTTTGCCCCACAAGAACTTCTAGAGGAAGAGCACCCTAAGGATGAGTTTTCTAAATTGATTGTGTTTTCTAGAATTGGATTTCTACTCTTACTAAATTTAAGAGCACTATTGACTTTATTTCCAGTGCAACATAGGGAACTGGTTGTGAAAGGCATGGTGTGATAATATGCCAAATATCATACTGAATAATCCTAATCAAATGCCTATTGGAATGATTCTGGTGACCATGAATTTGTTAGTTTAGGACACAGTAGACAAACTTATCAGTATAGTAGTATTTTCTGGATGCTCCTAGTTGGGCTTCAGAAATTAGGAAAGAAGGCTGGGCGCTGTGGCTCACGCCTGTAATCCCAACACTTTGGGAGGCCGAGTAGGGTCGATCACGAGGTCAGGAGATCGAGACCATCCTGGCTAACACGGTGAAACCCCATCTCTACTAAAAATACAAAAAAGTTAGCCAGCTGTGGTGGCACGCACCTGTAGTCCCAGCTACTTGGGTGGCTGAGGTAGGAGAATGGCATGAGCCCGGGAGGCAGAGCTTGCTGTGAGCCGAGATTACGCCACTGCACTCCAGCCTGGGTGACAGAGCGAGACTCCATCTCAAAAAAAAAAAAAAAAAAAAAAAAAGAAGGAAAGAAAAAGATGAGGTCAATCACTATGCAGGGCTTAACTATGCCTTGTTGATCTTGGTATTCACAGTAAATAAATTGATGGGAAATCTATGATACTGTCACTGGGTTTGTGTTGTCAGAAGAGTTCTATTGCAGGGGAAGAGAACTCTAACTGCAACCACCTAACACAGTCACAGCCCTCAAATCAATTCCAAGACATGTCCAGTTTACAAATCCACATTCATTTACATAAAGGGGAGGCCAATGTTAGATGAGTATGGGCCCTGATACATTTCAGAGTTCTCCATAGGAAACCATGGGCATAAACCTGTGACTGAGTACATAAAAGGAGAAATAATCACTCTTTTGGGCAATGACTGAATCCTTATTGTCAAATGGCACATTGATATGATGATCAGACATGGTGAGGAGAAAGTAGGAACTACACTAGGCATATTAGTAAGACACATACATGACAGAAAGGAAGAATAAATCCTATAAATATTCATGGGCCTTCCACTTTGGTGAAATTTCCATAGGTTCACTGATGTGGGACTATTGAGATATCCCTTCTAAGATATAGGACAAGTAGCATATGGTACTTCCTACAACCAAACAAAGTGTCACAATGTCTAGTGGCCCTCCTTGGCTGCTGGATGCTACTTATGCCTCGCTGGGATATGCTACTCTGCCTTTTTTTGTCTGACCCAAAAACATTTTGCCTCAACTAAGATACCATAAGGCTGTGTAATGTATCCTGGCTGCCATGTAAGTTTCTCTACCCCTAAGACACTGTGGACCAGGAGATCCAAAAGTAATTGAAATATCAGTGACAGAGAGTGATGTTTGGAGCCACTGGCTGGTCACATTTGATGAATCAAACCACAGATGGATAGGATTTTGTAGCAAAGCCCAGTCATCCTCTACATATACTTACTCTTTCTCTTTTTGGTAGAGACAGGGCCTTGCTTTGTTGCCCAGGCTGGTCTTGAACTCCTGGCATCAAGAGATTCTCATTCTTCAGCCTCACAAAGCAATGAGTACAGGTATGAGCCCCCACCCCCAGCCTACTTACTCTTCTTTGGAAAAGCAGCCTATGATTTTGCTAGTGGTCTTAGCAGAGACAGAGCACTTAACCATGACCTACCAAATTAGCATGCGTGCCAAGCTTTCCATCATGAATTGGGTGTTGTTGGCCCTTCCTTGTCTTTAAATTGTATGTGCACATCGGTATTCCATTTGTAAGTGGTATATGTATGATTGGGTTTGAGCAGGCTCTGAAGCCACAGATAAGTGTATCTAAGGCCCATGACCCCTACTCCTACTATGTTATCTTCAGAATGAGTGAACATGAAGACAAGTCCTATGAATTATTGTGTCACAGCAGCAAAAAGAAATGAAGTGATTAAAAGTAAACAAAGCCTAAAGGACCACATGTGCATTATAGGTGTCCTGGGTAGAGAGAAAGAAAGCCAAGAGAGATTACTTATAGAAATAAAAGCTGAAAACTTCTCAAATATGAAAAACACATCATTCTGTAAATCCAAGAAGCTCAATGCATTTCAAGTAAGATAAACCCAAAGGTACCCAACTGAGACATGTTATTTAAAAATTGTTGGAAACCAAAGACAAGCGAAAAATTTGACAGCAGCAAGTCCAAAGTGACTTGTCATGTACAAAGAAATCTTTAATGAAGATGTCAGCAGATTTCTCAGCAAACATCTGAGACTAGCTGATATATTCTTTGCTAAAAACACATACACACCATACATACACACACACGTCTATTGAGAATTCAACATTCAGCCAAACTGTCCTTCAAACTTGAGAGATAAATCTATGTGAATGGGTAGACAATATGTATAGACATAATATATGACATCAGTTGTACAAAGTGGGGAGAAGGAGAAGCTGTGAATGAGTAGTGTTTTTGCACGTGATTGAAGTTAAGCTGGTATCCATGGAAAACAGTTTGCTACAACTTTAGAATGTTACATGTAGAATGTTACATGTAAGTCCATGAATCAGAAATGTTACATGTTTCTAACTACAGATACTAATGAAACATACACAAAGGGAAATGAGAAGAGATTCAAAATGTATCACTACAGAGAAAGAAATCAACATCAAGGAAGGCAGTAATGGAGGATATGAGGCAAAAGAGCCAGAAGACATATAGAAACAAATAAAATGGTAAGACCTTCCCTATGAATAATTGATTTACCATAAATGAATTAAACACCCTAACCAAAAGATGTAGTTTGGTAAAATGATTGAAAAAAACAGTATCCAAGTGTATGCTCTGCACAAGGGATTTGCTTTAGATCTAATAACATGCATAGACTTAAAGTGAAATGATGGGAAAGTTTTTCCATATCAATAGTAACAAAAAGACAGAAAGAGTGGCAGAAAAGAGTGGCAGAGACAAAGAAAAACTATATAATGCTAAAGGGTGATTCCACCAAGAAGATATAGCAGTTATAAACATATGTGCACCACACATCAGAGCTCCAAATTACATGAAGCAAATACAGAATTAAAGAGAGAAATAGGCAGCTCCCCAGTAATACAGTTGACCCTTGAACCACATGGATTTGAACTTCACAGGTCCAATTATATGTGGATTTTTTTTTAGTGAAACACACATTGAAAATACAATATTCATAGGATGTGAAAACCTAATATATGGAGGGCCAACTTTTTGTATGCACAGGTTCCATAAACTTGAGTATGTGTGGATTTTGGTATATACAGAGCTCCTGGAAACAATCGCCCCTGTAAACTGAGGAACAACTGTAGTAGGACACTTCATACCTCACTTTCTTTTTTAAAATTTGTACTTTTATTTTAGATACAGTGGGTATACGTGCAGGTTTGTTACATGGGTATATTGCACCAAGATAGTGAGCATAGTATCCAATAGGTAGTTTTTCAACACACGCCCCACACCCTACATCCCCCCTCTACTAGTTCACAGTGACTATTGTTCACATGTTTATGTCCATGTGTGCTCAATATTTAGCTCCCACTTATAAGTGAGAACATGCAGTATTTGGTTTTCTGTTCCTATGTTAATTCACTTAGGATTATGTCCTCCAGCTCCATCCACGTTACTGCGAAGGACATGATTTCAATTCTTTTTTTATGGTTGCATAGCATTCCATGGTGCTTAACATACAAGTGCATGTGTCTTTCGGTATAATAATCTATTTTTCTTTGGGTATATATCCAGTAATAGGATTGCTGGGTTGAATTGTAGTTCCATTTTAAGTTCTTTGAGAAATCTGCAAACTGCTTTTTACAGTGACTGAACTAATTTACATTCCTATCAACAGTGTATAAGCATTCCCTGTTTTCTACAGCCTTGCCAGCTGTTGTTTTTTGACTTAATAGCCATTCTGACTGCTGTGAGATGGTGTCTCATTGTGGTTTTGATTTGCAGTTGTCTAAAATGGTTAGAGATGATGAGCATCTTTTCATATGTTTGTTGGCTGTGTGTATTTCTTCTTTTGGGAACTGTCTGTTCATGTCCTTTGCCTATTTTTTAATGGTGTTATTTGGTTTTTGCTTGTTGATTTGTTTCAGTTCCTTATAGATGCTGGATATTAGACCTTTGTTGGATGCATAGTTTGTGAATATCTTCTCCATGCTGTAGGCTGTCTGTTACAGTTTCTTTTGCTGTGCAGAAGCTCTTTAGTTTAATTAGTTCCCACTTGTCAACTTTTACTTTTCTTGTAACTGCTTTTGGGGGACTTAGCCAAAAATTCTTTGCCAATGCTGATGTCGAGAAGGGTATTTTCTGTTATTTTCTTGTAGGATTTTTGTAGTTTGGGGTCTTATACTTAAATCTTGAATCCATCTTGTGTTAATTTTTGTGTATAGTGAAAGGTAAGGGTCTAGTTTCATTCTTCTGCATATGGCTAGCCAGTTATCCCAGCACCATTTATTGAATAGAGAGTCCTTTCCCTGTTGCTTGTTTTTGTTGCCTTTGTCAAAGATCAGATAGTTGTAGGTGTGTGGCTTTATTTCTGAGTTTTCTATTTTGTTTCATTGGTTTATATGTCTGTATTTGTGCCAGTACCATACTGTTTTGGTTACTGTAGGCTTACAGTAGTCAGAAGGTTGATAGTGTGATGCCTCTAGCTTTGTTCTTTTTGGTGAGGATTGCTTTGGTTATTCAGGCTCTTTTTTTGGTTCCATATGAATTTTATGAGACCAATGTGCTGCCTACTCCACTAAGGAGTCAACTCCATATGAATTTTATAATAGTTTTTTATAATTCTGTGAGGAATGACATTGCATACCTCACTTTCAAATAGATAAGAAGACCAGACAGAAGATAATAATGAAATAAAGGACTTGAAAAACCCTACATACCAATTGGACCTAAAAGACATATACAGAATACCTCATACAACAACAACAATAGAATACACATTTTCTTATTTATACATGAAACACTCTCCAGGATAGGCCATATATTATGTCATAAAACTAAAGTTGACAAGTGGGAACTAATTAAACTAAATTTATTGTCTTAATAAATTTAAAACTTTAGTACCATAGGAAATATTTTTTTCCAATTATAACCTAGCCAAAAAACCCTGGAAATCAATAGCAGCATGAAAAGTGGAAAATTCACAAGTATGTGGAAATGAAACAACACATTCTTAAATAATCTACATGTCAGACTAAATTAAAAGTAAAATTAGAAATATCTGGAGAGAGCTAAAAATAAAAGCAATGTGTCAAAATTGGTGGGATGAGAAAAAAAGCAGTAATAGGTGTGAAATTTGTACCTGTAAATACTTAAATTAAAAAAGAAGAAATATCTCAAATTCACAACCCTATTTTACATTCATGAACTACAAAAAAGAATCTGAATAAGAAAGCTAGTGGAAGGAAGGAAATAATAAACATTAAAGCAATGATACATAGAGAATAGAAAAACCAAGAAAATCAATGAAACCAAGAGTTGGTTATTTTCATAAGAAAATTATGAAAACTTCAGTGAGATTGAATAAAAAATGAAGACAGAAGGCTCAAGAAACTAAATCAGAAACAAGAGGGGACATTATTACCAATTTTTACAGAAATAAAGATGATTGTAATAGAATACTATATACAATTGTATGCCAAGAATTTGTATAACTAGATGAAATAGACAAATTCCTTAAAGCATACACCTTACCAAATCTGAATTATGAAGACAAAAAAATCTGAGTAGACCTCTAACTAGTAAGGAGATTGAATCAGTAATCCAAAACCTCCCAATGTAGAAAAGCCCAGGATCAGATGGCTTCACTGGCAAACGCTTCAACACATTTAAGGAACATTTAACACCATAGCTGCTCAACCTCTTCCCAAAAATGCAAGAAGAGAGAACACTTCTTTGATCCTTCTGTCAGGTCAGTATTACCCTGATGCCAAACCAGAAAAAGACAATTCAATAAAATTATACACCAATATCCCTTATGAATACTGATGCAAGAATTCACCAGCAAAATACCAGCAAGATCCAGCAGCATATTAAAAGGATTACACTTAGTGACCGAACTGTTTTATTCCTGGAAGGCGAATATAATTATGGTTCAACATACAAATATCAATGTAATACTCCACATGAGCAGAGTGGAAGGTATAAATCACATCATGTCAGTGAATGCAGAACATTCAGTTTCACAAAATTCAGCACCTAGCACCTTTTCATGATTGAAATACCAAATAACTAGAAGGAGAATAAACTACCCCAGCAAAATAAAGGCTATATATGGAAATTCTCAGAGCTGATTGTCATACTCAATGGTGAAGGACTGAAAGCTTTTCTTCTAATATCAGGAACACAATGAGTTTTCTCCACTTTTCCCACATTTAGTCAATGTAGTATTGGAAGTTCTATGCAGAACAATTAGATAGAAAAAGAAAATAAAGCTATTAAAATTGGAAACAGAGGTAAAATTGTCTATATGCTAATGACATGTTCTTATATATAAAAATTCTAAAGAATTCACAAGAAAAAAAAACTCTTAGAGCTAGTAAAGTCAGAAAGTTGCAGGAAAAATATCTACATAGAAGAAGCAGTTGTATTTCTATACAAAAACAATTAATCTGAAAAGGAAAATAGTTCCCTTTGCAATAGCATTAAATAAATAAATTACTTAGGAACTGTCTTAACCAATGACAAGAAACACTTGGACACTGAATTTTGCAACATCTTACTAAAGAAAATTAAAGAAGGCACCCCAGGCATGGTGGCTTATGCCTGTAATCCCAGCACTTTGTGAGGCCCAGGCAGGCGAATAACTTGAGGCCAGGAGTTCGAGATCAGCCTGGCCAACCTGGTGAAACCCCTGTCTTCACTAAAAATACAAAAATTGGCCAGGTATGGTGGTACGTGCCTGTAATCCCAGCTACTTGGGAGGCTGAGGCAGGAGAATCGCTTGAACTCAGGAGGCGGAGGTTGCAGTGAGCCAAGATTGTGCCACTGCACTCCAGCTTGGGCGACAGAGTGAGACTCTGTCTCAAAAAAAAAAAAAAAAAAATTAAAGAAGGCGCAAATAAATGGAGATATATCCATTATTAATGGATTGGGCGACTTGATATTGCAAGGCTGTCAATACCTATATCTATAGATTCAATGCAATCCTTAATCACAGTAACATTTTTCTCAGAAATGAAAAAATCCACCTGAGATTCATGTGAAATATCAAGGGACACTCTCTCCCATGGTCATATTTTAGACCTCGTCATTTTCTAGCAAATATTCCTCCATAATAATTTGCAGCACTACTCTCCAACAACTTTGACTTGTATTTCCACCTTGGTCCCACCAGCATGCTAGCATCAGTAATATTAGAACCTCGCCAATACCTACAGTCCACTGAGACGATCACCTTTTTACTCTTTCAACTCCTCGTGTACTCACAGCCTGCCAAGCACATTTCTTGTCAGGAGAGGACAGCTCACTTCTCCTAATGTCTCACTTCCCAAAATTGTGTCCCATGAAAATTTCTAGCTAGATGAAGGCAGAGAAAGAAAATATTTGATTTCTTAGGCTTTATGGAAGCGATAGGAATGGCAATAGTGGTTTGGAATGGAGACTGCACGCACCAGTCAACAGGGTGTGTCCCGAATAAGCAGTGGGTAAAGGACATTTACTGAAATGCTATCTCCAACTCCACTTCAGGAAAGCTTGCTGCAGAGTTAGAGTGATATAGTCCAAATGCTCTGTTTGAGTCGCGGGCCCTTTGTCTCACACGGGCGAGTCCGGGGAATTCTGGGAAGTGGAGTCCACACGCTCTGTGGAGGCTCGAGCACTTCCGGTCCCCAACTGTGACGTTGCTATTTCATTTACCACAGTAGTTTGAGTCATTTCCACATCTTGCGAGTCCTTCCGAACGAGTCTCCTTTCCTTGGGGCTCGCAACCACCCAATGATCGATTCAGGAGAAAAGAAGCCTGGGCGGAGAGCAGAGGTTTGGAGGGGCGCGGGCGGGGATTGCCGTTCCAGTCAGCTGAGCCTTCTGGCGTCGGGGGGCTCTGCTAGGGTCTCAGGGAGTGGGATTGGCGCGGCCCGGTGTGCCCTACTTTGACCTCGCTTAGTCCGCCTCCCTCCTCCCTACGTGTGCAGCCCCTTTCAGTGTGGTGTGGAGTGTCACTTAATGTCCGTTTATCTTCCATTGCTGGTTCGTTTGTTTGTTTGTTTTGTAACGGGACTTTTCGGACCATCCTAATGGATTCATTTTGGGACCTGAAAGAGGTAACACAAATGAGAGCCTTAAAAGCAGTCCCTGTCACTCGGTGTCTGGTGGTCTCTTGTTAATTTCCCACGAAGCCTGTCAGGTCCTCTGGTGGGGTCAGAGCTCCAGCTGCAGGGGCGCCGGCCCTTCTGCCTGATCCCTGCAGGACGCTGGATGATCCCTGACGCCTTCTGACCTCTTTTTAGGAAAGTGAGGGGAGCATTTAACTTTTATGGGGGACGGCAAAACGGTCAGGGTGTTTCACAGCTTTCTTTTTCCCCAGCCCGACCTTTCTAAAAGAGCTGCAGGAAGGGACTTCTTGGCTACTGATGGCAAAGCTCTACGTGAGTGATCCTTGGCTTTTTTTCTTTGACAGAGATGCTTACCTCAACCGAGAGTGTGTAGGATTTGTCCCTCGGGCATGGGTGTCGATAATGATTAAGCCTTAATTGGTAACTTTATTCCAAGTACTTTATACCCCAAAATACATGATCTTCACAGTGGCACTGTGGAGAGGTGCTGCTTTTTTCATTTTAAAGATGGGCGTGAGACACAGGTGGAGCAGGAGTTGAAACCTAGGCAGTCCAGGTTAGAGCCTGAGTTGATCATCTCTTGAATGCAATTCTCATTGAGGCAGAGGTACTAGCTGGGAACAGGTGGAGAACGTAAGTTAGGACTTGATTGAAGGCACCTTGAGGCAAGGCTCAGGGGCTTGGACTTCTATAGGAGTTTTTGTTTGTTTGCTTTTTGCTTTTTAATTTTTTTAACCTTATCTACTATTTTCTTTCTCTCTCTCTCTCTATATATATATATATTTTTTTTTTTACAGAGTTTCGCTCTTGTTGCTTAGGCTGGAGTGCAGTGGTGCAATCTTGGCTCACTGTAACCTCCGCCTCTCGGGTTCAAGTGATTCTCCTGCCTCAGTCTCATTTTCGTCAAAGGGCCCGCGACTCAAACAGAGCATTTGGACTATATCACTCTAACTCTGCAGCAAGCTTTCCTGAAGTGGAGTTAGAGATAGCATCTCAGTAAATGTCCTTTACCCACTATTTATTCAGGACACACCCTGTTGACTGGTGTGTGCAGTCTCCATTCCAAACCCCTATTGCCTAATCAGTCATTGTCAGGACACAAACAGAATAAGTAGGAAATCTATAAGCTGACCTATGTCTCTCAAGATCCAAAACAACTTTACACTTGTCCCTTGTGCCAGTGCAATGCTGCTGTCTCCCAATAGTCTTTGGCCGTAAGATTGAGGTGACATCTGCTTGATGTTGTAGGAGGCAGTGACCTTCAAGGATGTGGCTGTGATCTTCACTGAGGAGGAGCTGGGGCTGCTGGACCCTGCCCAGAGGAAGCTGTACCGAGATGTGATGCTTGAGAACTTCAGGAACCTGCTCTCAGTGGGTGAGGACGGGCACCCCCTGTAATGGAATGTCAGGCCCCAGGAGTGGTTTTTTAATCCTAGGGTTTTCAAGTTTGAGTGTGCAGTGAGAACCTACATTTCCAGTAAATTTTGCCTGGCTATTAGGTTGGTGCAAAAGTAATTGTGGTTTTTGTCATTGGAAGTAATGGTACACTGCAATTACGTTTGCACCAACATGATATTACCTTGAACATGTTGGGATTAAGCATGTGACTTTGCCTGTTCACAGGGCATCAACCATTCCATGGAGATACTTTCCACTTCCTAAGGGAAGAAAAGTTTTGGGTGATGGGGACAACAAGCCAAAGAGAAGGGAATTTGGGTAAGAACCAAGCAATTGTGTGTCCCTGCATGTGATTCCTGTTACTTCTGTCCATGCCCATTTCCAGCATTTTGGGGTAAATGGCCAAACCTGTTTCCTGGATTATTACAGCCTTCTCCCTGCTGATGCCCCTGCTCCCACCCTTCCCACCCTGCCATCTGTTCTTACGGTAGCCAAAGTGATCCGTAGGAAACGGAAGTCACATTGCCATTCCTCAGCTCAAAGCCTTTCTGGCTTCTTGTTTTTATTAGTGTTACAACCTCTTTAAGTGGCTTTTGTAGACCCTGTGATCTGCCCTTCATCCCACACTGTCTGACTGCATCTCCTGTCCTCTCCCCCTTGCTCCATCTTTTCCAGGCACCTTGTCCTCCCTGCTGTTTCTCTATCCTGCCAAGGACATTGTATTGCCTATTGTGGCCGGTGACATAAAACTCAGCAGACTGAACAAGAAACACTTATCTTTCTCTTCTGTAGGCCTGAAGTCTGACACATCTCACTGGGCAAAAATCAAGTGGTCTTAGGGCTTTGTTCCTTTCTGGATGTTCATGGGGAGAAGACTTCATTTTGGTTTACCAGTCTCTAGTCACTGTCCACACTCCGTGGCTCTTGTTTCCCTTCCTCCATCTTCAAAAGCAGCTACATTGCATCCCTGACCATTCTTCCATAGTCATGCTTCCTCTGCCACTCTTCTTATGCCTTCCTCTTTCACCTTTCAGGTCCCTTGTGATAGTATTCATCACTCCTGGATGATTCAGGATGACCCTCCCACTTTCTGCTTAGCTGGCTAGTGACCTCAATGGCATCTGTAGCTTTAATCTCCCTTGCTGTGGAACATAACGTGTTCATAGGTTCTGAGGACTGGATGTAGACATCTTTCAGGAATGATTATTTTCTCTACTACAAAAGCTTCTGCCTCCGAGCCCTCACTTGCTCTTCTCTCTGATTGGAATACACTGTCCCCACAAAACTTACTGACCCCTCTTTTAGTTTATGCAGCTCTCTGCTCAGTTTTAATATCATGGGAGAGGTCGTCTCCAAGCACCTTATTGAAAATACTATCCTATCTTTACTCTTCTTGGCCTGCCTGTGTTGTGTCTCATGTATTTTTGTCTACTGATAAGTCGCCCCTCCCCTTTGCAATGTAATCTCTTGAAGGCATTTATCTGTTTCTTTATGACTGCATCTTCAGCACCTAGAATACTCCTGGTACATGGCAGTTATCTGTAAATATTTGGTATTCTTATGAATGAATTAATGGATGAGAGGACTTGACTGTCTGTAAGAATCATGGAGATAGCTAATAAGTAACAGACATACAAGAGTGAATGTTATATAGTCATGCCTTGGTAGCCGTGGGGTTTGATTCCAGGACCCCCTTGTGGATACCAAAAGCCAAGGATGCTCAAGTCCCTTCTACATGTAAAGTATTTGTGTATATCCTACACACACCCTTTCATATACTTTAAGTCATGTCTATATTAGGTATAACACCAAACGCAATGCCTACCCATCGCTTTATTCACATGGATTCAATGTATAGGACTCAATGTGAGAAATTCAAGTTTTGCTTTGTGGAACTCTGTGGAATTTTTTTTTTCCAAATACTTCTGATGCACTGTTGGTTGAATCCATGTATGCTGAACCCACAGATATAGAGGCTGACTATATGTTGCAGGACAGTTGTTGGTTTGTTTTGTTTTGTTTTTTTTTTTTTTTTTTTTTTTGTCTGTGCAGGGCTGCTTATCCAATTTTGACTTTCTTAGGTTCTCTTGACATGGTTGGTTTTCTGTGTGTGCAGTTGACCCACATCCCATGGAAACTTTCAAGCATGGTTTTCATGACCACATTGAGAAACATGCCTTCCCTGGGGCTTACCCTTGAGCTTTCCTTAAGGACCGTGTTTATGTCTGTGAGAAATTCTTTATATCTATGAGCTGAATGTTGCTTATATTTCCAAATGTTTTTCTTCAAAAAATGTGTCTATTTCTGCATCTTTATACAAATTTAATTGTCAAAAATGTGAAGGAATATAGATTTTACTGAAATCTTTCTTTATATTTATAGAGATATAGTGTTGTATTTTCATCTGGTGAACTTTATGACCTGAAAGGAATTGGGAAACTGCTCTCAAAATAGAAACCTCCCGAAGGATACTCTCCCTTCTCTTTAAAGACTTATTTATACGTGACAGCATATTAAATATATCCATGTACTACTGTGTACTGAAAGGTACATACTTATCAATTAATATTTTCCAAGATTCTTTCCATTGGAAAAACTTGGAAGTTATCTTTCCATTGGAAAAATGTACCTAATTCAGGACTTGGTAATATCCTGACAAAGTTCTAAACATTTTGTGAGCATTAGCCATAGTAAGAAACATATCTGTCAGTGTAACACGGACAAACATTTTTCATGTGTGTAGATGTGTGTGAGTGGCTTTAGTAAGCAATTCATGTAATGACATTTTTCCTGCTTGTCATAATGCTGCAATAATTTTCATTCTAGTTCTTGTTTTGTAAATGTTTATTGCAGGTTTTAACTTTATTTCAGCTCATTGAGGCATAGTCTTGAGTATAAAAAGTTATAAAGCCTGTTTACCTCATAGACTTTCTTTTCATTCCACGTGTTTCTGAACAACTTTGATTGTCTGATCAGGAGCATCCCCCTTTGTGAACCCCTGGAAGGACAGCCTTTCAGATTCCCCTCAGAACTACAGTTGTCTGTCCCTGTACTCTTTCAGATAACCAAGTTACTTACTATCCATATCAAAACAGAAAAATAAGATTAAGTATTTTTATACATGTGTAAAATTATTGTGGGGGAATACTTTGAAGGTATAGATATTAAACACTCTGAGGTGTTTGGTGTTAACATTGTGAAGAGTTCAACCAACTACGAAGTTTAGTGGGACGTTTTACAGAGGACTGCTCTCACTTCACATCAAGTGAAAATTCGGCAGCTTTTCAAAACTATCTTCATGTTTAGTAATTTGCTAGAAAGACTCTTAGAATTCACTGAATGCTTTTATCCTCACAGTTACTGATTCTTACAGGGAAAACATGCATATTATAGTTAACCAAGAGAGAAACTAAATAAGACAGAGTCCAGGGAAGTACCAAATCCTTATTTTCTATTGTATTCTCCCAGTGGAGTGGGGTATGTTACATTGTCAGGATTAGCATGTGACTTAGACACAGATAACTCCCAATCAGGGGAACTTACCTGAGTGCTGGGGTCCAGAGTAATTACTGGGGCTCCAATTTCATAGCCATGATTGGTTGGTTGATTCCCATGTGGTTGTTTAGTCTCCTGGTTCACTGATTCCCTGTGAGGTAAAGCCCTTCCATGAATCACACTGATGTTCTTTCTGATGTGAGGAGTATCACCCCCCATGCCCCAAAGGAGTGGCCAGTCACAACCCTAAATAATATTGTTTCACTATCCAGAGTTACCCAGGTTTTACCCTCAAGCAAAGAGACTCTCCTCAGGCATGACACTTCAAGATCCTAGAGATTACCTCTCAGATGCTGACGACAACGTCCTGACCTCTTTCAAGTTAGGTTAACTTCTTTGTAAGGATGTATAACAGACAAATATACAAACTGTTTATTCGTTATTGCTTCTCCTTAAAGTTCCTTTGGATTCATATTTCACTACATATGTAGTATTTTAGCTTTATAACTTACCACACAAAATTTTAGACTGACTAAAAAATTCACTAGAAATAGCAACAAGTGAAATGTATATATTAATTTTTTAAATAAGTATTTTATTTCTATCCAGAATTTTACATATGAGACATGGTGTGGTTCTAAATTGGTCTCATGCAAACCAAAAACCAGGGTGCACTTGGAAAACAGAAAAATGAACGTTCATTAAAGTTAAATCCCACATCCTAAGTGTGAAGTCTTGAAAACACTGAACAAAGACTTCACTTGTCCACATGTCTTATTTGGTGTTTTTGTTCGTTTGTTTGTTTCTGTTTTTGTTTTGTTTTGTTTTGTTTTGAGACGGAGTCTCACTCTGTTGCCCAGGCTGGAGTGCAATGGCCTGATCTTGGCTCACTACAACCTCTGCCTCCTGGATTTAAGCGATTCTCCTGCCTCAGCCTCCTGAGTAGTTGGGATTACAGGTGTGTGCCACCACACCCGGCTAATTTTTGTGTTTTTAGTAGAGACAGGGCATCACCATGTTGGCCAGGATGGTCTCAAACTCCTGACCTCACAGTCCACCCGCCTCGGCCTCCCAAAGTGCTGGGATTACAGGTGTGAGCCACCGTGCCTGGCCTACTTGTCCACATGTCTTAATTCTGTGTCCTTATAGGAGGCAAGATCCAAACTGAGATGGAGACTGTTCCAGAAGCAGGAACACATGAAGAATTTTCCTGCAAGCAAATTTGGGAACAAATTGCAAGTGACTTAACCAGGTCTCAAGATACCACCATAAGTAACTCTCAGTTATTTGAACAAGATGACAACCCCTCCCAGATTAAAGCAAGACTATCTACAGTTCACACAAGAGAAAAACCTTTCCAGGGTGAAAATTGTAAACAGTTCTTCAGTGATGTTTCCTTCTTTGATCTTCCTCAGCAGTTATATTCAGGAGAGAAGTCTCATACCTGTGATGAGTGTGGAAAAAGCTTCTGTTACATCTCAGCCCTTCATATTCATCAGAGGGTCCACATGGGAGTGAAATGCTATAAGTGTGATGTGTGTGGTAAGGAATTTAGTCAGAGCTCACGTCTGCAAACTCATCAAAGAGTCCACACTGGAGAGAAACCATTCAAATGTGAGCAGTGTGGGAAAGGCTTCAGATGTAGATCAGCACTTAAAGTTCATTGCAAATTACACATGAGAGAGAAACCTTATAATTGTGAGAAATGTGGGAAGGCTTTCATGCACAATTTCCAGCTTCAGAAACATCACAGAATTCATACTGGGGAGAAGCCATTCAAATGTGAAATATGTGGTAAGAGCTTCTGTCTTAGGTCAAGTCTTAATAGGCATTGCATGGTCCACACAGCAGAGAAACTGTACAAATCTGAAAAGTATGGAAGAGGTTTCATTGATAGGCTAGATTTGCATAAGCATCAGATGATTCATATGGGACAGAAACCATATAATTGTAAAGAATGTGGGAAGAGCTTCAAATGGTCCTCATATCTTTTGGTCCATCAACGAGTCCACACTGGAGAAAAGCCATACAAATGTGAGGAGTGTGGGAAGGGCTACATTAGTAAGTCAGGTCTTGACTTCCACCATAGAACCCACACGGGAGAGAGATCTTATAACTGTGATAACTGCGGGAAGAGCTTTAGACATGCTTCTAGTATTTTGAATCATAAGAAACTCCACTGCCAAAGAAAGCCATTGAAATGTGAAGACTGTGGAAAGAGGCTTGTATGCCGGTCATACTGTAAAGACCAACAAAGAGACCACAGTGGAGAAAACCCATCCAAATGTGAGGACTGTGGGAAGCGCTACAAGAGGCGCTTGAATCTGGATATAATTTTATCATTATTTTTAAATGACATATAAGTTATACATATTTATGGAGTGTGAAATTTGATACATGTATATAATGTGTGCTGATTAAATCAGTTTAATTTCACCTGAAACATTATTTGTGTTGGAAAAAATTGAAAATCTGTTTTTTGGATTTGAAAACAAGTTACTGTTGGTTATAGTCACCTTTAGTGCTATAGAACAATAGAAGTGAAGTAGTGAGGAGTTTGTTTGTTTGTTTGTTTGTTTGTTTTGAGACGGAGTGTCACTCTGTCGCCCAGGCTGGAGTGCAGTGGCGTGATCTTGGCTCACTGCACCCTCCATCTCCTGGGTTCAGGCCATTCTCCTGCCTCAGCCTCCTGAGTAGCTGGGACTACAGGCACCCGCCACCATACCCAGCTAATTTTTTGTATTTTTTTAGTAGAGATGGGGTTTCGCTGTGTTAGCCAGGATGGTCTCGATCTCCTGACCTCATGATCCGCCCGCCTCGGCCTCCCAAAGTGCTGAGTAGTGCGGAGTTTTGAATAAAGTTACAGGATCAAGGGCCAGGGTGCCAGAGAGAGGAAAAGAGAGGGAGAGAGAGATTTTTCTTGGGACTGGAACCTGAACAAACTTAGTCCAGGGGAGGGGTGCAGTCCATCCCACTGCTTGCCAGGTTGATCAGGCCTGCAAAGTCAACCTTTTCAATTTGACTTTGAATAGAAATCCTGCATGGATTTCTATTCAGGTGACTCGGATCAGTAAGACAGGGAAACTTTCCACTCATTCCTCTTGGATGTCTATTCAGGCAACACAAGCCAGTAAGGATTAGGAAAGGAGAGGCAAAGCACCCTGAGTAAGAAAAAAGATAGGAAGAGGAAAAGAGAGAAAGAAAAAAGGGAAGGGATTGACTGGGCATGGTGGCTTATGCCTGTAGTCCCAGCACTTTGAGAGGCCAAGGTGGGCAGATTGCTTGAGTCTAGGAGTTCAAGACCAGTGTGGGCAACATGAGGAAACCCTGTCTCTAAAAAAACACAAAAATTAGCCGGGCATGGTGGCACATGCCTGTAGTATCAGCTACTTAGGAGGTTGAGGAAGGAGGATCATTTGAGCCTGGGAGGCAGAGGTTGCAGTGAGCTAAGATCACATCACTGCACTCTAGCCTGGGTGACAGAGTGAGACCCTGTCTCAAAAGAAAAAAAAAAAAGAAAATCATTGGCCGGTAGGGTGACGTGGCCCCAATCCCTGTTGGACTGAACAAAGGAGGATGAACGCGGGAATAAAGATAAAGACAAAAGAGTATATTCGGAAGAAGGGGTCAGGAGGCTCCTTGCTTCTAGTGAACAAGGGCCCTGAGCTTCTAGCTCCCTTTGTATTTATTGAGCAAAGGAGATAGAGAGAAGGAGGTGGTTGTCAGTCAGCTGCTTGACTCAGTGCAGGCCTGGATGACTGCATTCCCTGAACAGTAGTCTCCAGATATTCTAGTAGATAACCTCAAGGAGCACGGCACCAGGGAGTGATTGAACTCAGCATACCTTCTGGTGGCAGGTACAGATATGAGTTTGCCCACATCCTGCATTCATGATAAACAGTGTGTTGTTTGATCATATAGCCTCACTGGACTGCTGAGTTGGTCACGATCCTCCGGCTTTCGGCTCTCTACAGTAGAGGCAGAGGCAAGGTCCATGAGGCTGGAGAAAGCCAACCATTGTGGTAACACTGAATCAAAAGTTCAGTCAGGTGATTTTCAATCATGAAGAAATCTTGTCCAGCAGTCCTGTCAGCTCACATGTCTACCCCTCAGGGAGAGAAAGGCCCCCCATGTCCCATGATCCTAGACAAATCCCCAAAGAATATGCCACCAACCACAGGTTCCTGGGCTCTGCAATAGAAATTGAAATGAGACTGAAAGGGTTTTCCCAGACAAGCCTTCACTGGAGCTTATGCCTGGACATAAGGAAGGCGGCACAAGAGAGAATTTCCTGACTCCCTTCAAAGAGCTCATAGGATTGTTTATTTGGCAAAGCGTGGGAATTAACATCAGGGATAGGGTTTGAAGGCTGGGCTGGGAAAAGCACATGACTGGTAGGGCATGCAGGTCAGCATTACCTGGTTGCAATGCTTATCTTGTGTACTGGGCCACCTGGTGGTCTGGGTGGTGGCAACAAGGCTGTAAATCAATTGTTTAGCATTTCATCCTGAAGGGAGACACTCTACAACTTTGGTTATCACCCAAGGCCAGTTCCTGGAATTCTTAGCAGTGAGGTAGAGGTGTGGGTTTTGTGATCATTGGGAATGCATGAAAGAACGCTCTAGTCGGGGTGAACTGAAGCCAAGCCCTGTCTCTACTCTGTCAATAGAACTCAGAAGAGTTCTACTGCAAGTGAAGAAAAGGGTGACTGGAATCACCTAACAGAGTCACAGCCCCAAAATCAAATCCAAGACATGTCCAGTTTACAAATCCACATTCATTTACATGAAAGGGAGGCCAATACTGGATGAGAATAGATCCTACCACATTTCAGAGTTCTCCACAGGAAACTATGGCCATGAACCTGTGTGACTATGTACTCAAAAGGAGAAATAATCACTCTTTTTGACAATGACTGAATCCTTATTGTCAAATGGCACATTAATGTGATGATTGGACCTGGTGAGAAAAAAGTAGAAAGTAATCTAGACATGTTTGTAAGACACATGCATATCAGAAGGACAGAATAAGTCCTATAAATATTCATAGGACTTCCACCTCAGTGAAATTTCCATGAGTTCACTGATGCAAAACTATTGAGATATTCCTTCTAGGACAAGCGTGGTGGTCATGCCTGTAATCCCAGCACTTTGGGAGGCCAAGGCGGGAGATCACTTGAGGTAAGGAGTTTAAGACCAGCCTGGCCAACATGATGAAACCCCATCTTTACTAAAAATACAAAAATTAACTGGGCATGGTGGTGGGTGCCAGTAATCCCAGCTCTTTGGGAACCTGAGAAAGGAGAATCACTTGAACCCAAGAGGCGGAGATTGCAGTGAGCCAAGATTGCACCACTGCACTCCGGTCTCGGTGACAGAGTGAGACTGTCTCAAAAAAATAAATAAAGATATTCTTTCTAATCTAAGGTGTAGGGCAAGTAGCATGTGATGCTTCCTAAAACCAAAAAAAGTGTCCCAATGCCCAGTGGCCCTGCTCAGCTGTTGGAGGCTACTTATTCTTCACTGTGGTGTACTACTCTGCTTTTTATGAGTGACCTGAAATCATTTTGCCTCAGTTGAGACAAGGTTGTGCAATATGTGCCAGCTGTCATATAAGCTTCTCTTCCACTAGGGTCCTATGATCCAGGAGACCCACAAGTGACTGAAATATCAGAAACAGATAGTGATGTTTGGAGAGAGTGGCTGGCCACAACTGATGAATCAAAGCACAAACACATAGAATTTTGTAGCGAAGCCCTGAAATCCTCTACGTATGTTTACTCTCTCTCTCTCTTTTTTTTTTTTTTGTACAGATGGGGTCTCACTTTGTTGCCCAGGCTGGTCTTGAACTCCTGGCATCAAGCAGTCCTCCCACTTAGTAAAGACAGAGCACTTAACCATGGGCTACCAAATTAGCATGTGAGCCAAGGTTTCCATTATGAATTGGGTGTAGTTGGCCACTCCATATCTTTAAATTGTATGTGCACATTGGTATTCCACTTGGAAGTGGTATATATGAGATTGGGTTGGAGCGGGTCCTGAAGCCACAGGTAAGTGCCCCTAAGGCCCATTGTTCCTACTCCTGCTACAGTACCATCAGAATGAGTGAACATGAAGATAAGTCATAGGAAATTATTGTGTCTCAGAAGCAAAAAAAAAAAAAAAAAGAAAAAGAAATGAGTAAAAATACACAAAACCCAAGGCACCATATATGCATTATAGGTGTCCTAGGAGGAGACAGAAAAAGTCAAAGAGAGCTTTACAGAAATAAAGGCTGAAAACTTCTCAAATATGAAGAACACATTATTCTGTAAATCCAAGCTCAATGAATTTCACATAAGATAAAATCAAAGAGACCCAATTGAGACATATTGTTAAAAATTATTGGAGGACAAAGACAAATGAAAATTTTGACAGCAGCAAGTCCAAAATGACTTGTCATGTACAAAGAATCTTCAATAAGATGTCAGCAGATTTTCAGCAAACATCTGAAGACAGATGATGTATTCTCTGCTGAAAAAACCAAAAACACACAGTTGTCTACTGAGAAATCAATATTCAGCAAAACTATCCTTCAAACATGAGAGATAAATTAATACTTTTCTAAAGAAACAAAAGCCAAGAGAGTCCATTACCGGAAGACAATTTATATGAGAAGTTATAAAGGGATGCCATCAAGTTGAAGTGAAAGGATGCTAGACAGCAACTTGAAACCATATGAAAACATAAATATCTAAAGTAAATAAAATTACATGAATGATGTAAAACTCACTATTTTTGTAATTTGAGTTTTTACTCCACTTTTTATTTTGTACACTATGTAATAGGAAAATGCATTAAAATGATTGTAAATCTATGTGAATGGGTACACAATATGTATAGTTGCAATACATGATACCAGTCACATAACATGAAGGGAAGCAGAAGTTGTGAAGGAGTAGCGTTTTTGCATGTGACTGAAGTTAAGTTGGTATCAATTTTAAATAGATGGTTATAACTTTAGACCATAGCATGTAGAATGTTATGTTTCTTCAAATAAAGAACATATCAGTGAGACACACAAAGGGAAATGAGAAGAGTTTCAAAATGTATCACTACAGAAAAAGGACTCAACATAAAGGAAGGCAGTAATGGAGGAAATTAGGGGCAAAAGGCAGTAAGACATTTAAAAAATAACAAAATGGTAAGACCTTTCCTACAAATAATGAGTTTAGTGTAAATGAGTGAAACTCCTCAACCAAAAGATGTTCACTGGCAAAACCATTGAAAAAAACAGTATCCAAGTGTATGCTCTGCACAAGGGATATGCTTAAATCTAATGATGTGCATAGATTGAAACGGAAAGGATGGAAAAAGTTATTCCATATAAATAGTAATAAAAAGAGAGCAACGGTGGCTTTACTAAGGGCTAAATTAGACTTTAAGTGAAAAATTGTTAGAAGAGACCAAGAAGAACATTATATATTACTAAAAGGATGATTTCACCAAGAAGATATAACAATTATAAACATATGTGCACCAAACATCAGAGCTCCTAATTATATGAAGCAAATACAGAATTGAAGAGAGAAGTAGCTACCCAATAATACAGTTGACTGTGAGCCACATGGATTTGAACTGCATAGGTACACTTACGTGTGAACTTTTTTCAACCAAACTCAGATTGAAAATACAATATTCATGGGATGTGAAACCCACATATATGAAGGGCCAAATTTTTATATACATTGGTTCTACAGGGCTGACCGCAAGACTTGAGTATGTATGCATTTTGATATACCCACATATACTAAGGGTCAACTGTACTAGGACACTTCATACCTCACTTGCAAATAGCCAGACCAAAGATATGTAAGAAAAACAAACAAACAAAGATAAGTAAGGAAATAGAGGATTTGAAGAATATTATACACAAAATTGACCTAAAACACATATACGGAATAACCCACACAACAACAACAGAATATACATTTTCTCATTTGCACATGGAATATTCTCCAGGATAGCTATATATTAGGCCACGAATCAAGTGTTAATAAATTTTAAATTTTAATATAATAAAATACATTTTTTCCAATTACAATCTAGATCACAAAAACTAGAAATGATAGCAGCAAGAAAAGTGAAAATTCACAAGTATGTGGAGACTAAACACATTCTTAAATAACCTATATGTCAGAGTAAATTAGAAGTGAACTTAAAAAATATATGGAGACCATTGAAATTAAAAACAACGTGCCAAAATTTATTGGATGAGGTAAAAGCAGTAGTAGGTGGGAAATTTGTACCTGTAAATGCTTATATTAAAGAAAGAAATATCTTAAATTCACAACCTAATTTTATATTCATGAACTACAAAAAGGCAAAGAATTTGAACCAGAAAGCTAGTAGAAGGAAAGAAAGAATACCGATTAATGCAATGACAAATGGAGAATAGAAAAACAGAAAATTAACCAAACCAAGAGTTGGTTATTCCAGAAGATTAAGAAACTTGAGAAACCTATAGTTAGATTGACTAAAAAATAGAGAAGCCTCAAGAAGCAAAATTTACACACAAAAATATGAACTTTACTGCAAATTTTAGAGAAATAAAAATGATTATAACAGAGCACTATCTTTAATTGTATGCCAACAAATTGTACAACCTAGATAAAATAGACAAATCTCTTAAAACATATACCCTACCAAAAATGAATCATGAAGACAGAAAATCTGAGTAGATCCTTAACTAGTAAGGAGATTGAATCAGTAACCCAGTGCCTCCCAACAAAGAAAGCCCAAAATTAGGTGGCTCCACTGGTTAATTCTTGCATTTAAAAAAAAAATTATTTTTATTTTTAGTAACCCTTATTTTACTTAGTAAGAATTATTCCAAACATTTAAGGAACACTTAACACCATAACTCCTCAACCTCTTCCCAAATAGGCAAGAGGAGGGAACACTTCCTAGTTCCTTCTCTGAGGCCAGGATTACCATGGTACCAAACCAGACAAAGACATTGCATGAAAATTATACATCAACATCCCATATGAATACTGATGCAAGACTCTACCATAAAATACCAGCAAAATTCAGCAGCATATTAAAAGGATTATACTCAATGACCAAACATTTATTCCTGGAATGCAAATATAATTTATGACTCAACATACAAATATTAATGTATTATGCTGCATGAACAGATTGAAAGATATAAAAATATAATCCACATGATCATGTCAGTGAATGCAGAAAATTCATTTAACAAAATTCACACTTTCATGATTAAAATACCACTCAACTAAAAAGAAAAGAAACTATCTCAACAAAATAAAGGCTAGATGTGGAAAATTTCAAGAGCTTATTTTCTTATTCAATAGTGAAGGACTGCAAGCTCTTTTTCTAATATCAGGAACACAATGAATTTGCTCCACTTTTCCACCTCTAGTCAACATAGTATTGGAAGTTCTAGGCAGAACAATTAGGTAGAAAAAGGAAATAAACCTGTTAAAATTGGAAACACATAAAACTGTGTCTACATGCTGATGACATGTTCTTATAAGTTCTACAGAATACACAAGAAAAAAACCTCTTAGAGCTAACAAAGTCAAAAAGTTGCTGGAAAAATACCTGTATAGAAGAAGTAGTTTGTATTTCTGCACAAAAAAACAATCTGAAAGGAAAATACTTATCTTGACAATAGCATCAAAAAGAAACAATTACTTAGGAACTGTCATAACCAAGGACAAGAGAAGCACTTGAACACTGAGCTCTGAAACATATTACTGAAGGAAATTAAAAGAGGCACAAATAAATGGAGATATATCCATTATTAATGAGTTGAGAGATAAATTACAAGGCAGTAAATACCACCTAAAATGGTCTACAGATTCACTGCAATCCTTAACGTAATCACAATGATTTTTTTTCAGAAATGGAAAAATCCACCCAAGATTCATGTGAAATATCAAGGGATGCTCTCTTCCATGGTCATAACCTAAACATTGTCATTTCCTAGAAAATACTCTTCGGTAATAATTTGCAGCACTAGTCCGCAACAACTTTCATCTGTATTGCCACCTGAGTCCCATCAGCATACTTGCATCGATAATCTTAGTACCTCGCCAATACCTACAATCCACTGAGGCTATCACCTTTTTGCTCTCTTAATCCCTTATGTCCTCACAGCATCTCTTGTCAGGAGAGGACTGCTCACTTCCTTTTCTATCTTACTTCCCAGAATATGTCCCATGAAAATCTCTAGCTAGACAAAGGCAGAGAAAGAGAATATTTGATTTTTTAGGCTTTATGGAAGAGAAAGGAATGGCAATAGGGGTTTGGAGTAGACCCTGCAAGCACTAGTCAGTAGGGCGTATCCTGAATAAATAGTGGGTAAAGGACATTTGTGGTGATG
Source organism: Homo sapiens (assembly GCF_000001405.40). Taxonomy (NCBI): domain Eukaryota; kingdom Metazoa; phylum Chordata; class Mammalia; order Primates; family Hominidae; genus Homo; species Homo sapiens. The sequence continues at coordinate 44,041,060 of NC_000019.10, forward strand.
CTCTGTCCAATTCCACTTCAGGAAAGCCTGCCACAGAGTTAGTCAGAGTGATGTTTTATTAGAATAATGCTGACCTCCATGTTTTTGATTTTTGAATTATTCTCACACTTTGGAATTAAGGAATTTCTCATTACAAATTATGCTTTAGATACTTTGTGTATAATTATGCTCTTGGTTTCTAAGCATTGCTGTCAGGTTATACAGGGCAGTGAGTAGACATATCTGTGAAGCATTAACTCTGGGCATTGTGGTGAGTGTAATGGTAGAAGTATTTTCAATGTGTTGTGAGGGAAGGGAATATACCAATTCATGATAGGTGAGTGGGCTATTGGTATAAGTGAAAGAAGGTCCAGCTGCTTATCTCTTATAGAAAAAAGCCAAAATAACAACAGGAAAGTGTGATAAAAAGAGTGAATTTTATTACTTGTTGCTAGCAAGGGAAAGAGTGATTGGAATCTTTTCCAAAAGTTGCCACTTTTCAATTTCTGGAGAGAGGGCCACAGTTTAAGAAGTGGGCTTGGAATGCAGAGAGGTAAGGGGGTTTAGGAGGTACCTGATGGCATGTCTCGCTCTGATGATCTTGAATTATTGTTGCATCTGGTGAAGGGGCCAGCACGATCATGGGCTCAATCAGGTTATAAATTAATGGACTGTCAATCTTGCAGTTCATCTGTAGCCAGGAGGAGAGAATTCCAGAGCTGCCTGATCCTCATCAGTATTCTTCCCCTGAAGCTTCTAAGGAAATATGTGAGCAGATAAGTGAGCGCGGTGTGAGCTTAACAAGCATCCTGGTAAATAAATGTGTATAGGGCATGGAAGCATAAGGTGGGAAAAAGAAGGGAGTGGAGTTTTAAAGCAGATTTGGAGGCTGTATTTCAACACGAAAGAAAACACATCTGTAGTTTGTCTCAAAGCTACGTCTTGAGACTGGGGAGAAGTGGGAAAGAAAAGACGGTCTTTAAAATGTAGTTTGAAGCTAAGGTGCTTGGTTACACAGGCCCCAAAATACTATTAGGCCAACCAGTCCAACCTTGCTTAAACTTGAGTAATGATTCAAATATCATAAAATGCATCACTTTAAAATATATCCTTTAGTGGTTTTTTAGTAAATTCCCAAAGTTGTGCAACTGTCACTACTCTCTAATTTCAGGTTTTTTAAATCGGCCCAGAAAGAAATCCCCTATCCATTGGCAGTCACTCCCAATCCTCATCCTTTCTCCACTAGCTCCTGGCAACCATTATTCTACTTTCTGTTTCTACAGATTTGCCCATTCTGAATATTTCATGTAAATGAAATCATACAACATGAGCTCTCTTCTGAATCACATCTCTTAGCTTTCATTTCTCTTGGTGTATACTTAGGAGTGAAATTGGGTAATAAGCTGTATTAGTCTGTTTTCCCACTGCTATAAAGTACTACCCGAGACTGGGTAATTTATAAAGAAAAGAGATTTAATTGACTCACAGTTCCAAGGATTGACAGGAAGTATGACTGGGAGGCCTCAGGAAACTTACAATCATGGTGGAAGGTGAAGGAGAAGAAACATTAGAACAGAAAAGAGAGAGCAAAGGGGAAATGCCACACACTTCCAAACAACCAGATTTCATGAGAACTCACTCACTATCATGAGAATAGCAAGGGGAGGTGGAGGTTGCTATGAGCTGAGATGGCGCCATTGCACTCCAGCCTGAGCGGCAGAGCGAGACTCTGTCTTAAAAAAAAAAAAAAAAAAAAAAAAAAGACATTCCTTAGAAAAGCAGGGATTGATAATAATCAGTTGTGTTATCTTTTTGTAGTGAAATAATTTGAAATTCACAGGAAATTGCAAGGGAAGTACAGAGAAACCCCGAGTCTTCCATCTACATTCTTAATTACATTTTACATTTTACATAATTTTAGTAAAATATCAAAACCAGGAATTCAACATTGGTACAATGTGTGTGTATACCACTTTTATTTGTCGTATTTCATGTAGATTTAATGGAATCACCAAGGCAGTGATGATACAGAAAGAACTATTCCATCACCACAAAGATCTCTCTTGAAGTATCCCTTTATAGTCAACCCAACTTGTGTCCCTACCATTCATTACCCCTAGCAACTACTCATCTGATGTCCATCTCTACATTTTGTCATTTTGGGAATGACATATAGATGGAATCATGTATTATGTACTTTTTCAGATTGTCTTTTTACTCAGCATAACACCCTTTAGCTCAACTTGTCCAGCCAGTGGCACACATGCAGCCCAGGACGGCTTTGAATGTGGCCCACCACAAATTTGTAAGCTTTTTAAAAACATCATGAGATTTTTTTTTTTTTGCTATTTTCTTTTTAGCTCATCACCTATCATTAATCTTAGTGTATTTTATTTAATGCTGTGAGTATCTGTTTCTGTGTTCAAATACCATCCATAACTCTTCTTAAGTGAATTGGGTCTTTGTGTTTTTTGCTCCTTTTCTTCTTAGACTATTTTATGGTTGAGTTGTGAGAGTTGTTTATATATTGTAGATATAAATTTTTCGTCAGATATGAGATCTGCAAACACTGACAAAGCTCTAGGTACTGACAGTTTTCCTACACTGTCTTCTTAAAATTTTATGATTTTACATTGATATTTCACATTTAAATCTATGATCCAATTTGACTTAATTTTGAAATAAAGTCTCAGATTCTTTTTCTTTTATGCACATGGATGTTCAGTTTTCCCAGCAGTCTTTGATGAAAACACTGTCCCATTTCTATTTATTTGCTTTAGCATTTTGGCACAAATCATTTTGTTATAGTTGGTTAGGGTCATTTCTGGGTTATCTATTGTGTTCCACTGATCCGTGTGTCTATACTCAGAGAATATTACTCTGCCTTGGTTAATGTAGATATATAATAACTCTTGACATTATTAGAGTGATTCCTCCCACTTTATTCTTCTTTTGCAAAGTTGTTTTAGGTGATCTAGTTCCTTTGCCTTTTGATATGAATTTTTTATCTATTAAAAAAACTTGCTGGCCAGGGTGTGGTGGCTCACACCTGTAGTCCCAGCACTTTGGGAGGCCAAGGCAGGCAGATCACCTGATGTCGGGAGTTCGAGACTAGCTTGACCAACATGGCGAAACCCCGCCTCTACTAAAAATACAAAATTAGCCGGGCGTGGTGGCGCGTGCCTGTAATCCCAGCTACTCGGGAGGCTGAGGCAGGAGAATCGCTTGAACCTGGGAGGTGGAGGCTGCAGTGAGCCGAGATGGCGCCATTGCACTCCAGCCTGGGCAACAAGAGTGAAACTCCATTTCAAAAAAACAAAATAAAACAAAACAAAACAAAAAACAAAAAAACAACTTGCTGTGATTTTGATAGTAATTATCAAAAAGCTGTGCATCCATTGGGAGAGAATTGACATTTTTACTATGTTCAGTTTCACAATCTATTAATATAGAATATCTCTCCATCTATTTCATGTTGTTTAATTTTTTTCATAGTGCTGTAATTTTCAACTTGCAACCTGTGTAATTCTTTTGTCAGATTTATACCTGAATATTTAATTTATTTTGGTTTCCATGTGTTTATTGCTATTATAAAGAAATACAATGGATTTTGGTATGTTGGTCATGTATCCTATGATCATCCTGAATTCACCTACTATCTAGGAGCTGAGGGGATAGGAAGACTTCACATTGTAAAGATGACACTACTACCCAGAGAATTATACACTTTTCATAGAATCTTTATCAAAATCCCAACAGCCTTTTGTGTAGAAATAGAAAAGCCAATACCGAAATTCATATGTAATTGCAATGGCCACAAATGGAAAAATCAATCTTGATAAAAATGAACAAAGTGGATAACTTGCACTTTCTGATTTCAAAACTTTTACCAAGCTATAGTAATCAAAACAATTGTTTTATCTATTTAAAAAGATTCTAGCATACAAAGTTGTTCTAGCATACAAAGATATATATATATATATATATGGAGAGAGAGAGAGACTAATGGGCTAAAATTGAGAGTCCATAACAAAACCCATAAATCTAAGGCCACTTTATTTTCAGGAAACATTCAAGATTACTTTATGGAGATAGAATAGCAGCCGATACTGCTGGGACGCTGATACATGGACATACAGGATAATGAAGTTAGGTTCGTACCTCACACTATACTTAAAAATTAACTCAGAATCCGTAAGTGACCTAAATTTAAGAGCTTAAACTATAAAACTCTTAGAAATAAGCATAGAGATAAATCTTCCTGACTTTTTATTTGGAATGGATTCTTCAAAGAGACAACGTGAGCAGAAGCTAATAAAAAATACATAAATTGGACTTCAGTTTTTAAAAATTCTGTGCATGGATATACATGGTCAAGAACACAAAAAGACCATGCAGCATGGGTTCTAGTATCCCGAATATAAAAAGAATTCTTATAACGCAATGAAAAAAGTTGAAAGCACCCAATTTAAAAATGGGCTAAGGACTGCCAGGCATGGTGGCACACACCTGTAATCCCAGCACTTTGGGAGGCCGAGGCGGGTAGATCATGAGGTCAAGTGATCAAGACCATCCTGGCCAATGTGGTGAAACCCTGTCTCTACTAAAAATACAAAATTTACTGGATGTGGTGGCGCATGCCTGTAGTCCCAGCTACTCAGGAGGCTGAGGCAGGAGAATCACTTGAACCCAGGAGGCAGAGGTTGCAGTGAGCCAAGATTGCGCCACTGCACTCCAGCCTGGCGACAGAGCAAGACTCCATCTCAAAAAAAAAAAAAAAAAATGGGCAAAGGACATACATGGGCATTTCCAGTATACAAGTGACCAATAAAGGGCTCGACACCATTAGTCATGAGGAAAATGCAAATCAAACCAACAATAATATACCACTGACAACCACTGTGCTAGCTATCATTCCCAAAAATAGAAAATAATACATGTTGGAGAGACTGTGGAGAAATTACAACCTTCACACATTGAAGGTGGGAACATAAAATGGGGCAATTTTTCTGGAAAACTGTTTTGTGATCCTCAACATAGAATTACCCTATTAATCATATCTATAATTCATATAATTTCATATCTAGGTATTTACCCAAAGGAACTGAAAGCAGGTAATGGAATAAATATGCGTATAGGAATGTTTGTAGTAGCACTATTCACAGCAGCCAAAAGGTGGAAAGAACCAAATGTTACCAGTAGATCAATGGATAAGCAAAATGTAGTATAAGCACAGAATAAAATATTATTCCTGTATAAAAGGAAATTATGTACTGATACATGCTGTGATGCAGATGAACTTTAAAAACATTATGCTAAATGAAAAGGGTCAGAAACAAAGATCCCATACTGTGTGATTCCATTTATATACAATGACTAAAACAGATAATTAAATAGGATAGAAAGATTTGTGTTTGCCAGGGATAGGGGTATGGCCAATGTGAGTGACTGTTTAGTGGGGATGGAGTTTTCTTTGGGTGATGAAATGGTTTAGAACTTAAGAGGTCGTGGTTTTGTATTTGTACGAGGTACCCTTGCCATTAAATTATATATTTTTAAATGGTTAATTTTATTTTTTGTAAATTACACTTAAAGAAAACTTATTTAAAATAATAAAGACTATGTTCAAAATATCTGGCATAGCCAAAAAACCTAGAAGCACAGTCAGAGAAAACTCAAACTATTTTTTTAAGAAAACATTTGGAAGATATGTTAATATTGTAAATGTATAAATAATACTTAAAATTAAGGAGAAAAGACCAAAAACACAATAGAAGATGGGACAAGAGATTTGTACAGTTTCCAAAAAATATAATAATGGTCCTTGAAAATATGCAAAGATGAGGTGCAGCAAACCACCATGGCACATATACCTATGTAACAAACCTGCATGTTCAGCACATGTATCCCACAACTTAAAGTAAAATAAAGAATAATTATTATTATTATAATAAATGTCATAACATTTTAGAGGGGGAAAGAAAATTAGAGATTATCTTATACAACTTGGTTATTTTACAAATGACAAAGCTGTGTTTCTAATTCTTTAACTTGTGAATAAATGTGATGAATAAATGTGGAAAAAAAGGAATATAGGCCTGACTGTGACATTTACAGGGTTCAGGGCAAGAATACAAATGGAGGCCTACCTACCATATGCCTTGATATTTAAGTGTACAAAGCAAGCTAATAACATGTAAAATAAAATATGTTCTACCCTTATAAAAAAAGAAAATATGCAAAGATATTCCATGATATTTACAAAAAAAAATACAAATTAAAACTACATTTAGTTACCATTTCTTACCATTAGATTGGGAAAACTTTAAAAACATCAAAATACCACATTCTGTTAGCTAGTGTCAAGGCAAGACATTCCTCATACATTGCTTCTGGAAATGAAAAATAGTATAAAATATAAAGGCAATTTGACAATATGCAACAAAATACACTTCTATTCCCATTTTGGCCCTGAAATCCTACTTTTTGAAATGTACCCTTAACATATATCATCAACAGGGAGAAAATATATATGTATGAGTTTATGTATCATGGCATTGTTTGTAGTAATAAAATATTGGAAACCACTGAAATGCCCATGAATGGGTGCAGTATTGAATAAAGCACACAATGGAGTTTGTGGAGTTGTGAAAAGCATGTACTCTATATGAAGTGATTTTCCAGGATATATTGTTGAGTGACCATAGAAGGTTTAGATGAATGCTACCTTTTGTTTAAGTAAACAGCGAAAATAAGAAATCTACATGTTTTCTGTAAAAACTGGTAATGATAAACCAGAAAATAATGAAATTGGTTACACATGGGTATTAGGAGTCAACACTGTGGAAGTGGTGCGGTGGAAAGGAGGGGAGTGAGTGGCACTTTTCTGAGAATAACATTTTGTATAGTATAGACTTATGGGAATATGTTATTGATTGACATAATAATATAAAATCAAGAATGGAGATAAACCAGGAAACTTAAAATCAAAGAATAACAGACTAACCTAAATGCATTCAAATCAATAACACAGACTAAAGATGAAAGCAAGAAGTCATTTAAGTACCATATTAAACACAGTACAGTATTTTGAGTATATGTCCTCAGCATAAAGACAAAAAGAACTGTAATGATGTTGAACTCTAGTTAGCTGAGTTATTTTTACAATAATATGACTTAGTAATTATGAAACTACCTGATGCAATGGTTTAAATGTTTGTGGACCACTAAAATTCACATGTTTAATTCCTTACCCCCAATAAGATGGTTTTAGGAGGTAGAGCCTTTGGAGGGTGATTAGATTATGAGGGCAGAACTCTTATTAATGGGATGAGTCCCTTTGTAAAAGAGACCTGAGGAAACTTGTTCATCACTTCCACCATTTGAGGACATTGCAACAAGGTGCCACCTATGAACCAGAAAGCAGCCCCACTTCAGACATAAAATCTCCCAGTGCCTTGATTGTGAGGAATAAGTTTCTGTTGCTTATAAGCCAGCTAGCCCATGGTTTTTTGTGACTAAGAATATTGGTATTGAGAAGTGGGATTGCTGTTGTAACAAATATCTAAAAATGTGGAAGTATCTTTGTGACTGTATAATGGGTAGAGGCTGGGAGACTTCTGAAATGCATGCTAGGAAAAACCTACATTGTCATGATTGGACTGTTAAAGACAATTCTGGTTAGGGCTCAGAAGGACAGAATGAGAGCTAGAGAAAGCATCAGTCTTCTTAGAGTAAACCTATGTGGTCACGATCAGAATGTTGATAGAAATATGGACAGTAAAGGCCATTATGATGAGACCTCAGTCAGAAATGTGGAACATGTTACTGGAAACTGAAGAAAGCGGGGTTCTTGTTATAAAGGGGTAAATAATTTGGCTGAATTATATTCAGGTCCTAGTGTTTTTTGGTAGGTAGAACTTGTGAGCAATGTAATTGAATATTTAGCTGACACTATTTCTTAACAATGTGTTGAAGTTGCATCTTGAATAATCTTGACTACCTATAGTAAAATGTAGAAAGTGAGAAGTGACTGAAAGCCGGAATTACTAATTAAAAGGTAAAGAGAACTAAATACTTTTAAAATTTGCAGCTTATCTACTTTGGAAAACATGCAAAACCCTGTCCTGGAGAAAACAAGGGTGTGGCTGAACAACTGATTTATGAGATTAGTATGGATTGACCATGTTGACTCAAACCAGGACCTATTGTCCAAGACAATGGAAGAATGACCCCAGAAGTATTTCACAGATCTTGGAGGCTGCTCCTCCCATCAGAGGCCCAGAGCACAGGGACGTGGGCAACAGCAGGGACCTTTGATGCCAGGTGCCGCCTAACATCTCAGGCTCAGCTCCTTGCATACACTACCACTGAGAGTATCAATAAATTTTATCTTTTGTGAATGCAGAGTAGAGTAAGGATACAGCTGTAATTGGTATAGGAATAGCCATCACTCAATTTTCAAGGGGGCATTGAAAATTTGTTTGGCACTATGTGGTTGCTCAGTCACCTTAATTTTTGTCCAAACCAAACTGTGAAACGTCAGCCAGGTGCAGTGGCTCACACCTGTAATCCCAGCACTTTGGGAGGCCAAGGTGGGCAGATCACGAGGTCAGGAGATTGAGACCATCCTGGCTAACACAGTGAAACCCCCATCTCTACTAAAAATACAAAAAATTAGCCAGGCGTAGTGGCACATGCCTGTAGTCCCAGCTACTTGGGAGGCTGAGGCAGGAGAATCACTTGAACCCAGGAAGCAGAGGTTGCAGTGAGCCGAGATCGCGCACTGCACTCTGGCCTGGGCAAAACAGCAAGACTCTGTATCAAAAAAAAATTGTGAACAGTCTTTTTTTAATTTTTTTTTATTTTTTTTTACTTTAGGAAAATGGATACAGGACATTAGACTCTTTTTAAAAAGAAAAATATAGGTCGACAGGTCAATGTATGTTTATTTGGGAGGACAAAAAATATGGTTTATCTTCAAAAGAGAATTTTAGATGAATTGTTTCCTGATTTAGCTTTATACTATTATTAATGTCTTTCAACTAACATATGCCAGTTTTCAAATTGTTTCCTATAATGAAGATATTTTAACCAAGAAATGGAAAGGAAGAAACTCTTAATAATAAATCATGCTCCGTCACCTATAGAATCTTCTCCAGTTTTATGGCATTGAATCAGACATTGGGTGTCAGATTGATACCAATGCCAAGCTCTTCAACAGTTATACTTGCTTTAAGATACTTAGCAATTCACTAACTTCTCTGAAATTTAGCGTTTCTACATCTAAAGTAGAAATATTACTACCATGAGAATGTTAAATGTAGCTTTTCCATGAGGACACAGCTTCTCCATTGGTGGCTGGAATTTTGTTTTTCCTGTCAAACCAGTGGTACCACAGCATCTGGACTAGGGCTGTAACTGAGAACCACCATTTTTCTAAGAGACAGCTTATTTATTTCTCTCTCTTTTCTCATTCCCTTAGTTCCCCACTTCCTATGTAGCCCTTTAAAAATGCAAATATAGACTTTTACCTCCCCTTCACCAGACACTTCCTACAGGGAAAGTTCATCTAACTGTGTGCTCCAAGCCAGAACTCTCCTCCAGAATTAACAGTCAATTTACAAACTAAAGCATGCTGGCCTCTGAACTCTCACTCACCAGGAGGTTGCCTGAAGAGACAACAGTTGAAAGCGTGCCTGCTACTCTCTCCCTTCTGGTTACAACTTATTTCTGCCCATGAAAAAGCCAGCTCAACTGCCTAATAGATAAGGCACCAAGCCAGCACACAGACCCCTTCCCTCTTCCTCCCCTACCTTTTAAAAGTGCCTGCTTTCTGCTCTAAAAGCCAAGCCGTGCACTTAAAGACAACACCTGTGCTACTTCCCCTACGCTAGCTCTAGAATAAATCACTTTCTTTATACCAGATCTCCCTCTTGTTAACTGGACGTTGCAAACGGGAAGCCACTGATCTACTTTTCAGTTACAGGGGCTGATGCTTTCCTGGCTTCTCATTGCCCCTCCCAACCCATTCTACCTGGCTCATTCTTTAAACCAGTGGTCCCCAACCGTTTTAGCACCATGGACCGGTTTTGTGGAAGACAATTTTTCCACGGACTGGGGAATGGTTTCGGGATGAAACTGTTCCACCTCAGCCATTAGATTCTCATAAGGAGCGCCTGACCTAGATCCTTCGCACGCACAGTTCACAATAGGATCCGCGCTCCTATGAGAATGTAATGCTGGGCTGATCTCACAGGAGGTGGAGCTCAGGCCATAATGCTCCCTCACCTGCCGCTCACTTCCTGCTGTGCCGCCCGGTTCCTAACAGTCAGTGGACCGGTACAGGTCTGTGGCCCTGGAGTTGGATATCCTTGCTTTAAACCCTGAGCCTCCTTTCAGCCATCTGACGGCTCAACAGTCACTCTATCTAGCTCCTTGAATATTGTATCTCCTCGCTTGTTCCCTGTCCAAGAACACTCCTGTCAATCATGGGAGACATTTAGACTTCATAAATTCTTTCTATTCAATATTTTCGCTCGAGGACTCTGGGAAGGACAACTGTCAGGGTAACAGTCTGCATTCCCCACCAGGAACCTGGGGCTATGAAATTCGTTCCCCGTGGGTGTTGCGGGAAGTGTAATCGAGGAGCACCATGTAGTCGCAACACTTGAGCCTAAAGGGTGAGGTGATGGACATTTTCCTTTTGCATCTGAGGCTCTGCAGTCCAGACACCTTGCGGGATTCCTGATACTTCAGCTCAGGTAGGCGTTTCCGGAGAATTCTGGGAAGAGTAGTCCATTTTACGGGAAGTGTAGTCCACTGGCTCGTGGAACACTGGGTATTTTGGCTCTGGCAGGTGAACCGTTGAATTCTGGGAACGATAGTCCAGACACTCTGCGGAGTCCCGGGCCCTTTGGCTCAGGGGGGCGGGTCCGGGGAATTCTGGGGAGTGGAGTCCAGACACTCTGGCGCAGAGAGGACACTTCCGGTCTCCTAGTCTGAGGTTCCTGCTTTAATGACCGGGGTAGTTTGAGCCATTTCTGCGTCTTGCAGGACATTTTGAACGAACCCCCTTTGCTTGAGGCTCGCAACCACCCGATGATCGATGATCGTCTCAGGGGAAAAGAAGCCTTGGCGAAGAGCAGAGGTTTAGAGGTGCGAGGGCGGGGAGGGTGTTTATTGTTCCCGTCAGCGGAGCCTTCTGGCGTCGGGGGGCTTTGCTCGCCTCCCGGGGGGTGGGATTGGGGTGGCCTTGTGTGCCCTGCTCTGAGGGTTTCCAGGACTTTGACCTCGCTCAGTCCGCCTCCCTACGTATGCAGTGTGTACACTCTTTCTCGCAGTGTGATGTGGAATGTTAATGTCTCTGTACTTCCCATTGCTGTTCTTTAAAATGGTGCTTATAGGGTCATCCTAATAGAATTGTTTTGCGAATTGAAAGAGATAATACAAATGAAAGCCTTAAAGTTGTCCCTGTCACTTGGTGAGTGGTCTCTTGTTGCCTGATATTTTAAAACGTTTGATATCATTTCAAAGCTATAGAAAAATTGCAAAAACAGTATAAGAAATTCTCATATACCCTTTACCCAAATTTGCCAAGTGTTTACATTTTTCCTGTTTGCTTTGTTGATGACCATCAACCAAATACCACCAGGAACATACCTGTAACCAGAGACAGCTGATTGGTAGCTTTCTGCAGCAAGGAAGCCCACATACCACGGTAATTGTGGGGTGTCTTGGTAAGAGGCATTTAGGAAGGGCTGGTTATAGGGTTTCACATAACATGGTAGATAATATTGGATATTATGTTAAATAATACTGTTACCGATTACATGTCAGATAGATGTGTTAAAAGAATACTAGTATTTGTAGTGTACTTACTAGATAGTGTTGGATAGCATATTACCTAGCATCATGTTATCTAATCTGCAGTTCCATATACGAATTTGTTAAATTTTTCATTTAAAGTCCTTATGACTGTCCTCTGCCCCACCCTTCACCTATTCAAAGTCCAGTTTATGCGTTGTCTTTAGCTGTCACATTTCCATAGTTGTTCATTTGGAGTTTGATATTGAAGGGGGCCTGCCTCTCCACACCTGTGGGTGTTTCTCACAAGGTGGAAATGAGAAACTGAGAAAAGAAATAAGACACAGACACAAAGTATAGAGGAAGAAAAGTGGGCCCAGGGGACCGGCGCTCAGCAAATGAGGACCTGTACCGGCACTGGTCTCTGAGTTCCCTCAGTATTTATTGATCACTATCTCTACTATCTTGGTGAGGGGGATGTGGAAGGACTATAGGGTAATGGTGGGGAGAGGGTCAGCCGGAAAACATGTGAGCAAAGGACTCTGTCATAAATAAGTTTAAGGAAAGGAGTTGTGCCTGGATGTGCACATAGGCCAGATTTATGTGTGACTTTACACAAACATCTCAGTGCAGTAAAGACCAGTATTGCCGCCAGTATGTCTCACCTCCAGCCATAAGGCGGTTTTCTCCTATCTCAGTAAATAGAATGTACGATTGGGTTTTATACCGAGACATTCCATTCCCAGGGATGAGCAGGAGACAGATGCCTTCCTCTTACCTCAACTGCAAAGAGGCCTTCCTCTTTCACTAATCCTCCTCAGCACAGACCCCTTATGGGTGTCGGGCTGGGGGACGGTCAGGTCTTTCCCTTCCCACGAGGCCATCTCTCAGGCTGTCTCAGTGGGTGGAAACCTTGGACAATGCCCAGGCTTTCTTGGGCAGAGGTCCCTGTGGCCTTCCGCAGTGTATGGTGTCCCTGGTTAATCGAGACTGGAGAATGGCAATGACTTTTACCAAGCATACTGCCTGCAAACACATTTTTACCAAAGCACATCCTGCACAGCCCTAAATCCATTAAACCTTGAGTCAATACAACACATGTTTCTGCGAGCACAGGGTTGGGGCTAGGGTTACAGATTAACAGCATCTCAAGGCAGAAGAATTTTTCTTAGTACAGATCAAAATGGAGTTTCTCATGTCTTCCTTTTTCTACGTAGACACAGTAACAGCCTGATCTCTTTTTCTTTCCCCTACAGATATATTTCACATTTAGGTTTAGATTATACATTGTTGGTGGGGATTCCACAGGAGTGTTAAGATGCCCTTTTCTTTTTTTTTTTTTTTGTTTGAGACAGTTTTGCTCTTGTCACCCAGGCTGGGGTACAATGGTGCAATAGGATGCCCTTTTCATTGTAACATAACAAGGTCCAAGTGATGTTCGTTTGTCCCTTCATTGGTGATCTCAGCTTTGTCACTGGCCAAGAAGATGTCTTTCAGATTTTTCCACTCTTATGTTACTTTTTTTTAAATTATGAAGTTTCTTATGGGAAAATACATTATTAGTGGGCATTTTCTTGTAAAAAAGAGCTTCCATTTCTCCTCTATTGGTTCATTGATTTGTTCAACTATAAATATTCTATCAATGTGGACTCAGAATCCAGTCTTATTGATTCTAATGATATGTGCATTAACAGTTTTTTTTTTAAACTCTAGGTTTATTTTAGTTATAGCATTCACCCATTTCAGGTATACAAGTCAGTTCAGTGGTCTTTAGGAACTTTGAAGTGGGGTAATCATCATCATAATTCAGCCGAGATCACTTTCATCCCCCAGTTGGACTCCTCATGCCCATTTACTTTGAACCTCATTCTCAACTCAAATTTAGAACAACTGCTAACCTACTTTCTATTCTATTCTACTTGTCTATTCCAGACATTTCATATAAATGGAATCGTAGGGTCTGTGGGTTTTTGTGACTTGCTTCTTTCATTTACTGTAATGTTTTCAAGGTTCACGGGTGTTGTTGCATGGGTCAGTATTTCATTCCTTTACATTTCCAAATAAGATTCCATTGTATGAATATGCCACAATTTTTCTGTCCCTTTACCTGTAGGAGAGCTTTTTGGTTGTGTGCAATTTGGGGTTAGTATGAATAATGCTGCTGTGAGCGTTCATGTGCTAATTGACAATATGAGTCCTTGTTGGTGGGTGACATCCCTGGCCACCCTTTCATGTCTCTTTTTCTGTCTTCATGGCACTTTCCAGGCACAATTCTGCTTTCCCTGGAACTGTGTCATTCAGGACTCTGCAAATTCCCTAAAGTAGGAGGAAAAATGACCATGTCCAAGGTAAGTAGGACTTGCCTCTCTTACTGTTAAAATTCCATCTCACTACTCAGATTGTTGTGTGTTTTTCTCTGCCCTGGGAAGACTCAAGGAGAACAGCAGGACTTTGAGGATCTCTTGTCACCTGGCTAATTTTTGTAGTATTAGTGGAGATGGGGTTTCATCATGTTGGCCAGGCTTGTATCGAACTTCTGACCTCAAGTGATCTGCCCGCCTCGGCCTCCCAAAGTGCTGGGATTATAGGCGTGAGCCACCGCACCCAGCCAGAAAGCCTTCATTTAAAATGGCTAGTAATACTGGGCTGGGTGCAGTGGCTCACACTGGTAATCCCAGCACTTTGGGAGGCTGAGGCAGGCGGATCACCTGAGGTCAGGAGTTCGAGACCAGTCTGACCAACATGGAGAAACCCCATCTCTACTAAAAATACAAAATTAACTGGGCATGGTGGTACATGCCTGTAATCCCAGCTACTCGGTAGGCTGAAGCACGAGAATCACTTCAAACCGGGAGGCGGAGGTTGCAGTGAGCTGAGATTGGGCCATTGCACTCCAGCCTGGGCAACAAGAGTGAAACTCTGTCTCAAAAAAGAAAACAAAACAAAAAAAGTCTAGTAATACTGAAGATTGGCCAGTCACTTGTGTACTGTCACTCATTTACTTCTCAAAGCAGCAGAATGAGGAGGTTCCTGATCTCTTCTCCTAAACTCATGAAATATGAGAAACCTGCTCAAAATCAGAGGCAATCAAGGAACAGGAATGTTAGCCATTCTGCTCAAGTGAAAGAGAGAGACGAGAAGAAAGAAAAATTCTCCACTGAGGGTCTGGTGACCTGTTGTGTGGATGTCTGGAGTGCTCCCTTGAGTGATGACATCCATAGGTGGCGCTGCTTCTCCCTGTCCTGCGTTGGTGTGACCTCTTCTTTTCCAGACCTGGCACCTACTCAGGTGTACTCATTGTTCCAAGTACCCAAGGACAGTGATTACCACAGCTGTTCTTATCTCCAAATTCCTCCTTATGGCACAAGATACCTCACACATTTTTTCTTTGGCTGGGCGCGGTGGCTCACACCTGTAATCCCAGCACTTTTTCGGAGGCTGAGGCAGGTGGATCACTAGGTCAGGAGATAGAGACCATCCTGGCTAATATGGTGAAACCCCGTCTGTACTAAAAATACAAAAAAAAAAAAAAAAAAAAAATTAGCCGGGCGTGGTGCGGGCGCCTGTAGTCCCAGCTACTCGGCAGGCTGAGGCAGGAGAATGGCGTGAACCCAGGAGGCGGAGCTTGCAGTGAGCCGAGATCGCGCCACTGCACTCCAGCCTGAGTGACAGAGTGAGACTCTGTCTCAAAAAAAAAAAAAAAATCCCTAAATTCCTCCTTATGGCATAAAATGCCTCACCATTTTTTTTTTTTTTTTTTTTTTTTTTGAGATAGAGTCTCTCTCTGTTGCCTAGGCTGGAGTACAGTGTTGCGATCTCAGCTCACTGCCAGCTCTGCCTCCCGGGTTTACGCCGTTCTCCTGCCTCAGCCTCCCGAGTAGCTGGGACTACAGGCGCCCGCCACCACACACCCGGCTAATTTTTTTGTGTGTTTTTAGTAGAGACGGGGTTTCACCGTGTTAGCCAGGATGGTCTCGATCTGACCTCATGATCTGCCTGCCTCGGCCTCCCAAAGTGCTGGGATTACAAGCGTGAACCACCGTGCCCGGCCCGCCTCACACATTGTTACCAGAAAAAATGACAACCTGGGGCAAAAATATTTACCCCTTGGATAGTTAAGGAAGAATAAATCCAGAATAAGAATCTTCTAAAAGGATAAAGAAAAAAGTTCAAACAGATTGGAACAAAGAATACTAAAAGGCAATTGTAAAAGAAGAAATAGAGATCGCCAATAATCTTGAAAAGTGGTGATACTCATTTATAATAATAAGTGAGAATGATAGAATGAATTGTTCTTCCTAATCAGATTACAAAACCATGGGAATATTTATAAACTGCTCTTGGCTATCATAAGGAGAATTAGGGTACTTGTATTCTGTTGAATGATTAGAGAGGTAGGGAAAAAAGTGAGAAGAAAGTATGCAATTATATAATGATAATATTAAATGTGCTTATTTTTCACATTTTAATTTTCATATGAAATTATTTTAAATGAGACAGAGTCAGATGTTCTTACATCTTACTACTTACCATATCATCTTGGCCGGACTGATAATGGAAAATATGTGAAATTAAATATTTATTATTTAGTGTAGCTAAAAATAGATCATCAGTTCCCTGGAATACTATGGAACCCTGAAATAGATAATGGTAATAACAGTAATAAGTAATACCAGCTAATGTTCATTAAACAGTCTGTGCCGTAGACTTTTCAAAATACCGTATATTTCTTTTCTTAATTCTTGAAAAAACTCTTGTCATGTAAGAACTATTATTCAGAGAGGGAACAAGCCTTGTAGGAAAACATGTCTGAGGTCACATGGTTAGAAATGGGCAGACTCTCAGAATGTGCACTGAGGCATTCTGGCTTCTGATCAGGACACTAAATGCTGCAATAAGCATATGTGGTTTGTGCCTTGCGAGTACAGAAGACACACTGCATAACTGTCTCAGGGTACCATGGAGCAGGTTCACTGTGCACTGATTACCAACTCGTGTGAGTCCTGTGGGACAGAACACATTCACACGCAACAGATTGCATGAAGCAGATTTATTACTACAGATTGGCAGCAGGCGAGCCCAGAAGCCTAGGGTCCAGTATGAGCTGGCCATCCAGGGCTCAAGAAAGCTACCTGGAGCAGATGGAATCTTGACTGTATGTGCCCCACTTGCACCAGAGCTGAGGCACCCCAGAAGGTAACCTGCCCCCATTTATATACTTCAGGGTGCCATGACTCATGGAGAAAAACTTGAAGGTCATCTTCCTTCCAGGTGAGAGAGGAACAAAGCCCAGACTGTCAAAGGCAGTTCCTCCCCATAATATTGCATTCTTAGAATAATCTACAGTTATTCTTGAGAACTACAAGCAATAAAGGGGAGAGAGCTGGGTGGGGTCTGCACCCCAACTGTCCTGCAGTCCATCCCCTGACCCAGATATCCCTCTTAGCAAACTGGTCCATTTCATATGTCCATCGACCTCCCCTGGCCTCCCCTGATCTTGTTAGATCAGTGTAACACCTTGACTGACACAATCTCTGCCAACTTCATGGAATTATAGCTGGAATACATTCCGTGGACCCCAGAGGAGCATGACCACAAGCAGCACAGCCAGACCTTCCTGAAGTAGTAATCCTGCCCAGGTCCCAGTTATCAAAATAAGAAGCTGCTGAAGATACCAAAGAAGAATCATTCAGGTGGCCCCAGTGTCTGAAGCCAGTGGACCTGCTTCTGGGTTGCCTCTCATTGAGTTTTTACAATAGCTATGTATCCAGAGAAGGCCGGAGGTGTTGGCAGTTGCAGACCCACTCCTCCCAGTAGGGCTAAAAGCACAGAGCACTTGTGTTTTTTGAACCTTCCTGAGGGAGTGAAGGGATGTTGCTGGGCTCCCAAGGCAGTGGCCGTGGAATAAACAGTATCTATCGGCCATTGCCTATGGCAGGTGTCTCATCATTTTTCATGGGAATTCACTTGTAGGTGTAGGACATAAATCTGGAGCTAGCTGCACCTCCAGGCAGGTCCCCAGTCAGCCTGGGGCACAGCTTTAGCCTTCTTGCCCAGTGGTGCATCTCGCTTCCAGGGTGACATCTAGGGGCACCCCCAGCATGCCTAATGTTTGGGATCTAACAGTCTGCCAGCTTTCCAGGCATGACATTGCCCACCCTGTATCTGGGTCACCCTCCAAACCAACCACAGAGAAAGCCATAAGGCTCAGGTGCACACAGCACCCATTCCCTTGTTTGGGTGTTCTGTGACCCATTTGTGGGAATGGGGACATTATCTTTTGCCAGCCACATCTCATTTTTGGCACAGTTGCATAAGGTCAGTTCCCCCAGTATGACATTCATGCGGCCCTTACAGAGAGGAATACCACTCATCCAGTCCTGGTTTTCATTATGTGGAACATTTCTCATCCAGGTAATCAAAGGAACATGGTGCGAGAAAGCACAGTCCACTGTAGCTTTGTTGAGGTTGTGTGATTCTGCTGCCTTACACCAGTTACCACAGGGCCCTCCAGCTCTCTCTCATGTGGCAGGTGCCAGGTTCTGACGTGACAAGCCAGGGTTATGGAGCTGTTGGTGTGCACTGTGGCATGAAGGATGCTGGTGTGGTTTACCATAGTCAGGATGAGAGGGTCACTGTGGTTGGTGATAGAATAAATGCAGGGTAGCAGATGGAACACTTAGCCAGGTGACATGAGGTGACTGCAGCTTGAGATAAGGAATGTGCTGTGCTTCCAGGCCTCTGCTGCCATATCCTTGGGGGAACAGCAGATTAATAGCTGTTGGATAGTGGGTGGGCTGAGGTGGTGCAGCGACCCAGTCTGTCTGTCCCTGTCCTGAGGCTACTACCATTGTAGACATCCATTCCCCTGGTTGTTTGGCTCAGACCTTCCTGCCTCAGTTGTTCAGTCAGGAAGGGACGTCACGTCCTATACAAAAAATGCCTGCTAGTGCCAGCCACCCAAATGGGATCAGGTGTCCCCAGTACCATCAGAAGGACCCTGGTGACCCCTATGGTATTCCGTGGTCTCATTCTTCACCACTGTGGGATCCCATAGAAGTCAGGGGATGTTCAGGAAAGCATCACCTCCAGATTAGAGTCAGGAGGACCTTTGTCAGTTACCGCGGTGATCTGAACCGCAAATTACCAACAGGATGTGCATTATAAAGGGGAAAAGGAAAAATAATTATTGGGAATACTGAGATTGGGGTTTCACAGCCACAGCCTCATCAACCGGCTGCCAGGTCGGGCAGATACTGACTGAATTGCTCACTGTCGCTGGGACTATTAGCAAGGTTCATTGAAACCTATATACGTGTAGCCCAGTATGCAGCATTTAGACTCCTAGGGGGCTACATACAAGTAAACTCAATGAGTTCACTAAATAAGACCACAAGACTTCTTTGTCGTTGGACTTCTGATGACGCTTGGGACAATCAAGGTGTGTCATTGTCAGGACACAGACTAGAATGAATGGGAATTCTATAAGTTGACCTACATCTCTGAAGATCCTGAAAAACTTTCCATTTTTCCTCTTGGCCTCCTCAATGTTCCTTCTCTCCCAGTAACCATTGGTAGTGAGATTGAGGTTGCATATGTTTGATGCTGTAGGAGGCAGTGACCTTCAAGGATGTGGCAGTGGTCTTCACTGAGGAGGAGCTGGGGCTGCTGGACCTTGCCCAGAGGAAGCTGTATCGAGATGTGATGCTGGAGAACTTCAGGAACCTGCTGTCAGTGGGTGAGGACAGGCATCTTCTATAAGGGAATGTCAGGCCCCAGGAGTGGTTTTGTATCCTAGGGTGTTCAAGTTTGAGTGTGCAGTGGGAACCTAAATTTCCAATAAGTGTTACCGTGATATTATCTAGAATATGTTGGGATTAAGCATGTGACTTTTCCTGTTTACAGGGCATCAACCATTCCACCGAGATACTTTCCACTTTCTAAGGGAGGAAAAGTTTTGGATGATGGATATAGCAACCCAAAGGGAAGGGAATTCAGGTAAGAAGCACGCAACTGTGTGTCCTTGTTTGTGACTTCCATCTGTTTTACTTCTGTGCACGTCCAACTCCATTACCTTCTTCTAAATGGCCAAACATCTTTGCTGGATTATGATAACCTCCTTCCAGCTAGTGGCCCTGCTCCGTGCCTTCCCACTCTGACATCTGTTCTCCTCATGGCAGCTAAAGTGATCCTTAGGACATGGATGTCAGATTGTCATTCCTCAGCTTAAGAGCCTTTCTGTCTTCTTAATTTTATGAAAGCCTCTTTAAGTTGCTTCTAGAAACCCCTGTGGTCTACTCTTCATTTTTCACTGCTTCTTGACTACATCTCCCATACTCTCCCTCATTCTCCATCTTTTCTGGCCACCTTGTCATCCCTCTTATTTCTCCATCCTGCCAAGGACACTGTATCACCTGTTGCTGGTACCCAATGACCACGAACTTAGATGATTAAATAAGAAGCATTTATTATTTCTCTGTTCTTTAGGCCTGAAGTCTGACACATCTCACTGGGAAAAAATCAAGCTGTCTTAGGGCTTTGTTCCTTTCTGGATGTTCATGGGGAGAAGGCTTCACTTTGTTTTACCAGTCCCTAGACACTGTCCACACTCCGTGGCTCTAGTTTCCATTCCTCCATCTTTGAAGGCAGCTACATTGCATCCTTGACCATTCTTCCAGAGTCATGCTCCCTCTGCCACTCTTCTTATGCCTATGTCTTTCACCTTTCAGGTCCCTTGTGGTTGTATTCATCACTCCTGTATGATCCAAGTTGACTTTCCTACTTTCTGCTTAGCTGATTAGTGACTTCAATGACATCTGCAGCCTTAATCTGCCTTGCTGTGTAATGTGTCAGAATCATAGGTCCTGAAGGCTGGATGTGGACATCTTTCAGGAACAATTATGTTCCCTACCACAGAAGCTTCTGCCTCAGGGCCCTCACTTGCTTTTCTCTCTGACTGGAGTCCTCTGTTCCCACAAAACTTACTGACCCCCTCTGTTAGTTTATGCAGGTGTCTGCTGAGTTTTAATGTCATGGAAGAGGTCATCTTCAAGCACCCTATTGAAAATACCATCCTATCTTTACTTGGCCTGCAAGTATTATGTGTCATATGCTTTTGTTTACTGATAGATCACCTGTTCCCTTTCAAATATAATCTCTACAAGGTGTTTATCTGTTTGTTTATGACTGCATCTTCAGTGCCTAGAATAGTCCTAGTACATGGAGGGATCTGTAAATATTTGGTATCCTGATGAATGAATTAATGGATGGGGGGACTTCACTGTCTGTAGGAATCATGGAGCTAGCTAATAAGTAATACATGAACCAGAGTGTATGAAATATATTAGTCCCTTGGAAGCCATAGGGGTTTGATTTCAGGACCCCACATGGATACCGAAAGCCAGAGATGTTCAAGTTCCTGATATATGTGAAGTCTTTGCCTATAACCTATGTACATCCTCCCATATACTTTAAATCATGTCTAGACCAGTTATAATACCAAATGCAATGCCTACCTGTCACTTCATTCACAAGGATTCAACATAGGACTCAGTGTGTGAGAAATTCCAGTTTTGCTCTTTGGAACTGGAATTTTTTTCCCTAAATATTTTTTATGTCCTGTTGGTTGAATCCATGGATGCCAAACCCATGGATATGGAGGGCTGATTATATATTGCAGAACAGATTTTTTTTTTCTCTGTGGATGGCTGCTTATCCATTTTCAACTTTCTTAGGTTTCCTTGACATGATTGGTTTTATGTGTGTGCAGTTGACCCATGTCCTGTGGAAACTTCTAAGCATAGCATTTTTTTTTTCATGACCACACTGAGTAATATGCCTTCCCTGGGACCTACCCTGGAGCTTTCCATAGGGAGCATATTTATATCTGAGAAGAAAGTCTTTTTGAATGAGGATTTGCAGCTAGCTTTCCTTTGAGAGATTTACCCATCTGCAGCCCATTTGCCTTTTCCAAAGTCGGCCCACACTTCACTGCCTCCAGTTCCTCCTTCCTTCCCTTAGAGGGGGAAGAATGAGGATGAGAGGACACAAGTTATGTAGCTGAATGTTGACTCTGTTTCTGGTCATCTTTCTTCAAAAATGTGCGTATTTCCCTTTTCTTTACATTATGCAAATTTAATTGTCAAAAAGTTAAAGGACAGGCTTTTTGTTTATTTTTATAGATTTAGTGCTATATTTTGAACTAGTAAGCTTTATGACCTGGAAGGAATTGGGGAATTACTTACTCAAAATAGAAACATCCTGAGACCCCTTCCCATCTCCTTAAAGACCTCTTATTTATAAGTCACAGTGTATTAAATATATCCATGTACCTATTAGACAGGATTGTTCCCTTGACCATCTTTGCGGGCAGGAACTTCAGGGTTTGTTTCACTCAGCCCACCGCTGTCGATTCCTTGCAGGAGGGAGTGTGCAAGCGAGCAAGTGCAGGAACCGGAGCAAATGAATGCTGGAATTGGCTGGTCGCTCCTCTCTGGCGAGAGCAGGCTCTGTTATGCACGCCCCACAGCAGTGTCCAAGCATGTTACAACCCATGCTGTTTCAGCTCTGCCATCTGGGGATGGCCAAGTGCCAATCAGCTCAGTGGAGCATCAGGGTAGCAGCCCCTGCCCTCTTGGCACCTGGGTTCTTGTCCAGCATCCAGGAAGAACCAGGTCACATGAACTGTGTGAAAGGTGATGAACGCAGAAGACTTTATTGAGTGGTGAGTGGTTCTCAGCAGAAAAGGAGGCTGGAAAGGGGCTGGGAAGGGGATCAACATGTTCCTGAAGCCAGGCCATTTGTGGCTGGGCCCCTCTCCAAAGCAGCACCTTCTGAAGTTAGCCACATCTATCCATACTTTCCGACACTCAGTTGCTTCTCTGCTCACCGCTCAGCGACTTGTATCCTTGCCACTCAGCTGCTTGTGTTGCTCTGCCAGCTGAAATCTTTTATGGTCACAGGATAGTGGCAGGCAGGCCAAAAAAAGCAACATTGGGGCAGAAAAATGGGGTCATCTGTTTTCACTTAGGGCTGAGGTTCTAGGCTTAAGGGTGGAGTTTGGCTAGGTATACTGATGGGTACCCACTTACCTATTAATATTTTCCAAGTTTCAACCTTTGGAACTTAACTCTCCATCAGAAAAATTTACCTAATTCAGGACTTGGTAATATCCTGACAAAGTTTTGAACATTTTGTGAGCATGAACCATAATAAGAAACACCTCTTTCAGTATAACCTGGACAGTTTTCATGCATGTAGGTGTATGTGAGTGACTTTAGCTGACATTTCATGTAACGACACCTTTCCTGCTTGTCTCCACACTGTGATAATTTTCATTCTGGCTCCTTTCTATAAATGTCTATTGAAGGTTTTAACTTTATTTCAGCTCACTGATGTGTAGTCTTGAATATAAAAACAGTTAAAAAGGCCTGTTTATCTACATCATAGGCTTTCTTTTCATTCCAAGTGATTCTTCACATCATTGATTGTCTGATGAAGAGCATCCTCCTTTGTGGACCTCTGGAAGGACAGCCTTTCAGATTCCCCTCAGAACTGCAGTTGTCTGTCTCTGTACTCTTTCAGATAACCAACTTATCATCCATATCAAAACAGAAAAATAAGATTAAGTATTTTATATGTGTCATGCAAAATTCTTGTATAGGAATACTTTCGATTTGTAGATATAAACATTCTAAGGTGTTTGATGTTTAGTATCATGAAGGGTTAAACTAAAAAGTTTAATGGGACATTTTACAGAGAACTGCTCTCACTTCACTCCAAGTGCAAATTCGGCAGTTTTTCAAAACTACCTTCACATTCAATAATTTCCTAGAAAGACCCTCAGAACTCACTGGATGTATTTATTCTCACAGTTACTGATTTTTACAAGCAAAAGATGCATATTATAGTTAACCAAGGGGGAAAAACCAAATAAGACAGAGTCCAGTGAAGTACCAAATGTGGATCTCCTATTGTATTCTCACAGTAGAGTCGGGCATGTTACATACCCAAAATTAGCATGTGACTTAGACACAAGGAACCACCAATCAGGGAAACTCAACTGAGTGCTGGGATCCAAGTAATTATTGGGGCTCCATTACATAGCCATAATTGGTTGGTTGATTCCTGTGTGGTTATTTAGTCTTTTGGTCCACTGGTTCCCTGTGACCTAAAGACCTACATTAAATCACATCGTTATTTTTTCTGACATGGGGAATGCCACCTGCCATTTCCCATCCCCCAAAGCTGTGGCTAGTCACAACCCTAAATTATATTATTTCACTGTCAAGAGTTACCCAAGATTTGCCCCCAAGCAAACAGAGAGACTCTCCTCAGGCATGCCCCTTCAAGATTCTACAGATTACCTCTCAGATACTGAGGACAAAGTCCTGACCTCTTTTTAGTTAGGTTAACTCCTTTTCTTATTTTTAAAAATGTTTTTTAAGCCATCTTAAACTGAAAGGAAGGTTAACTTCTTTATAAGGATATATAATATACAGGCAAATATACGAAGTATTTATTATGTTACTGCTTTCCCTTAGAGTTCCTTTTGATTCATATTTCATTACGTACATAATAGTTTAGTAATTTATCATGTAAAATTTCAGACTGAGTTGGAAATTTTAAAAACAGTAACAGGTTAAATGTATGTGTCATATTAATTTTTTATTAAACCTTTTATTTCTATCAATGATTTTTTATTTGAAATGTGGTATGTTTTTTTCTTTCTTTTCTTTTTTTTTTTTTTTTTTGAGGCAGAGTCTCACTGTGTCGCCCAGGCTGGAGTGCAGTGGCACGATCTCGGCTTGCTGCAACCTGCGCCTCCTGGGTTCAAGCAATTCTCCTGCCTCAGCCTCCCAAGTATCTGGGATTATAGGTGTGTGCCACCACACCTAGCTGATTTTTGTATTTTTAATAGAGACGGGGTTTCACTATGTTGGTCAGGCTGGTCCCGAATTCCTGACCTCAAGTGATCTGCCTGCCTCAGCTTCCCAAAGTGCCTTGGTCTCCCAAAGTGCTGGGATTATGGGTGTGAGCCACCGTCCCCAGTGACATGGTATGGTTTTAGATTACTCTCATGCAAACCAGAAACCAGGGTGCACTTGGAAAACACAAACTGAACATTCGTTGAAGTTTCATACCATGTCCTAAGTGTGAACTCTTAAAAACACTGAACAGGGCATAGCTTGTCCTGATCTCTTAATTTTGTATTCTGATAGGAGGCAAGATCCAACCTGAGATGAAGACTTTTCCAGAAGCAGGACCACATGAAGGGTGGTCCTGCCAGCAGATCTGGGAAGAAATTGCAAGTGATTTAACCAGGCCTCAAGACTCTACCATAAAGAGCTCTCAGTTCTTTGAACAGGGTGATGCCCACTCCCAGGTTGAGGAAGGACTATCTATAATGCACACAGGACAGAAACCTTCCAATTGTGGGAAGTGTAAACAATCCTTCAGTGATATGTCCATCTTTGATCTTCCTCAGCAAATACGCTCAGCAGAGAAGTCTCATTCCTGTGATGAGTGTGGAAAAAGCTTCTGTTACATCTCAGCGCTTCATATTCATCAGAGAGTCCACCTGGGAGAGAAACTCTTTAAGTGTGACGTGTGTGGTAAGGAATTCAGTCAGAGTTTACATCTGCAAACTCATCAGAGAGTCCATACTGGAGAGAAACCTTTCAAATGTGAACAATGTGGGAGAGGCTTCAGATGTAGATCAGCACTTACAGTTCATTGCAAATTACACATGGGAGAGAAACATTATAATTGTGAGGCATGTGGGAGGGCCTTCATTCATGATTTCCAGCTTCAGAAACATCAGAGAATTCACACAGGGGAGAAGCCATTCAAATGTGAGATATGTAGTGTGAGCTTCCGTCTTAGGTCAAGTCTTAATAGGCATTGTGTGGTCCACACAGGAAAGAAACCAAACAGCACTGGGGAATATGGAAAAGGCTTCATTCGTAGGCTGGATTTGTGTAAGCATCAGACGATCCACACAGGAGAGAAACCATATAATTGTAAAGAATGTGGGAAGAGCTTCAGACGGTCCTCCTATCTTTTGATCCATCAGCGAGTCCACACTGGAGAAAAGCCATACAAATGTGACAAGTGTGGGAAGAGCTACATTACTAAGTCAGGTCTTGACTTGCACCATAGAGCCCACACAGGAGAGAGACCTTATAACTGTGATGACTGTGGGAAGAGCTTTAGACAGGCCTCAAGTATTTTGAATCATAAGAGACTCCATTGCCGAAAAAAACCATTCAAATGTGAGGATTGTGGAAAGAAGCTTGTATACCGGTCATACCGTAAAGACCAACAAAAAAACCACAGTGGAGAAAATCCATCCAAATGTGAAGACTGTGGGAAGCGCTACAAGAGGCGCTTGAATCTTGATATAATTTTATCATTATTTTTAAATGACACGTAAGTGTTGTACATATTTATGGGGTACAGTGTGATATTTAAATATATGTATATGATGTATAATGATCAAATCAGTGTAATTAGCACATTTATCACCTCAATTATCTCTTTTTTGTGTTGAGAAAATTAAAAATTCATTGTTCCAGCAGTTTGAAAATAAATTGTTGTCGATGATAGTCACCTTTAGTGCTGCAGAACAGCAGAACTTCTTCCTCTTATCTACCTGTACTTTTGCATCCATTAGCCAACCTTTGGCCATCCCACCTATCCCTTACCCTTCCCTGCCTCTAGAGCCACTGTTCTCACTACTTCTAAGAAATCAGCTTTTTAAGCTTCCCCATGTGATTGAGGACAGTTTGAAGTTAGTGTTTCAGCCATAGCTCAGCATACCCCAGTGGTCGTGGGACTGTCAGAGCAGAGAATGCTGCAGGGTTTCTAACAGAAGTTTGACAATTAGTTATTATTCAGGAGACAGGTCTTAGTATAAGAGTTTGTTCACACACTTTCAAAACACTAATGATGAACATGTCAAAATTGATGACCACTAGAATGTCAGCCACATGTGTCTTTGTATTTTTGCTGCATCCTTACATTGCTTGAGTCTGGAAGATTGAGGCTGCACTGACCTATGGTAGTGCTACTGCACTCCAGCCAGGGCAACAGAGTGAGACCCTGTCTCCAAAAAAAAAAATTAAATAAATACCTTTCTTTGTTTCTAGACAAGCATCTCTCTGTGTTTCTGGAATTTTTTTTTTGAGTGTACATACATAGTGTGTTACAATTATATTCTTATTTTCTTCAGCAGTGAATATTTGCTGGTATTTTTCTATTTTATAATTGTATGCATTATTTTTAGATTTCTCAGTGAACATCAGAAACCCCATCTCTACAAGAAATACAATAATTAGCCAGTTGTGTTGGTGTATGTCTGTAGTCCCAGCTGGAGACTACTGGAGAGGCTGAAGTGGGAGGATCGCTTCAACCCAGGAGGCAGATATATATACAAATGGAATAGAAGTGAGAGTCCATAAAGAAACCCATACATCTAAGGCCACTTGATTTTCAAGAAGGATCCAAGATTACTTTATGGAGACAGAATAGTCTCTTCGACCAATACTGCTGGGACACCTATACACAGACACACAACATAATGAAGTTAGATTGTACCTCACCCTACACTTAAAAGTTAACTCAAAATTCATCAGTGACCTAATGTAACAGCTAAACTATAAAAGTATTAGAAGAAAACATAGAAGTAAATCTTCCTGACTTTATTTGGAATGGATTCTTCAATGAAACAACATAAGCAAAAGCAAATATAAATACCTAAATGGGACCTAGGTTTTAAAAAATGCTGTGCATACATGGACATTGTCATGAACATGAAAAGACCATACAGCATGAGTTCTACTATCCAGATTATATAAAGAATTCTTACAACTCAATAACAGAAACCACTCAATTAAAAAAATGGGCAAAGGGCTGGGTGCAGTGTCATGCCTGTAATTCCAGCACTTTGGGAGGCTGAGGTGGGCAGTTTACTTGAGGCCAGGAGTTCAAGACCAGCCTGGCCAACATGGTGAAAGTCTGTCTTTACTAAAAATACAACTAGCTGGATGTGGTGGCCTCCTGGGCTCAAACCATCCTTCCACCTCAGCCTCTTGAGCAGCTGAGACTACAGGCGTGCACCACAGCCTCTGGTTAAGTTTTGTATTTTTTTATAGAGATGAGGTTCCTCCATGTTGCCCAGGCTGGTCTCGAACTACTGCACTCAAGTAATCTGCCCACCTCAGCCTCCCAAAGTGCTGGGATTACAGGCATGAGCCACTGCACTCAGCCTAAAAAAAAAAAATCCTAATTTTTATGGGTACACATATGGAGTATATATGTTGATACAGGCATACAATGCATAATAATCATATCAGGGTAAATGGGGTATCTGTTACCACAAGCATTTATCAGATTTTTGTGTGTGTTAGAAACAATCCGTACTCGTTTAGTTATTTCAAATGTACAATAAATTATTATTGACTGTAACTCTGTTGTGCTATCAAATACCAGATCTTATTCATTCTATCTAAGCATAGTTTTGTACCCACTAACCATCCCCACTTCCCTCACCACCAACCTTAACTTTCCCTCCCTCTGGTAACCAACATTCTGCTCTCTGTCTCCATGCATTCAATTGTTTTAATTTTTAGCTCCTACAAATAAGTGAGAAGATGTGAAGTTTGTCTTTCTGTGCCTGACTTATTTCACTGAATGTAATGTCCTTCCAATTCCATCCATATTGTTGCAAATAACAAAATCTCATTCTTTTTGTGGCTGAATAGTACTCCATTGTGTATATGTCCATTTCCTGTATCCATTCACCTGTTGATGCATACTTAGGTTGCTTCCAAATTTTGGTTATTGTGAATAGTGCTGCAATAAACATTGCAGGGGAGGGTGCAGATATCACTTTGATATAGTTTTAATTTTTTGAGGAACCTCCATACTGTTCTCCGCAGTGGTTCTACTAATTTACATTCCCACCAACAATGTGCGAGGATTCCCTCCTTCACTCCTTCCACATCCTCACCAACATTTGATATTGCCTGTCTTTTGAATAAAAGCTATTTTAACTGGAGTGGGATATCTCATGGTAGTTTTGATTTGTATTTATCTGATGATCTATGATGTAGAGCACCTTTTCATATACCTGTTTGCCATTTGTATGCCCTCTTTTGAGAAATGTCTATTCAGATATTTTGCTCATTTTAAAATTGATTTATTAAATTTTTTCCTATTTGGTTTGAGCTTCTTATATTCTGGTTATTAATCCCTTGTCAGATGGATAGTTTGCAAATATTTTCTCCTATTGTGTGGGTTGTCTCTTCACTTTGTTGATTGCTTCCTTTGCTGTGCAGAAGCTTCTTAACTTGACGTGATCCCATTTGTCCATTTTTGCTTTGGTTGTCTATGCTTTTGGGGTATTACTCAAGAAATCTTTGCCCAGACCAATGTCCTGGAACATTTCCCCAATGTTTTCTTGTAGTAGTTTCATAGTTCGAGGTTTTAGATTTAAGTCTTTAATCCATTTCGATTTTATTTTTGTATATGGTGAACAACAGGGTTGAAGTTTCATTCTTCTATATGTGGATATCATGTTTTTCTAGCACCATTTATTGAAGAGACTGTCCTTTTCCCAATATATATACTTAGCACCTTTGTTGAAAATGAGCTCACTGTAGGTGTAGAAATTTATTTCTGGATTTTCTAGTTTACGCAGCACTAAAAAGAATGTACTGTACATGAAGTGATTTCTAGGATATGTTGTTACATGACCATAGAAGAGTTAGAAACGTGCTTTCTTTTAAGTAATAATGGAAAATAAGAAATCTACACATACTGATACGGTTTGGCTGTGTCTCCACCCAAATCTCATCTTGAATTATAGCTCCCATAATTCCCACATATCATGAAAGGGACCTAGTAGGAGGTAATTGAATCATGGGAGTGGGTCTTTCCCATGCTGTTCTCGTGATAGCAAGGACAGATAGAGGAGTGACTTTGAATAGAATGGGAGGCAGGTTTGCCCTAAGCGATTTCCAGCTTGAGATTTCCTTAGTGATTTTGGGGGCCCAAGATATTTTCCTTTCACAATACTAAGCAGTTTAATTTCTCTTAAATGTGGCATTTCCACGTCTAAAGAATATTAATATGAAAACTTTAAAAGTGGGAAGATAGCTTTTCCAGGAGGGCAATTGGCCCTCCATATTGGCCCTTGACAGGGCAGGAGCATCGCCATCTTGGACAAACACTGCCATTTTAAAGTTCGCGTTGATCAAAAACTGCCTAAATCCAAAGGGCATCAGCCTAATGGCTAAGGTCAGCATGACCATAAACCACAAATGACATCTCCAATCAGAAACATTCCAACCATAAGATAAACCCCTCCCTGACCAGAGACATGCCAGCACCGAGATAACCTCCCTTCCATTGGAGAGATGTCAGTCCCAAGATAACTTCCCCTCCAACCAGAGATATTCCAACCCCACAACAGACTTCTCCCCAATACAGAAACATTCTAAGCCTGTGGTAAGCTCTCTCTCCCTAAAGCCAATACATACTCTTAGTCCGTAAGAGAGAGCGCTCCTGACTGCAATCGGCCAGAAGGCCCTCTCGGTTTATTCTCCAAAACGAACCTGTCTTTGACTGTTGAGCCGCTTTTCGTGTTTTTTTTTTTTTTCTCTTTAACTCTTACAGCCCTCTTAAACACTTAAACTGTGGTTGTTTTTCTTGCCAAACCAGTGGTACAACAGTGTCTGGTTGTACCAGGGGCTGGTGCCCCACTCAATGCCTCTCCCAAACCATTTTTCCTGGCCCATTATTTAAGCTCTTAGATTTAGCCTCATACTATTAGCGTCTAGTATATTAGCCTTTCAGCCATCTCCTGACCGCTCCACAGTCACTCCCCGCTAACTCCTTGAAGATTGTATCTCCTTGCTTTGTTCTCTTTCAGTAACACTCCTGTCATCATGGGAGGCGTGTAGACTTCAGGAATTCCTGTCTATTCAATATTTTCTCTCGAGGACGCAGGGAGAGGGAAGGACCACTCTCAGGGCCACAGTCCATATTCCAAACCAGGCGCTTGGGTCTATGGGATTCATTCCTCGTGGGCATTGCAGGAAGTGTAGTCAAAGAGCACCGCGGAGTCCCACGCTTCCCGCCGGAAGGTGATACTATAGAACGTCTCCTTTGAGATTCAAGGAAGTGTAGCGCAGGAGATCTGTTGAATGACGAGCAAGTAGGCTCAGGACGGCGTATCCGGGGAATTCTGGGAAATGTAGTTCACACGCTGCGCGGGGTAGGGGCACTTCCGCTCCCGGGGGGCGAGGTTGCTGCAGTGCATTCGGTGGTAGTTTGGTGTCAGTCCTGTGTCTTGTCGGTCCTTCTAAACGTGTCCCCTTACGATGCTGGCTCGCAACCACCTGGAAGTTGACTAAGGGGAGAAGGAGTCTCGTTGGAAAACGGAGGTTTGGAGGGACAACGGCCTCTCTTTTCGTTCTTGTCAGCGGAGCCTTCTTGGTCTTGGGGCTGTCCTCGCGTCCCCGGGCATGAGGCTGGGGGTTGGGACTTGGTCGGGACGCGTCTCGCCTGGTTTGAGGGTTTTTGGGGCTCTCAGCTCGCTCAGTCCGCCTCCCTCCATCCCACCTGTGAGGCTACTTTCTCACAATTTAGGGTTGGGATGTTATTAATCTCCCTGTACCTCCCACTGCTGTTCTTTAAAATGGGGACTTTAGGACCATCCTAATGAAATCGTTTTGGGAACTGGAAGAGGTAACACAAATGAAAGCCTTAAAGCAGCCCCTCCCTTAGTGACTGGTGGTCTCTTCTTAGTGTTTATTTCCCACGAAGCCTGTCAGGTCCCCGGGTGGGGTCAGAGCTCCATCTGCAGGGATCCCCGCCCTTGTCTCTGATTCCTGCAGGACGCTGGGTGATCCCGGACGCTTCTGACCTCTTTTTAGGAAGGCGAGGGTTGTTTCCATTTCCACGAAGGGAGAGGAACATTTAACTTTTATGCCGGACGGCAATGCGGTCAGGGTGTTTCACAGCTTTCTCCTTCCCCAGCCTGATTCTCAAAAAGAGCTGCAGGGAGGGACTTCTTGGCTACTGAGGGCAAAGTTCCACGAGAGTGGTCCTTGGCTTTTTTTCTTTTACAGAGATGCTCACCCCGACCAAGAGTGTAGGATGTGTCCTCAGGCATGGGTGTTGATAATAATTAAGCCTCAATTGGTAACTTTATCCCAAGAGCTTTATACAAGTAGTCACATTTTCGCCACACCGTGGCTCTGTGGAGAGGTACTACTTTTTTCAGTTTTAAAGATGAGTGAGATACAAAGGAGCAGGAGTTATCTGAGAATAGTCACCTAAGCAGTAAGAGGTGGAGCTGCGGTTGAAACCTGGGCGTTACAGGTCAGAGCCTTAGTTGATAATCTTTTGGATACATTCTCATTGAGGCAGAGGAACTAGCTGGAATCTAGTGGGGAAAGCAAGCTAGGACTTGATTGAAGGGAGCCTTGAGAGCAAGGCTTATGGGCTTGGACTGTTCTGGGAGTTTATCAACTATTTCATTCATTAGAACTATTTCATTTATTACAAATATTTCACTTGTTATGCAGCGGTATGATTGTGGAGCGTTCAGAAATTGGAGAAATACGAGTAGTACAAGTTTATAATTACCCATGAATCCAGCATGTAAAGATAGTAACTGTTAAACTTCGAGTGCATTTTTTTTTTTTTTTTGAGACAGAGTCTCACTGTGTTGCCCAGGCTGGAGTGCAGTGGCACGATCTCGGCTCACTGCTAACTCCGCCTCCCAGGTTCACGCCATTCTCCTGCCTCAGCCTCCTGTGTGAGTAGCTGGGACCACAGGCGCCCGCCACCACGCCCGGCTAATTTTTTTGTAGTTTTAGTAGAGATGAGGTTTCACCGTGTTAGCCAGGATGGTCTTGATCTCCTGACCTCATGATCCACCAGCCTCGGCCTCCCAAAGTGCTGGGATTACAGGCGTGAGCCACCGCACCCGGTGCATTTCTTTTTGGTCTTTCTTTGGCATATTTGCATATTTATTTATAAACATTTAAACAAAATTTTATGATTAAAAAAATGTGTTTTCCCTTATGTGTTTAACTATGGAAATTTGGAAACACTGCCAAGAGGGAAATAGCTAGTGAACTTACATGTTATATCATGCTCATCCTAATTTATCTCATCGTTATCTCATTTTTTTTTTGGTAAATGTTTCCTGATATTGGCCGGGCATGGTGGCTCACGCCTGTAATCCCAGCACTTTGGGAGGCCGAGGTGGGCGGATCACCTGAGGTCGGGAGTTTGAGACCAGCCTGACCATCATGGAGAAACTCCATCTCTACTAAAAATACAAAATTAGCCAGACATGGTGACGCATGCCTGTAATCCCAGCTACTCGGGAGGCTGAGGCAGGAGAATCGCTTGAACCCGGGAGGCGGAGGTTGCAGTGAGCCAAGATTGCACCATTATACTCCAGCCTGGGCAACAAGAGCGAAACTGCATCCTCTGCCTCCCGGTCTCAAAAAAAAAAAATATTTAACGTTTTATTTTCATATCATTTGAAACCTATAGAAAAATTGCAAAAATAGTGTTAGAAATTCTCATATACTCTTTACCCAAATTTGCCAAATGTTTACATTTTTCCTGTTTGCTTTGTTCTTGCTGATCACCCAGATACCACCAGGAACATACCTGTAGCCAGAGACAGTTGCTTGTAGCTTTCTGCAGCAAAGAAGCCCACATTTCAAGATAATTGTGGGGTGTCTTGGTAAGAGGTGTTTAGAAAGGGCTGGTTATAGGGTTTCACATAACATGCTAGATACTATTAGATATTATACTGGCTAGGCATGGTGGCTTATGTCTGTAATTGTAGCACTTTGGGAGGCCGAGGCAGGTGGATCACTTGAGGCCAGGAGTTCAAGACCAGCCTGGCCAACATGGAGAAACCCCATCTCTACTAAAAATACAAAAATTAGCTGATTTGTCCACTGTGAAGTTACTTTTTTAAAATTTGAGGGGGCGTGCGCCTGTAATCCCAGCTATTAGGGAGGCTGACGCATAAGAATCATTTGAACCTGGGAGGCAGAGGCTGCAGTGAGCTGAGATGGCGCCCCTGCACTCTGATCTGGATGACAGAGTGAGACTCTGTCTCAAAAAAATAATTAAATATTATATTAAATAATATTGTTATCTATTACATATCACATCTGTTAAAAAGCTAATAATAGTAGTTGTAGTGTCATTTATTAGATAGTGTTGGATACCATATTACATAACGTTGTTATCTAATCTGCAGCTTCCATATTTAAATTTATTCAGTTTCTTCTTTTGGTCCTTATAACTATCCCTTGCCCCACTTTTTACCTGTAACCCCATTCAAAGTCCAATTTTATGCATTGTCTTTATTGTCACATTTCTATACTTTTGTTTAATCTAGAAGGATTCCACAGCCTTTGTCTTTTATATGCATGGTTTTTTGAAGAGTATAGGCAAGTTGTTTTGCAGAAAGACATTCATTTGGGGTTTGTCTGGTAAATTTCATGTTTACGTTTAGAGTATGCATGATTGGCAGGGATACCATAGTAGTGGTGAGATGTCCTTTTCATTGCAACCTAACAGTGTCCAAATGATGTTGGTTTGTCCCTTCACTGGTGATCTCAACTTTGTTCACTTGGCCAAGATGAAGTCTTTCAGATTTGTCCACTGTGAAGTTACTTTTTTTAAATTTTGAAAATAATAAAGTTCCTTATGGGGAGATACATGATTAGTGGACATTCTACTGTAAAGAAGAGTTTCCATTTCTCCCCCATTTATTCATTCCTTCATTCAACTATAAATATTCTATTGATATGGACTCAGAATTCAGTCTTACTGATTTCAATGACATGTAGATTAACAATTATTTTTTCCAATTCTATCAAGATGTATTTCACATATAGCTTTCACCCATTTCAGGCATGGAACTCCGTGATTTTTAGGAATTTTGTGAAGTGGAATAACCATGATCATGATTCAGTTTAGATCATTTTTATCTCCCAGTTGGACTCCTTGTGCCCATTTATAGTTAAACCTCATTCTCATCTCAAATGTGAAGCAACCACTAATCTACTTTCTCTATGATACATTTGCCTATTCTGAACATTTCATATAAATGCGATCACACAGTCCATGGGTTTTTGTGACTGCCTTCTTTCATTTAACATAATGTTTCCAGGGTTCATGCATGTTGTAGCATGAGTCAATATTTCATTTCTTTAAATTTCCAAGTAAGATTTCATTGTATGGATAGGCGACAATTTGTCCATTTACCCATAGGAAGGCATTTTGGTTGTGTGCAATTTTGGGTTATTATGAATAATGCCCCTGTGAACATTCAAGTGCTAATTCACAACACATGTTCATACTGTTGGGTGGCATCACTGACCACCCCTTCATGTCTCTTTTTTTTTTTTTGCCTTCCATGGCATGTTTCAGGCACAATTCTGTCTTCTCTTGAACTGCATAACTGAGAACTCTGCAAATTCCCCAAAGAAGGAGGAAAAATGACCATGTTCAAGGTGAGTAAGTCTGGTCTCTTTTGCTGTTCAGATTCTGTTTTGCTACTTAAGATTGTCACATGTTTTTCTCGGTCTTGGGAAGACTCAAGGAGAACAACAGTTATTTGTGCACCTGTTGTGTGCCAGATGCTTCCTTGTTTCTTTTGTGTTGAATTTGCGTTTGGATTTGATTTTGTTTACTTTTACCATTATTTATGTTATGAGTAGAAATTTAGTGGGAAGGAACAATTCTCCCATTTCACTACATCTTTTCTCACTAATTAGGCATTTTTATTTTCTCATGCTATTCCTCATGTATATTCATAACTGTATTTGTATTGATACTTATCTAATTTAAATTGTGTTCTTTGTGTTTAATATTATGTAATATTCATTATTTATGGTTGCATCATGTTCCCATTGAATTGATGCTCCTTTTTTTTTTTTTTTCCTCGAGACAGAGCCTTGCTCTGTTGCCCAGACTGGAGTGTGGTGGCGCAATCTCGGCTCACTGCAACCTCCGCCTCCCGGGTTCAAGCGATTCTCCTGCCCCAGCCTCTCAAGTAGCTGGGATTACAGGCGCTCACCACCACACTTGGCTAATATATGTATTTTTAGTAGAGACGGGGTTTCACCATGTTGGCCAGGCTGGTCTTGAACTCCCGGCCTCAAGTGGTCTGCCTGCCTCAGCCTCCCAAAGTGCTGGGATTACAGGTGTGCACCACTGCACCTGCCGATGTTTCTTTTTAACTACTTTATACTCACAGGCACTAGGAGCTCAGTTTTGAAAGAGTACTTTTGACATGTGCCACGTTGGTTGTTTTGTAGATAAAATATCCATATGTGGCATGGCACAGCAGGCTGTAACTGTGGCTTCACACAAGGATTTCTGGAGATTTTCACATAGGAAGAGCTAGCTTTTGTTTTCCCCATGCTTAAGTCATGCATTGTGTGTATGTTATTTACTGGTCTTTTCTTATTCCTTTATGTATTAAGGAGTTTGACCAAAATGCAGCATCCTGGGCTGCACATATATCGGTTTCGGTGAATCTTGCCAGTTGCTCCAGCAACATTTAGCAATTCAGTCTCAACTTTGTTTGATAATGCCCAGGGTTCTCGTACTTGAACCCTGGATGTAATCATTTTTCTGTCTTTTTTTTTTTTTTTTTTTTTTTTAGTTTTTTAGTTTTGGTAGCTTTAGTTTCAAATGTCCATGATATCAGAAGATTCTCTAGTCACTGTGTTCTATTCCTTTGTTTGTTCCTCAGAACAGCTGAATGATGCAGTTCTCAGCCTCATCTTCCTCTTAAATATGTGAAATATGAGAAACCTGCTGAGGTTCAGAGAGGAAACCTAGGGTCGGCATGTTAGCTATTTTGCTAAATTGAAAGAGAGAGAGAAGAAGAAAGAGGATTCTCCATTGAAGGACCTATGCCTTCTGGTATGGGTGTCTGGAGTGCCCTCTTGAGTGATGACAACCACTGGTGACATAGCTCCTCCCTGACCCCTCCTCGGGGGTCCTCTTCTCTTCCTGTTGTGCCACCTCCTCAGGTGCACCTAGTACTCCAGGCACCAAAGGACAGTGATTGCTACACTCACTATAGAAAATCTTTAAATTCCTAATGGCAAAGATGGCTTATAGAGTGTTACCAGGGAATATAACAGCCTAAGGTGAAAATATTTACCACTTTGATATCTAAAAAAGACATAATCCAAAATAAGAATCTTATGTACAGAATGGAGAAAAAAATTCAAAGGAATATGAATAAAGGACATTAATACATTAATTGGTAAATTTTAGAGAAGAAATAGAAGTGGCCAATACATATTTGAAAAGGTGATAGTATTATTTATATTCAAATACATGGGATTAATAAGGTGAATTCTCTCTAATGAGATTATCAAAATCACAGGAAATTTGATAATCTGCTTTTGGCTATTTTAAGAAAAACCAGGGTAATATATCCCCTTGAAAGATTTTGGAGTTTGAGAAAAAATTGAGATCTGACATATATGATCACAATTTTAAACATTCTTATTTTTTGACACTTTAATTTTCATTTGAAATTATTGTATTATAGTTTATTCTTATTCTTTAGAGACAGAGTTTTGCTCTGTTGCCTCGGATAGAGTACAGTGATGTAAGTGTAGCCCACTGCAGCCTTGAACCCCTGGGGTCCAGATCTTCCTGCCCCAGCCTCCCAAGTAGCTAGGACTACGGGCACGCACCACGATGCCTGGCTAGTTTTAAAAATTTATAAAGTTGGTGTCTTGCTGTGTTGCCTGGTCTGGTCTTGAACTCTTGAATTCAAGCAATCCCCCCACCTTAGCCTCTTAAAGCACTGGGATTACAGGTGTGAATCACTGCACCTGGTTTGAAATTATTAAATTAAACTAAATTATTATTTTATTTTATTTCTTTTTTGAAATAGAGTCTTGCTGTGTTGCCCAGGCTGGAGTGCAGTGGCGCAATCTTGGCTCACTACAACCTCCGCCTCCTGGGTTCAAACGATTCTTCTGTATCAGCCTCCCAAGTGTCTGGGATTATAGTCACGTGCCACCATGCTCGGCTAATTTTTGTATATTTTGTAGAGACGGAGTTTTGCTATGTTGCCAAGGCTGGTCTCGAACTCCAGAGGTCAAATGATTTGCTTGTCTCGGCCTCCAAAAGTGCTGGGATTACAGGCATGAGCCACCATACCTGGCCAAAATTATTTTCAATGATCAGACGGGAGAGTAAGGTCCACATACATGATTTTCTTTGCAGGATTGGTATTAATGAAAACTACATAAAATTAAATATTCATTATTTAGAATAAAGATAGATCATCAGTTCCCTGTAATAGTATGCAGACATGAAATGAAATAGATAACTATAATGAAAGTTATAATAAAAAATCCAAAGAAATACGAATAAAGGACATTACCAGCCAGGTGCGGTGGCTCACGCCCATATTCCCAGCACTTTGCGGGGCTGAGGTGGGCAGATCACCTGAGGTCGGGAGTTTGAGACCAGCCTGACCAACATGGAGAAACCCCATCTCCACCGGGTGTGGTGGCTCATGCCTGTAATCCCAGCACTTTGGGAGGCCAAGGCAGGCGGATCACGAGGTGAGGAGATCGAGACCATCCTGGCTAACATGATGCAACCCTGTCTCTACTAAAAATACAAAACATTAGCCGGGTGTGGTGGTGGGCGCCTGTAGTCCCAGCTACTCGGGAGGCTGAGGCAGGAGAATGGTGTGAACCCAGGAGGCGGAGCTTGCGTTAGCTGAGATTGCACCACTGCACTCCAGCCTGGGGACAGAGTGAGACTCCATCTCAAAAAAAACAAAACAAAACAAAACAAAAAACAGCAAAAAAAGAGAAACCCCATCTCTACTAAAAATACAAAACTAGCTGGGCATGGTGGCGCATGCTTGTAATCCCAGCTATTCAGGAGGCTGGGGCAGGAGAATTGCTTGAACTGGGGAGGTGGAGGTTGCCGTGAGCTGAGTTTGCGCCATTGCACTCCAGCCTGGGCAACAAGAGCGAAACTCCGTCTCAAAAAAAAGACAAAAAGGTAATAAAATTAACTAATGTTAATTAAATACCTAGTCTGTGCCACAGACTTTCCCCATTTATATTCTCTTGCTTATTCCTGGAGAAAACTGATGTGACAGTCTTTATACAGAAAGGAAACGAATGCATGTAGGCAAACTTATCCAAGGTCACGTGGCTGGGAAGGCAAAGGCACAGAGCCTTGGGATTGAGCCTTGTGAGTGAGCACACACACTCAGTGTGATCATAGGCACACTGGCTCCAGATCATGACATTCAGTGCTGCAATTAATATATGTAGTTTGCGTCTTGAATACAGAGGACCCACTCCATGGCTGTCCCACACAGGTCACTGTAAACTTGTTAGTTTGGCAGATATTAAAAAAAAAATGGGCCGGGTGTGGTGGCTCATGCCTGTAATCCCAGCGCTTTGGGAGGCCGAGGCCGGCAAATCGCCTGAGGTCGGGAGTTCGTGACCAGCCTGGCCAACATGGTCTCTACTAAAAATACAAAATTAGCTGGGCATGGTGGCAGGTGCCTATAATCCCAGCTATTCAGGAGGCTGAGGCAGGAGAATTGCTTGAATCCAGGAGGCAGGGGTTGCAGTGAGCTGAAATCGCACCACTGCACTCCAGCCTGGGCGACAGAGTGAGACTCTGTCTCAAAAAATAAAAAGAAAGAAAGAAAAATGATTACATCCAGGGTTCAAGTACGAGAACCCTGGGCATTGTCAAACAAAGTTAAGACTGAATTGCTAAATGTTGCTGGAGCAACTGGCAAGATTCATTGAAACCTATATATGTGCAGCCCAGGATGCTGCATTTAGAGTCCTAGAGGGTTACTTACAAGGAGACTTAATAAGTGCACAAAGTAAACCTATGGGACTTTTTCATCATTGCACTTCTGGTGGAGCTCTGGAAAATCAGTGTCATTGCGAGGATACAGACAGAATGAATGGGAAATCTGTATGTTGACCTACATCTTTCAAGATCCACAGCAACTTCTCACCCATCCCCTTCACCTGCTCATTGCCACCCTTCTCCCAGGAATCACTGGTCATGAGATTGAGATTGCATACGTTTGTTGTTGTAGGAGGCAGTGACCTTCAAGGATGTGGCTGTGGTCTTCACCGAGGAGGAGCTGGGGCTGCTGGACGTTTCCCAGAGGAAGCTGTATCGAGATGTCATGCTGGAGAACTTCAGAAACCTGCTATCAGTGGGTGAGCACAGGCACCCTCTGTAATGGAACATCAGGCCCCAGGAATGGCTTTGTATCCTAGGGTGTTTGTGTTAGTTTGTTCTTATGCTGCTATGAAGAAATACCCAAGACTGGGTAATTTATAAAGAAAAGACATTTCATTGACTCACAGTTCTGCATGGCTGGTAAAGCCTCAGGAAACTTACAGTCATGGTGGAAAGCCGATGGGAAGAAAGGCACCTTTTTCATATTGCAGCAGGAAGAAGTGCCGAGCAAAGGGGAAAAGGCCCCTTATAAAACCATCAGATAGGGCCGGGCGCGGTGGCTCATGCCTGTAATCCCAGCACTTTGGGAGGCCAAGGAGGGCAGATCACGAGGTTGGGAGATGGAGACCATTCTGGCTAACACGGTGAAACCCCGTCTCTACTAAAAATACAAAAAAAATTGCCGGGCGTGGTGGCGGGCGTCTGTAGTCCCAGCTACTCAGGAGGCTGAGGCGGGTAAATGGCGTGAACCTGGGAGGCGGAGCTTGCAGTGAGCCGAGATCGCATCACTGCACTCCAGCCTGGGCGACAGAGCGAGACTCCGTCTCAAAAAAAAACAAAAACAAAAACAAAAACAAAAAACATAAATAAAATAAAACCATCAGATCTCGTGAGAACTCATCCACTATCACGAGAACAGCATGGAGGAAACTGCCCCCATGATTTAATTACCTCCCACCAGCTCCCTCTTATGACATGTGGGGATTATGGGAACTACAATTCAAGATGAGATTTGGGGACACCGCCAAACCATATCAGTGTTCAAGTTCGAGTGTGCAGTGAGAACCTAAATTTCTAGTAAATTTTACCTAAGATGTATTGGGATTAAGCATGTGACTTTGTTCACAGGGCATCAACTTTCCCACCGAGATACTTTTCACTTCCAAAGAGAAGAAAAGTTTTGGATCATGGAGACAGCAACCCAAAGAGAAGGGAATTCAGGTAAGAACCAAGCAACGATGCATCCTTGTACGTGACCCTTCCATCTGTTTTACTTCTGTCCATTGCCCAACTCCATTGCCCTGGTATAAATGGCCAAACCTGTTTCCTGGATTCTTACCTCCTTCCTGCTGGTTGTCCTGCTCCCCCACCCCCTCTTCCCACCCTGACATCTGTTTTCCTCATAGCAGCCAAAGTGATCCTTAGGGAATGTAAGTCAGATTGCCATTCCTCAGCTTAAAAGCCTTTATGGCTTCTTATTTGTGTTAATGTTACAACTGCTTTAAGTGCCTTTTAGAGACCCTTGATCTGCTCTTCATCCCCTACTGCCTCTCTGACTACATCTCCATTTTCCAGCCACGTTGTACTCCCTGCTGTTTCTCCATCCTGCCAAGGACACTGTATTGCCTGTTGCTGTCACCCAGTGACCACACACTTAGCAGATTAAACAACAAACAATTATCTTTCTGTTCTTCAGATCTGAAGTCTGACACATCTCACTGGACAAAAATCAGGGTGTCCCTAGGGCTTTGTTCCTGTCTAGATGTTCTTGGGGAGAAGCCTTCACTTTAATTTACCAATCCCTAGGCACTGTCCACACTCCTTGGCTCTTGTCTCCCTTCCTCCATCTTCAAAAGCAGCTACATTGCATCTCTAACCATTCTTCCATAGTCATCTGCCACCCTTCTTAAGCCTCTGTTTTCCACATTTTGGGTCCCTTGCGATTGGATTGGTCACTCCTGCATAATCTAGAATGACCTTCTTACTCTCTCTTTAGCTGACTAGTGACCTTAATTGCATCTGCAGCCTTAATATCTCTTGCTATATAACATAACAGGTTCATAGGTCCTGGGAATTGGATGTGGACATCTTTCAAGGACCATTGTTCTGTCTACTACAGAAGCTTCTGTCTTAGAGTTTATATATGCTCTTCTTTCTGATTGGAATACTCTTTCACCTCAAGACCTTCTGACCCTTCCTTTATTCTGGTCTCTGTTCAGTTTTAATATCATGAGAAAGGCCTTCTCTGACCACTCTATTTAAAATACCAGCCGGGCGTGGTGGCTCATGCCTGTAATCCCAGCACTTTGGGAGGCTGAGGCAGGCAGATAGCATGAGGCCAGGAGTTTGAGACCAGCCTGGCCAGCATGGCAAAACCTGACTCTACTAAAAATATAAAAATTAGCTGGGTGTGGTAGCACAGTCCTGTAATCCCAGCTACTCGGGTGGCTGAGGCGTGAGAATCACTTGAACCCAGGAGCCAGAGGTTGTAGTGAGCTGGGATTGTGCCACTACACTCTAGCCTGGGTGACAGAATGAGACTCTGTCTCAAAAAATAAATAAAGAAATATATATATATATATATATATATAGAGAGAGAGAGAGAGAGAGAGAGAGAGGGAATGGAATACCATCCTATCTTTACCCTTCTGGTGTTGTCTTATACTGTGTCTTATATATTTCTATTTAGCTGTCATCTCTACCCACTGGAATGGAATGTCTTAAGAGGAGGACTTTTAGCTGTTCAATTTTTATTTTAAGATTCAGGGGGTACATGTGCAGGTTTGTTACCTGGGTATATTGTGTGATGCTGAGGTTTGCATTGCAAATGATCCTGTCACCCAGGTACTGAGCATAGTACCCAATAGTGGTGGCAGGATAACCCTCAGGTTTTAAGGCTATGTGTACCGGTGTTAGAGGTAGTGGTGATGGGCTGGGTGGGCCAGTCCTGAGGCCCCCACATGGTGTGTGCAGGTGAGTGTCAGCGGTGATGGTGGCAGCAGGCTTGTAGGACCTGTCCTCAGGTCACTAGGAGGAGTATACAGATGCCAGTGGTGGTGATCAGGGCAGGGAAATCCTTAGGTCTCCAGACAGCATGCTTGGGCACCTGCGGCAGGGTTCTGGGTCTGTTGTAAAGCTCCCTGCATGGTACATGCTCATGCCTGGGGCAACCAACATGGCAGGGTGATCTCAACAGCCCCAGGTGGTATGCTTAGGTAGTGGAGGAATGACGCCAGGCCAGGTGAGCCTGTCCTCAGGCCTTTCAGTGGTGCAGGCAGATGTAGGCTGTGGTGGAAGAGGCGGCGTGATCCCTAGGTCCCCAGATGGCATGCTCCAGCACTGGCAGCACACAAGCTGGGTCTTTGTCAGGTCTCCTGTTTGTGCACACATGTGCCTGAGGCAACACAGGGTAGAGCAATCCCCAGGTCCCTCTGTGTCATGCTCTGGCACTGAGATGGGCGGTACCAAGTGAAGTGGGCTTGTCCTGTGCACGGGCACAGGTTGTGGTGGGCAGTGCAAGGGACTCCCCATGCCTTTAGGAGGTGTGCTTGGGTGGCAGTGGCAGAGTGTGCAGAGAAACTTTCCTCAGAATGAGAACACATATGAGTGTACAGTGGCCCTGCTGCTGGGGGTGAGGTAGCATTGCCGTTAGAGGCAGCAGCCCCAGACAGGCAGCTTTCAAGCTCTGGTGAGTGCACACACTTTGGGTCCCTTTGTACTGTACTGGGGGCAGCCTCCCTGGTGTCCTTCACGGCCCATTCCCTAGAGTATGGGACACTATGTGGCCTAGATTGCTGGGGACTCTGCCATACTGCTGGGTCTAACAGGCATTATTGTAACCCTCTGGGTGGATGTGGGGGCATGTCCATGGGGCTTCAGGGATTTGGAGATGCAAAGGCTGTTGGGCCCCAGGGCAAGATGCAGTCTGGTGGGGGTGCAGCTCTCAAAATAG
This sequence comes from Homo sapiens, assembly GCF_000001405.40. Classification (NCBI taxonomy): domain Eukaryota; kingdom Metazoa; phylum Chordata; class Mammalia; order Primates; family Hominidae; genus Homo; species Homo sapiens. The sequence continues at coordinate 44,084,837 of NC_000019.10, forward strand.
CGCTGTGCCATAGCTGCTTGAGTCTCAGGAAGTGTGTGGGTCCCATCATGAGTACCCTCTCTGAGTGCCATTGCATGGACTCCAGGTAGCCCCCTGTGCTAGTCTCAGGGCCCACAGGGGTCGAGGGCCTCTCTCATGGCTGATTGCTGGAGTGCACAGCGGAAATGTAAACCACTAGGGCTCTCTCACTTACCCTTTCCCAGCACTAGGAGCCTTTCCCGGCTTTCAGGTGATCACGGCCAGAAGGGCTACCTCCCTTCGCTCTCCTTTTGTGCTTCGGGTGTTTCCTGTCACTTCTCTGCTGAATTCCAGTGATCCCTCTTAGATGCTATTTGATGTATGAGTATCTATTTGCTTTTTAAATTTTTTAGTAATAAAATATATAGAACACTTCATGAATTTGCATATCGGCCTTGTGCAGGGGCTGATCATTCCAGTTTTACCATATGTGCTGCTGAAGTGAGCACTACTCATTATTTTGGCTCTTTGTGGAGGACGCAAGCTCTGGGTGTCTTTAGTCAGCCATCTTGAAGTCCTCCTACCCTTAACGTTCCTTCTGATTCATCACATATATAATTTAGTAGTTACATAATATACCATGCAAGATTTTAGACTAACTAGGAAATTGGTAGAAATAGTAACACATTAACTGTATTATATTAATATTTTAAATTAAGTCTTTCATTTCTACCACGTATGAGACATTATGTCATTCAAAATTGGTTTCGTGACAACGAGAGACCGTGGTGCACTTGGAAAACACAAACTGTACCTTCCTTGTATTCAGTAAAGTTTCAGGCCATGTCCTAAGTGAAATCCTGAAAACACTGAACAAAGGTTTCACTTACCCACATCTCTTAATTCTGTGTCCTTATAGGAGGCAAGATCCAAACTGAGTTGGAGTCTGTTCCAGAAACAGGACCACATGAAGAGTGGTCTTGCCAGCAAATCTGGGAACAAACTGCAAGTGAGTTAACTAGACCTCAAGACTCCATAAGTAGCTCTCAGTTCTCCACACAAGGTGATGTCCCCTCCCAGGTTGACGCAGGACTATCTATAATTCACATAGGAGAGACACCTTCTGAGCATGGGAAGTGTAAAAAATTCTTCAGTGATGTCTCCATCCTTGATCTTCATCAACAATTACACTCAGGAAAGATATCCCATACATGTAATGAGTACAGGAAGAGATTCTGTTATAGCTCAGCTCTTTGTCTTCATCAGAAAGTTCACATGGGAGAGAAACGCTATAAGTGTGATGTGTGTAGTAAGGCATTTAGTCAGAACTCACAACTGCAAACTCATCAGAGAATCCACACTGGAGAGAAACCATTCAAATGTGAGCAGTGTGGGAAAAGTTTCAGCCGTAGATCAGGAATGTATGTTCATTGCAAATTACACACAGGAGAAAAACCTCATATTTGTGAGGAATGTGGGAAGGCCTTCATTCACAATTCCCAGCTTCGGGAACATCAAAGAATCCATACTGGGGAGAAGCCATTCAAATGTTATATATGTGGTAAGAGCTTCCATAGTAGATCAAATCTTAATAGGCATTCCATGGTCCACATGCAAGAGAAATCATTTAGATGTGATACCTGTAGTAATAGCTTTGGTCAGAGATCAGCACTTAATAGTCATTGCATGGACCACACAAAAGAGAAACTATACAAATGTGAAGAATGTGGAAGGAGCTTCACTTGTAGGCAAGATCTTTGTAAGCATCAGATGGACCATACAGGAGACAAACCATATAATTGTAATGTATGTGGGAAGGGCTTCAGGTGGTCCTCATGTCTTTCAAGACATCAGCGGGTCCACAATGGAGAAACAACATTCAAGTGCGACGGATGTGGGAAGAGATTTTATATGAATTCACAGGGCCATTCACATCAGAGAGCCTATAGAGAAGAAGAACTGTATAAATGTCAGAAGTGTGGGAAGGGCTACATTAGTAAGTTTAATCTTGACTTGCACCAGAGGGTCCACACGGGAGAGAGACCTTATAATTGTAAGGAATGTGGAAAGAGCTTCAGGTGGGCCTCAGGTATTTTGAGACATAAGAGACTCCATACTGGAGAAAAACCATTCAAATGTGAAGAGTGTGGGAAGAGGTTTACTGAGAATTCAAAACTTCGTTTCCATCAAAGAATTCACACTGGAGAAAAGCCTTACAAATGTGAGGAGTGTGGAAAGGGATTCAGATGGGCCTCAACTCATCTAACCCATCAAAGACTCCACAGCAGAGAAAAACTATTCCAATGTGAGGATTGTGGGAAGAGCAGTGAGCACAGTTCATGCCTTCAAGACCAACAAAGCGACCACAGTGGAGAAAAAACATCCAAATGTGAGGACTGTGGGAAGCGCTACGAGAGGCGCTTGAATCTAGATATGATTTTATCATTATTTTTAAATGATATATAATTATTGTCCATATTTATGGGTTACAGCATATTTCAATACATGTATACAATGTATAATGATCAAATCAGTGTTATTAGCATATCCATCACCTCCTTTATCATTTATTTGTGGATCATTTATCATTTCTTTGTGCTTTGAACGTTCAAAAACTGCTGTTCTAGTTATTTGAAAATAAGTTATTATTAATTATAGTCACCTTTAGTGCTGTGGAACACTAGAACTTGTTCCTTTCATCATCTTACTGTACTTTCATATCTGTTAACGAATCTTTCATCATCCACCCTCTCTCCTACTTTTCCCTTCTAGTAATTGCTATGCCATGCTGCTTCTGCTTTTTTTTTTTTTTTTTTTTTTTTTTGAGAACAGAGTCTTCCAGGCTTGAGTGTAGTGGCATGATCCTTTCTCACTGCAGCCTCCACCTCCTGGGTTCAAGCGATTCTCCTGCCTAAACCTCCTGAGTAGCAGGGATTACAGGCACGCACCACCACGCCCAGCTAATTTTTGTACTTTTTTTTTTTTTTTTTTGAGACAGAGTATCGCTCTGTCGCCCAGTATGGAGTGCAATGGCTTGATCTCGGCTCACTGCAACCTCTGCCTCCTGGGTTCAAACGATTCTTCCCTGCCTTGGCCTCCCGAGTAGCTGGGACTACAGGCGCCCGCCACCACACCTGACTAATTGTTGTATGCGTAGTAGAGATGGGGTTTTGCCATATTGGCCAACCTGGACTTGAACTCCTGACTTCAGATGATCCGCCCACCTCGGCCTCCCAAAGTGCTGGGATTACAGGCGTGAGCCACCATGCCCACCATGCCTAAAAATTTTTGTATTTTTAGTGAAGATGGGGTTTCACCACATTGGCCAGGCTAGCCTTGAACTCCCAAACTCAAATGGTCCACCTGCCTTGGCCTCCCAAAGTGCTGGGATTACAGGCATGAGCCACCGTGCCCAGCCAATGCTATGCTGCTTCTATGATGTCAACTTTTTAGCTTCCACATATGTGTGAAAACATGTGGTATTTATCTTTCTGGGCCTGAATTTACATCACTCAACATCATGTTCTCCAAAGCTTATCTTTATCTTGCCATAAATGACAGAATTTTATTATTTTTTATGGTTAAATAGTGTACCTTTGTGTATGTATGCCACATTTTCTTTACCATTTTCTGTTGATGAACACTTAGATTGGTTCCATATGTTAGCTATTGCAAATAGTACTATAATAAATATAGGAGTGCAGATAGGAGTTCAACACACTGATTTCCTTTCCTTTGGATATACAGCTAGTAGTGGGATTGCTGGATCACTTGAATGCTGATATGCATAAGAGGATCTACACTGGAGAAAAACCATGGAAGTGTGGAGATTGTGGTACATGCTTCAGTCAGGGCTCACATCTTCAAATTCAGTGTCTGTTCTGTAGAGAAACCTTAATAATGTGATATATGTGACAGCAAAGAGTTATAAGATATGAATATGTTAATTTTAGTAGATACTTCCGAAAAGTATTTCAAACTGGTTGTACCACTATAAACTCTGACCATTATTAGGCAAGAATTGGCTTTTTTTTTTTTTTTCTTTTGAGACAGTCTTGCTCTGTCACCCAGACTGGCATGCAGTGGAATGATCACGGCTCCCTGCAGCCTTGACCTCCCAGGCTCAAGAAATCCTTCTGCCTCAGCCCCTCAAAAGCTGGGACTATAGGCATGCAACAACACGCCTGGCTAAATTTTTGTTGTAGAGATGGGGTCTCACTATGTTGCCCAAATTGGTCTCAAACTCCTGGGCTCAAGCGATTCTCCCTCCTCAGCCTTCCAAAGTGCTGGGATTACAGGCCTGAGCCATGCGCACAGCATTTTGTTTTGTTTTGTTTTGTTTTTGAGATGGGGTCTCTCGGTGTTGCCCAGGCTGGATTGCTTATTCACAGATGCAGTTACAGTGCCCTATAGCCTCGAACTCCTGGGCCTAAGTGATCCTCTTGCTTCAATCCCCTGAGAAGCTGGGACTACAGGCATGGACCACCACCCCTGATTGATCTTCTTTAGTTTCTATAACAAAATAGTACACTGTTTCCACAAACTTGGGAAGGCTAGTATTTGGGGGTGGGGGGCGTGGAAATCACTAAACAACAAAGAAAATCTGATGAATTGGACAGCATAAAAATATTGGCATAAAGATGAACATAACATAAGCAGGAATATTTAAAGCACATACTTTTTATAGAGTGTCTCCCCTGTAATGTCTCTGGTTAAATGAAAGGGTTTCAAATGTGAAGACAACCCTAACCATACTCATTATCTGTAAAAGATGTAGCATTGTCATGGACTCCTTAATAAACGTGAAGACTTTAATCCATCTGAAGGTGCATCACATTTCTGAAGTTTCCAACACTGACAAGGTGATGGGCTTATGGATGAAAACTCATGAATGGGAAAAACTCAGCTATCGTTAAAGCCCATATATTTTATTAAAGATATTGGGGCTGTCTCCTAAATCTAGTTAGTGATGAATTTCAAGTCTAGAGCCATCACCGAATCCTTGTCCACATTCATTACACATAGGTTTTCTGAGAAAATTGTCTGCTGGTTATGAGAGGTCTTCTCCCGTGCCAAAGTGAGTATAATAACCTTGCTTTTGGCCAGGTGCGGTGGCTCACACCTGTAATCCCAGCGCTTTGGGAGGCCGAGGTGGGCAGAGTGCCTGAGGTCAGGAGTTTGAGACTAGTCTGGCCAACATGGTGAAAACCCATCACTATTAAAAATACAAAACAATTAGCTGGGTGTGGTGGTGGCGTGTGCCTGTAATCCCAGCTACTCAGGAGGCTGAGGCAAGGGAATTGCTTGAACCAGGGAGGTGGAGGTTGCGGTGAGCCGAGATCACGCCACTGCACTCCAGCCTGAGTGACAGAGTGAGACTCCATCTCAAAAAAATAAAAATAAAAATAAAAGTAAACAAGCTTGCTTTCTTTTATGTGCTCCTTGATTTTGATGGTGATGTGAAATCAAACTGAAGCTGAAAATACAATAATCACATTTATACAGGGCATTTTTCAAGGAAATTTATTGATTTTTACTTTAATAATTTAGTGCCTCACTTTTGTAAGTCTCTTGTAAGTGGCCAGGCATGGTGGCTCACACCTGTAATTCCAGCACTTTGGGAGGCTGAGGCAGAAGGATCAATTGAATCTAAGAGTTTGAGACCAGCTTTTTACAGAGTGTCTCCCCTATAATGTCTCTGGTTAAATGAAAGATTTTCAACTGTGAAGACAACCCTAACCATACTCATATTCTAGTTCCTTTGCCTTTCCATATAAATTTTAGAATAATTTTATATCTACAAAATATCTTGCTGGAATTTTGATAGTAATTATTTTAACCCTGTGTATCAATTTGGGGAGAATGAACATTTTTGCTATATTGAGTCCCACGATCCTCAAACATGGAATGTGTCTCCATTCATTTAATATTGTTGGATTTTCTTCATCAGTGTGTTGTAATTTTCATCTTACAACCCTTGTACATCTTTTGTCAAACTTCCATCTAGGTATGAACTTTGATTTCCGTGTGTTCATTGCTAGTATAATATATATAAATTAATTTTGGTATCCTGATCATGTATCCTATGATCATGCTGAATTCGCTTATTGTCTAGGCATTCATGGATTGGAAGACTTCACATTTTTGTGATGACAGTACTACCCAAACCAATCTACAGTTTTACTGCAATCACTATCAAAATCCAAACAGCCTTTTTTTTTTTTGCAGAAATCAATTCATAAATTCATATGTAATTGTAATGGAGGCAAATAGACAAAATCTTTCTTTTTTAAAGGAACATGATGGATGGCTCCCACTTCATTTCGAAACTTACTACCAAGCTATAGTAATGGAATAGAATTTAGAGTCCATAAAGAAACTCATACATCTAAAGTCACTTGATTTTCAAGAAGGATCCAAGATTGCTTAATGGAGAAAGCATAGTCTCTTCAGCAAATAATGCTGGGCAAATATATATACATATGCAACATAATGAAGTTAGATCCGCACTTCACACTATACTTAAAAATTAACTCAAAATGATCAATGACCTAAATATAAGAGGTTAAGCTATACAACTCTTAGAATAAAACATAAAGGTTAATCTTCAAGACTTTTTATTTGGAATGGATTCTTAGATAAGACACCATATGCACAAGCTAAAAAAACCCCACATAAATTGGACTAGAGCAAAAAAAAAAATGCTATGCATACAGAGACATTGTCAAGAGCATGAATTCTTCTAGTATCAGAATATATAAAGAACTCTTAGACCAGGTGAGGTGGCTCTCACCTATAATCCCAGCACTTTGGAAGGCTGAGATGGGTGGATCACTTGAGCCCAGGAGTTTGAGGCCTGCCTGGGCAACATGGCGAAAACCATGTCTCTACAAGAAACAAACAAACAAACAAAAAACAACAACAAAAAACAAAGGTAGCCAGGCATAGTGACCCATGCCTGTGGTCCCAGCTACTCAGGAGGCTGAGGCAGAAGGATTGTTTGAGCCTGGGAGGTCAAGGCTGCAGTGGGGCGTGATGTACCATTGCACTCCAGCCTGGGCAACAAAGAGAGACTCTGTTTCTTAAAAAGAAAAGAAAGAAAGAACTCTTACAACTCAATAACAAGAGGAGAAACCACCCAATTTTCTAATGGGCAAAGATACAAATAGAAATTTCAGATATACAAGTTACCAACAATTATGTGAAAAGATGCTCAACTATTAGTCATTAGGAAAATGCAAATCAAACCAATAATGAGATGCCATTTTACAACAGCTATGTTAGCTATCATCTTTAAAAATAGAAAATAGCCGATGTGGTGGCAGGCACCTGCAGTCCCAGCTACTTGGGAGGCTGAAGTAGGAGGATCGCTTGAGCCCAGGAGTTTTGAGGTGTAGTGAGCTATGCCCACTGGGTGTCCACACTAAGTCGACATCAACATGGTGATCTCCCAGGAGCAGAGGACTACCAGGTTGCCTCAGGAGAGGTAAACTGGCCCAGGGTGGAAACACAGCAGGTCAGAACTCCCATGCTGATCAGTAGTGAGATGTTGTCTGTGAATAGCCACTGCAATTCTGCCTGCACAACGCAGGGAGACCCCGTTTTCAATTTATACACACACACATATACATATACATATATATTTTATACATACATATATACAAAATAAGTATTGGAGAGGATGTGGAGAAATTACTACCCTCACACACTGAAGGTGGGAATGTAAAAATGGTGCAGTTGCTGTGGAAAATTGTTTCGTGGTTCCCAACATAGAATTACCATATGAATCACTAAATTTCATATCTAGGTATATACCCCAAAGAATTGAAAGTAGGTGATGAAACAAATACTTGTACACCACTGTTTGTAGCAACACTATTGACTACAGCCAAAAGGTGGAAAGAACCCAAATGTCCCTCAATCAATGAATGGATAAACAAATTGTGGCGCAAGCCTGTAATCCCAGCACTTTGGGAGGCTGAGGTGGGCGGATCACCTGAGGTAAGGAGTTCGAGACCAGCCTGACTAACCTGGTGAAACCCTGTCTCTACTAAATACAAAAAAATTAGCTGGGTGTGGTGGCGCATGGCTGTAATGCCAGCTACTTGGGAGGCTGAGGCAGAAGAATCGTTTTAACCCAGGAGGCGGGGGTTGCAGTGAGCTGAGATCGTGCCATTGCACTCCAGCCTGGGCATCAAGAGGGAAACCCCACCTCAAAACAAAACAAGACAAAGCAAACAAAAAAAACAAATCGTAGTAGAAACATAAAATATTATGAAGTACTGGTACATGCTGTGATGTGGATGAACTTTAAAAGCAGTATGCTGGCAGGGCGCGGTGGCTCACGCCTGTAATCCCAGCACTTTGGGAGGCCGAGGCGGGAGGATCACGAGGTCAAGAGATCGAGACCATCCTGGCTAACACGGTGAAACCCCGTCTCTACTAAAAATACAGAAAAATTAGCCAGGCGTGGTGGCACGCGCCTGTAGTCCCAGCTACTCGGGAGGCTGAGACAGGAGAATCGCTTGAACCCGGGAGGCGGAGGTTGCAGTGAGCTAAGATCGTGCCACTGCACTCCAGCCTGGCACTTTTTTTGAGATTCCGTCTCAAAAAAAAAAAAAAGAAGCAGGATGCTAAGTGAAAGGTGTCAGAAACAAAAGGTTCCATAATGTATAATTCCATTTATATGAAATGTCCACAATAGGTAATTCAATAGGACAGAGATTAGTGTTAGACAGTGACTGCTTAGTGGGTATGGGGTTTTTGGGGTGATGAAAATGTTTCCTAACTTTTTATTTGTACTACATATATCCTAAAATGGTGAATTTCACGTTTTGTGCATTACACCTCAATAGAGATGTTTTAAATAATAAAATACATTAAAATGTTTTGCATAGATAAAACAATAAAAAAAAACGTTTTTGTTGAGAAAATATTTGCGAGATAAAATGTTAATATCATGAATATAAGAACAGTGCTTGAAAAGTGAGGGATAAAACCAAAAACTCAATAAGAAAGTGGGCAAAACATCTGGACAATTTACAAAAAATGTAATAATGACACCTGAAAATATGCAAGAATATGCCATCTTTACAAGAGTTATAAATTAAAACTACATGCCATTTCTTACCACTGGCAAAACTTATTTGAAGAGTGTATCATCTCGCTTGTTCCCTTTCCAGTAACACTCCTGTCCTCACTAGAGGGGTTTAGACTTCAGGAATTCCTTTCTATACGGTATTTTCTCTTAGGCACCCAGGGAGAGGGAAGGACGACTCTCAGGGTAGAAGTCCACATTTCCCAACAGGCGCTCGGGGGTACGAGATTCGTTCCCCGTGGGAAGAGTGGTCAAGGGCTTCCCAGTAGTCGTCAACACTTCCCTTTGAGTGTAATGCTGCAGGAGTACAGTCCAGACCCTCAGTGGAATCGCGGTCGGTTTAGCTCCGGCAGTTGGGTCCCAGGGAATTCTGGGAAGTGTAGTCCAGACGCTCAGTGGAGTCGCGGTCAGTTTGGCTCCGGCTGGCGGGTCCCGGGGAATTCTGGGAAGTGGAGTCCAAACATTCGGTGGAGTCGCGGACACTTCCGCTCGGGGACTGAGGTTGCTGCAGTTTTTCCGCGATAGTTTGGGGCAGTTCCGCGCGTTGCAGGCCCTTCTGAATTTCCTGGACCTACGCATTGGATCCTCAAAGAACTGGTGATCGAATTAGGGGAAAAGGGGCCTCGTCGGAGAGTAGAGGTTTGGAGGGGCAAGGGCCGCTGTTTGCGTTCTCGTCCGTGGCACCTTCTTGGGCTTGGGTCTGTCCTCGCTTCCCGGGGGCATTGGTACTTGGTTGGGTCGCGTCTCACCTGGTTTCAGGGTTTCCGGGGCTCTGAGCTCGCCCACTCCGCCCCCTGCACCCCACGCGCGTGGCCACTTCTTCTCGATATAACGTTGGGGTGTTAATCTCCTTGGGTTTCCCGTTACTGTTCTTTAAAATGGGGACTTTAGGGCCATCCTAATGGAATCGTTTTGGGAACTGGAAGAGGTAACACAAATGAGAGCCTTAAAGCAGTCCCTGTCACTTGGTGACTGGTGGTCTCTTGTTAATTTCCCACGAAGGACCGGGTGGGGTCAGAGCTCCAGCTGCAGGGGCCTCGGCCCTTCTCCCTGATCCCTGCAGGACGCTGGATGATCCCGGAAGCCTTCTGACCTCTTTTTAGGAGAGCGAGGGTTGCGTCCACTTTCATGAAGGGAAAGGAGCATTTAACTTTTATGGGGGACGGCGACGCGGTCAAGGTGTTTCACAGCTTTCTCGTTCCCCAACCCGACCTTTCCAGAAGAGCTGCAGGGAGGGACTTCTTGGCTTCTGAGGGCAAAGCTCTACGTGAGTGGTCCTTGGCTCTTTGACCGAGATGCTCACCCCAACCGAGAGTGTATAGGTTGTGTCCTCGGGCATGGGGGTCGATAATAATTAAGTCTTAATTAGTAACTTCATTCTAAGGGCTTTATACAAATAAATTTACGCCACACCGTGGCTCTGTGGAGAAGTATTGCTTTTTTCTATTTTAAAAACGAAAGTGAGACACAGAGCGCATAGGCACCCGACTAGTGAGAGGTGGAGCTGGGGTTGGAACCTAAGCAGTCTGGGTCAGAGCCTGATTTGATCTTCTCTTGGGATACGTTGTCACTGAGGCAGAGGAACTAGTTGGACTTAGGTGGGGAAAGCAAGACTTAGGGGCTTGAAATTTTCTGAGTTTCTAAAAATGTTGTCAACTATTTTGTTTCAATCATTACAAATATTTTGTATTCTTATAGAACCATGTCATTGTACAGCATTCTATTTTTCTTTATTAAGAACAAAATGGGCCTGGCGCGGTGGCTTACGCCTGTAATCCCAGCACTTTGGGAGGTCCAGGCGGGCGGATCACGAGGTCAGGAGTTCGAGACCAGCCTGGCCAACATGGTGAAACCGCATCTCTACTAAAAAATAATTACAAAAATTAGCTGGGCGTGGTGGTGGGCGCCTGTAATCCCATCTACTCGGGAGGGTGAGGCAGGAGAATCGTTTGAATCTGGGAGGCGGAGGTTGCAGTGAGCGGAGATCTGCCATTGCACTCCAGTCTGGGCGACAGTGCGAGACTCCGTCTCAAAAAAAAAAAAAAAAGAACAAAATGTTTTTATTACCTACGAATCCATGAAGTAAAGGTAGCAACTGTTAAGCTCGTAATGTGTTTCTTTCTTTTTGTATATTTATAGGTTTATTTATGAACATTTACAAATTTTTATAATTTTTTTCTTAATATTTCCCCCTTATGTGTTTAACTATGGAAATTTCCAAATGCTGACAGACTAAACTAGTGAATTATCATGTTATATCATACTCATTAATCTCATTATTGTTATTATTTTTCCTATGACTGTTTCCTAAAATTATAAAACTTTTTATTTTCATGTCATTTGAAACCTATAGAAAAGTTGCAAAAGTAGCCTAAGAAATTCTTATTTACTCTTTACCCACGTTTGCCAAGTGTTTACATTTTTCCTGTTTGTTTTGTTGATGACCATCAGCTGAATACCACTAGAAACATACCTGTAACCAGAGACAGCTGATTATAGCTTTCTGCAGCAAGGAAGCCCACGTACCAGGGGCTGTCTTGGTAAGTAGAATTTAGGAAGACCTAGTATATGGTTTCACATAACATATTAGATAATTTCAGATTGTATACCAGATAATGTTATTTATTAAATATTAGATATCTATCCAAAGACTGCTAATAGTAGTTTATTGTATTATCTATTATACAGTGCTAGATAACATATTACCTAACTTCATGTTATGTACTCTGCAGTTCTATATTTAAATTTGTTCTATTTTTCACTTAAGGTTCTTACAAGTGTCCCCTACCCATCTGCCACCACCACCTGTGTTCACAGTCTAATTTTATGCATTGCCTTTAATTGTCACATTTCCATAATCTTTAATCTTGAGGATTCTACACCCTTTGTCTTTCTATGCTTGATATTTTTGAAGAGTATAGGCAAGTTATTTTGGAGAAAGGCATTCATTTGGAGTTGTGTCTGATGTAATTCATGTGCGGGTTCACATTATGCATTGTTGGTAGGGATACCACAGAAGTGGTGAATTGCGGGTTCAGATTATGCATTGTTGGTAGGGATACCACAGAAGTGCTGAAATGTCCTTTTCATTGCAACATAACAGGGTCCAAGTGATGTCAGTTTGTCTCTTCATTGGTGATCTCAACCTTGTCCACTTGGCCGAGACGCTGTCTTTCAGATTTCTCCACTATAAAGTTACTTAAAAAAAATTGAAAAGAATAAAGTTTCTTAGGAATAGATAACATTATTAGTGGGCATTCAGCTGTAAAATGACCTTCTCCATTTATTCTTTGTTCAACTACAAATATTCTATCAATATGGCCTTAGAATTGACTCTTAAGTTAGATAACGTGTACATTAACAATTATTTTTTCCAACCTATTGTATCATATAACTTACTTATATCAGGTGTACATCCAGTGATCATTAGACAGTTTGCTGAATGGAGTAACCATCACCACAATTCGGTGATCATTTCATGCTCATATTGATTTCCTCCTGCCTACTTATGGTTAGACTTCATTCTCACTCAGATCTGAAGCAATCACTAATCAGTTTTCTCTATGCATTTTCCTACCCAGACATTTTATAGAAATGGAATCCTGCAATATGTGGTCTTTTTTAACTGGCTTCTTTCATTTAGCAATAATGTTTCAAAGGTTCATGTATGTTGTAGCATGAGTCAGTACTTCATTTCTTTAAATTTCCAAGTAAGATTCCATTGTATGGATAGACCATGATTTGTCTATTCATTTACCCACAGGAGGGCATTTTGGTTGTGCCGTTTTGGGTTTTTATGATTAATGCTGCTGTGAACAGTCATGTGCCAATTCACAATACACATCCCTGTTGGTGGGTGGCATCCCTGGCCACCTTTTCATGTCTCTTTTTCTGCCTTTCCTGGCACTTTGCAGGCACAATTCTGCTTTCCCAGGAACTGCATCACTCAGGACTCTGCAAGTTTCCAGAAGTAAGAGGGAAAATGACCACGTTCAAGGTGGGTAGGACTTGCTTCTATTACTCTTAAAATTCCCTCTCAGTACTTAAATTGTCACAAGTTTTCCTCTGTCTTGGGAAGACTCAAGGAGAAAAACAGACATTTGAGGATCTCTTGTGTACCATGTACTTCCTTTGTTACTTTTGAGTGGATTTTGCATTTGTTTTTACTACTTGTTTTCTTCTATCATTTATTCTATGGAGTAGACAAGATTGTAGGAATGGATAATTATTTCATTATACTACTTCTCTGCTCACACATTAGCTATTTTTATCCTGTGATACTCTTCCTCATGTGCATTCATAACTGTATTTGTATTGGTGATGTTAATCTAATTTAAATTGCACTCTTTGTATTTAATATTATATAATGTTCATTTTTAATGGTTGCACCATATTCCCATTTAATCGATGTTCCTTTTTAATTACTTTATACTTCCAGACACCAGGAACTCAGTTTTGAAAGGCTACTTTTGATGTGTGCCACGTTGGCTGTTTTGTAGATAGAGTATCCATATGTGGCACATCATGGCAGGCTGTAACTGTGGCTTCACACAAGGATTGCTGGAAGTTTCCACACAGGAAGAGCTAGATTCTCTTTCCCCCATGCCTGAGTCATGCCTTCTATGTCTTTTACTTACTGGCCTTTCTTTACTCCTTTATATACTAAGGAATTTGACCAAAGTAATATGTAAGCTAATTTTTTTTTTTTTGAGATGGAGTTTCACTCTTGTTGCCCAGGCTGGAGTGCAATGGTGCGATCTCGGCTCACTGCAGCCTCTGCCTCCCAGGTTCGAGGGATTCTCCTGTCTCAGCCTCCTGAGTGGCTGGGGTTACAGGCATGCGTCACCATGCCTAATTTTGTATTTTTAGTAGAGACAGGGTTTCTCCATGTTGGTCAGGCTGGTCTCGAACTCCCGACCTCAGGTGATCCACCTGCCTCGGCCTTCCAAAGTGCTGGAATTACAGGCGTGAGCCACCGCGCCCAGCCTAACCTAAATTTTTTGTGCATGATACTAGAAAATTTGCCAGTCACTTGTGTTTTGTTTCTTCATTTACTCCTCAGAACAGCTGAATGAGGCTGTTCTTATCTTCCTCTTAAACACATGAAATATGAGAAACCTGCTCAGGTTCAGACAGGAGACCAAGGGTCCAGAATATTAGTTATTTTAGCCTTTTTACTCAGTTGAAAGAGAGAGAAAAAGAAAGAGAGAATTCTCCATTGAGGGAACTGTGCCCTGTGGTGTGGGTGTCTGGAGTGTCCTGTTGAGTGATGATGTCCACAGGTGGCATCGCTCCTCCCTGGACCTACCTTGGGAGGGGGGCATCTTCTCTTCCTGTCGTAGTACCTCTTCCATGGCCCCCAGCACTTCAGGCACCCAAGGACGGCAATTACCACAATTGTTATAGAACATTTTAAAATTCATTATGGGAAAAGATGCCTTACACAAACCAGAAAATGTAACAGTCTAAGGTGAAAATATTTACCATTTGGATATCTAAAACAAGATACAATCCAAAATAAGAATCTTATGCCCAGACCAGGGAAGAAAATCCAAAGAAATACAAATAAAGGACATTACCAGGAATGTATAGAAGGAGAAAAACAGATGTCAATAAATATTTGAAAAGATGGTGGTATTCATTTATAATCAAATAAGTGAGAATAATAAAACAAAATCATGGCCAGGCCTGTGACTCACACCTATAATCCTGGCACTTTAGGAGGCTTAGGAAGGAGGATTGTTTGAAACCAGGAGCTCAAGACCATCCTGGGAAACATAGCAAGACTCTATCTCTACAAAAAGAAAAAAAAGAAAAAAACAATTTCTTCCTAATCAGATTACCAAAGTAATGGGAAAATTGATAACTTGCTTTTGGCTATGTTAAGAAAAACCAGAATAATGTATCCCCTTGAAAGATTTTGAAGTTAGGTAAAAAAAAAAATTGAGAAAACATGACATAATCATAATATTAAATTTCTGACATTTTGTTATTTAAAACTTACTTTAAATAGGAGAGTAAGATCTACCTGAAATGTTCTTTATTGGATTGGTAATCATGGAAAAGATATAAAATTAAATATTCATTATTTAGAATAACAATAGATTAGTTCCATGGAACACTATGCAGACATGAGATAAAATCGACAATAATTGACAAAAATAAAAATAGCTAATGTTTATTAAGTATTCAGTCTTGCTACACACTTTTCCCCAGTAACATACGTATATTCCACTGTTTAATTTGAAAACTATATCATGTGACGATCATTATATAGAGAGGAAAGTAATGCATTCAGGCCAACTTGTCCAAGGTCACATGACTGGGAAGGGACAGAGCCTTATATATGCGCTCTGAGGCACGCTGGCTGCAGATCATGACATTCAGTGTTGCAATTAATGTATGTAGTTTTTGCCTGGAGAGTATAGAGGACTCACTGCATAACTACTCAAACATGTCACCATAAGCTTGTCAGTTTGGCAAATGTTGAAGAAAAACAATAACATCCAGGGTTCGAGTTTGAGAGAGGAAGACAATGGGCATTATCAAACAAAGTCAGGACTGAATTGCTAAATGTTGCTGAGGGTGATTGTCAAGATTTATCAAAACATATATATGTGTAGCCCAGGATGCCACATTTAGAGTCCTAGAGGGTTACTTACAAGAAGACTCAATGATTGCACGAAGTAAAAATACAGGAAGTCTTTTTCATCTTTGTGTTTCTGGTGGAACTCAGGGAAATCAGTCATTGTCAGGATACAGACAGAATGAGTAGGAAATCTACGAGTTGACCTATGTCTCTCAAGATCCAAAACAACTTCCCACCCCTCCCCTCTGTCTGCTCAGTGCCACCCCTCTCCCAGGAATCATTGGTCATGAGACTGAGATTGCATATGTTTGATGCTATAGGAGGCAATGACCTTCAAGGACGTGGCTGTGGTCTTCACTGAGGAAGAGCTGGGGCTGCTGGACCTTGCTCAGAGGAAGCTGTATCGAGATGTGATGCTGGAGAACTTCAGGAACCTGCTCTCAGTGGGTGAGGACAGGCACCCTCTGTAACAGAACGTCAGGCCCCAGAGGTGGCTTTGTATCCTAGGGTACAAAGTTTCAAGTCTTAATTAGTAACTTGAACCTATGGTTCAAGTTTGAGTGTGCAGTAAGAACCTAAATTTCTGGTAAACTTTACCTTGATATTACCTAGAATGTGTTGGGATTAAGCATGTAAGTTTGCCTGTTTGCAGGACATCAAGCATTCCACAGGGATACTTTCCACTTCCTAAGGGAAGAAAAGATTTGGATGATGAAGACAGCAATCCAAAGGGAAGGGAATTCAGGTAAGAATCAAGCAACTGTGAATCCCTGTATGTCTCTTCCACCTGTTTCACTTCTGTCCATGCTCAAATCCATTGCCCTGGCCTAAATGGCCAAACCTCTTTCTTGGATTATTGACAACCATCTTACACCTGGTGGCCCTGCCACCCGCCTTCACATCCTGACATCTGTTCTCATAGCAGCCAAAGTGATCCTTAGGAAATGTAAGTCAGATTGCCATTCCTCAGCTCAAAAGCCTGTTTGGCTTATTTTTATTAAAGTTACAACCTCTTTAATTGACTTTTAGAGACCCTGTGATCTGCTCTTCATCCCCTCCCTGCCACCTCTCTAACTACATCTCCTGTCCTCTCCTTCTTGCTCTGTCTTTACCAGCCACTTTATTCTCCCTGCTGTTTCTCTGTCCTCCCAAGGGCACTGTGTTGCCTTTTGCTGGTACCCAGTGACCACAGACTGAGCAGACTGAGAGACAAACATTTATTATTTTTGTGTTCTTTAGGGATGAAGTCTGATACATCTCACTGGGCAATTATCAAGTTGTCTGTAGGGCTTCATGTTTTCTGGATGCTCTTGGGGAGAAGCCTTTACTTTAGTTTATCAGTGTCTAGGCACTGTCCATACTCCTTGGCTCTTGCTTCCCTTCCTCCATCTTCAAAGGCAGCAACTTGCATCCCCATAGTCATGCTCCCTCTGCCACTCTTCTTATGCCTTCCTCTTTCACCTTTTGGGTCCCTTGTAATTGTTTTGATCACTCCTGGATAATCCAGGATGATCTTTCTGTTCTCTGGTTAACTGACTAGCAACCTTAATTGCATCTACAACCTCTGTTCCCCTGCTGTATAACAACGTGATCATAAGTCCTGGGGACTGGATGTGGACATCTTTTAGGAACCATTATTCTGTCTCTACAGAAGCTTCTGTCTCAGCCCTTACTTGCTCATCTCAGTCACTGGGATACTCTGTCACCTCAAAACCTTCTGGCATCTCCTTCAGTTATTCAAGTTTCTTTTCAGTTTTAAAGTCATGAGAGAAGCCATCCTAAACCACTCTCTTTATAATTCCATTCTATTTTGATTCTTCTTGTGCTCTCTTGTACCAAGTCTCACATACTTCTGTTTATCTGTCACTTCTACATGCTGGACTATAATGTCTAAGGAATTTTAACTCTTCGTGGCTGTATTTTCAGTGCCTAGAATGGTCCTGGTACATGGCAGGTTTCCAAATTTTTGTTAACCTGATATATGAGCTAATGAATGGGGTGACTTCACTGTCTCCTGAAATTATGGAGAGAACTAATAAGTGAAACACAAACTACGGTGAAAGAGAGATATTGCAGAACATGTTTTTTGTCTTCCAATGGCCATGTATTTAATTACAATGTTCTTAGATTCCGTTATTTGATTGCCTTGTGTGTTTACGGTGGACCCACATCCCATGGAAACTTCTAAGCATTCTATTTATTACCATACTGAGCTATATGCCTTCCATATGACTTATCCTGGAGCTTTTCATAGGAAGCATATTCATTTCTGGAAAGAAATCATTTTTGAATGAACATTCTGATGTCTACTAGTGAGACAGCTCTTCTACAAGGGGAAAAAATTCTCCATTTTGTGATGTGTCAGATAATAACCAGCTTCCCAGCTAGCTTTCCTTTGAGAGATTTACCCATCTGCAGCCCATTTGCCTTTCCAAAGTCTGCATGCACGTCACTGACCCCAGGTTTCTTCTTCTCCTGGGTGGGGAAGAATGAGGAAGAGAGCAACACAATTCATGCAGCTAAACATTGCCTATATTTCTGGTCATCTTTGTTCAAAAATATGTATATTTCTGCACCTTCATTGTATACAGATTTAATTGTTAAAAACATAAAAGAATACAGATTTTACAACATAATTTTTCCTTTATTTTTTAGAGACCTAGTGCTCTATTTTCAACTTTATAACTTGGAAGGAATCAGGAAACTGCCCTCTCAAAATACTGACATCCTGAAAGAGACTCTCTCTTCTCCCCAAAAACCTCTTAAGTAACAGTGTGTTAAATATATCCATATTCCAGCGTGTACCATTGGGTACATATTTACCTATTACTGTTTTTCCAAGATTCAACCTTGGAAGTTAACTTTCCATTTGACTGACTTAATTTAGGACTTGGTAATATCCTGACCAAAGTTGTCAACATTTTTATGATTGTGAGTCATAGTAAGAAACACATCTTTCACCATAACCAGGACAAACATTTTTCATGCATGTAGATGTCTATGGGTTACTTCAGTAGGCATTTCATGAAATGATACCTTTCTTGCTTGTCATGAAGATGTGATCATTTCTTTTCTAGTTCTTTTTTTCTAAATGCTCATTAGAAGGTTTTAAATTTATTTTATAGCTCACTTTTTGTCTATATTCTTCCATTTGGAAATAAGTATAAAGGAGTATTTATCTATATCATATATTTTCTGCCCTCTTTTTTCTTCTTTTTTTATTTTTTTGAGACAGGGTCTCACTCTGTCACCCATGCTGGAGAGCATTGGCATGATCTCAGCTCACAGCAACCTCTGCCTCCTGAGTTCACATGATTCTCATACCTCGGCCTCCCACGTAGCTGGGATTATAGGTGTGCACCACCACACCTGGCTAATTTTTGTATTTTTAGTAGAGACAGGGTTTCACCATGTTAATCAGGCTGGTCACCAACTCCTGGGCTCAAGCAATCTGCCCGCCTTGGCCTCTCAAAGTGCTGAGATTACAGACATGAGCCACTGTGCCTAGCCTCTGGTCTTTTTTATTTTAATGAGAGTCTAATATCCCCACATGGAACCAACCCAGGGCATGACCCCTCAGGCATTCTTTTTATCCCAAGTGTTCTCACCACCTTTCATTGTCTCATCAGGAGCATCACCCTTTCTTTACCCCTGTCAGGTCCAACCTTTCAGATTCCCATCAAAACTGGTTGTCTGTTTCTTACCTATCTCAGTTAACCAAATTATTGTTCACATCTACAGAAAAATAAAATTAAAGATACATGTTATGCCAAATTCTTGTGTAGGAATATTATGAATATGTAGATATAAACACTCCTAGGCCTTTGATATTATTGTGAAGAGTTTAACTGGCTGCACAGTTTAGAGCAAGAGTTTACAGAAGATCGCTCTCACTTCACACCAACTGCAAGTGTGGGGATTTCCCAAAACTACCTTCACATTCAGTAATTACCTAGAAAGATAAGCAGAACTCACTGAATGCTTTTATACTAAAAGTTACGGATATTTACAGGGTAGAGATGCACATTACATTTCACCAAGAGAAAAATAAGAAACAGTTCTGGGAAGTACCAAATGAGGATCTTGTATTGTATTCTCCCCATAGAGTAGGATGCGTTAAATTCCCAGAATTAAGGTGTGACGTAGAGGGTACAGCGAATCAGGGAAGCTCACCTGAGCCCTGTATTTTTTTTTTTTTTGAGACGGAGTCTCGCTCTGTCACCCAGGCTGGAGTGCAGTGGCGCAATCTCAGCTCACTGCAAGCTCCAACTCCTGGGTTCTTGCCATTCTCCTGCCTCAGCCTCCCGAGTAGCTGGGACTACAGGCGCCCGCCACCATGTCTGGCTAATTTTTTTGTATTTTTAGTAGAGATGGTGTTTCACCATGTTAGCCAGGATGGTCTCGATCTCCTGACCTCGTGATCTGCCCGCTTCGGCCTCCCGAAGTGCTGGGATTACAGGCGTGAGCCACCGCGCCCAGCCGAGCCCTGGTTTTACAAGTAATTTTTGAGGCTCCATTACATAGCCATTATTTGTTGATTGATTCCCATGTGGCTAGTCAGTCTCCTGGGCCACTGATTCCATGTAACCTAAAGCCTCACCTTAAATCACGTTGCTCTTTGTGACATAGGGGGCACCGACCCCCAAAGGCGTGGCCAGCTACAACCCTAAATCATATTGTTTCACTTTCCAGTGACCTAGTTTTACTCTCAAGCAAACAAAGACACTCTCCTCAGGCATAAACTCCTAGACATTACCTCTCAGATCCTGAGGAAAACATCTAGACCTCATTTTGAGTAAGGTTAATATCTTTACTTTGTAAGGATACACAATATAAACACAAATGTACCAAGTCTTGATTATATTACTTTTGTTTAAAATTGGTTTTGATTCATATTTTATTATATACACAATTTATTAGCTTCATAATTTACCATGCAAGATTTTAGACTGATTAGGAAATTCACTAGGAAGAGTAGCAGGTATAATGTTTGTATCATATTAATTTTATTATTGTCTTTTATTTTTATTAAAAATTTTATTTCAGTAGTCTTTTTTTATTAAAGTATATACTGGTTTTTGGTTACATGGTTGAATTGTCTAATGGTGAAGTCTGAGATTTTAGTGTACCCATCACCTGAGTAGTGTACATTGTACCCAACTTGTAGCTTTTTATCCCTTACCCTACCTTCCACCCTCCCCATTTTGAGTCTCCATAGTCCATTATATCACTCTGTATGCCTTTGCATACCCATAGCTTAACTCCCACTTATAAGTGAAAACACGGTATTTGGTTTTCCATTCCTGAGTTACTTCACTTAGAATAATAGCCTCCAGCTCCATCCAAGTTGCTGCAAAAGACATTATTTCATTTTTTTATGGCTGAATAGTATTCCCTGGTGAATATATACCATATTTTCTTTATCCACTCATTGGTTGATGGGCACTTAGGTTGGTTCCATATCTTTGAAATTGTGAATTGTGCTGTAATAAATATAGGCATGCAGGTGTCCTTTTGATGTAAGGACTTCTTTTCCTTTGGGTAGATAGTAGTGGGATTGCTGGATCAAATGGTAGATCCACTTTTAGTTCTTTAGAGAATCTCCATACTGTATTTCATAGAGGTTGTACTAATTTACATTCACACCAGCAGCAGTGTATAAGCGTTTCTTCTCACCACACCCATGTCAACATCTATTGTTTTTCGTCTTTTATTTCTATCAAGTATTTTACATATGATACTTGGTTTAGTTCGAAATTGGCCTCATCCAAACCAAAGATTATGGTGCACTTGAAAAATACAAACTGAATGTTGTCTATACTCATGAGAGTTTCCTGCCATGGCCTAAGTGAAATCTTGATAACACTGAACAAAGGCTTCACTTGTCCTCATCTTTTAATTCTGTATTCTGATAGGAGACAAGATCCAAACTGAGATGGAGACTGTTTCAGAAGCAGGAACACATCAAGAGTGGTCCTTCCAGCAAATCTGGGAAAAAATTGCAAGTGATTTAACCAGGTCTCAAGACTTGATGATAAATAGCTCTCAGTTCTCCAAAGAAGGTGATTTCCCCTGCCAGACTGAGGCAGGACTATCTGTAATTCACACAAGACAGAAATCTTCCCAGGGCAATGGATATAAACCATCCTTCAGTGATGTCTCCCACTTTGATTTTCATCAACAATTACACTCAGGAGAGAAATCTCATACGTGTGATGAGTGTGGAAAGAACTTTTGTTACATCTCAGCCCTTCGTATTCATCAGAGAGTCCACATGGGAGAGAAATGCTATAAGTGTGACGTGTGTGGTAAGGAATTCAGTCAGAGTTCACATCTGCAAACTCATCAGAGAGTCCACACTGGAGAGAAACCGTTCAAATGTGTGGAATGTGGGAAAGGCTTCAGTCGTAGATCAGCACTTAATGTTCATCATAAATTACACACAGGAGAGAAACCTTATAATTGTGAGGAATGCGGGAAGGCCTTCATTCACGATTCCCAGCTTCAAGAACATCAGAGAATCCATACGGGGGAGAAGCCATTCAAATGTGATATATGTGGTAAGAGCTTCTGTGGTAGATCAAGACTTAATAGGCATTCCATGGTTCACACGGCAGAGAAACCATTCCGATGTGATACGTGTGATAAGAGCTTTCGTCAGAGATCAGCACTTAATAGTCATCGCATGATCCACACAGGAGAGAAACCATACAAATGTGAGGAGTGTGGAAAAGGCTTTATTTGTAGGCGAGATCTTTATACGCATCATATGGTCCACACGGGAGAAAAGCCATATAATTGTAAAGAGTGTGGGAAGAGCTTCAGATGGGCCTCGTGTCTTTTGAAACATCAGCGAGTCCACAGTGGAGAAAAACCATTCAAATGTGAAGAATGTGGGAAAGGATTTTACACAAATTCACAATGCTATTCCCACCAGAGATCCCATAGTGGAGAAAAACCATACAAATGTGTGGAGTGTGGGAAGGGCTACAAAAGGAGGTTGGATCTTGACTTTCACCAGCGCGTCCATACAGGAGAGAAACTGTATAATTGTAAGGAATGTGGGAAGAGCTTTAGTCGGGCCCCATGTCTTTTGAAACATGAGAGACTCCACAGTGGAGAAAAACCATTCCAATGTGAAGAGTGTGGGAAGAGATTTACTCAAAATTCACATCTTCATTCCCATCAGAGAGTTCACACTGGAGAAAAGCCATACAAATGTGAGAAGTGTGGAAAGGGCTACAATAGTAAGTTTAATCTTGATATGCACCAGAAGGTCCACACAGGAGAGAGACCATACAATTGTAAGGAATGTGGGAAGAGTTTTGGCTGGGCCTCGTGTCTTTTGAAACATCAGAGACTGCACAGTGGAGAAAAACCATTCAAATGTGAAGAGTGTGGGAAAAGATTTACTCAGAATTCACAGCTTCATTCTCATCAAAGAGTGCACACTGGAGAAAAGCCATACAAATGTGATGAGTGTGGGAAGGGCTTCAGCTGGTCCTCAACTCGTCTGACCCATCAGAGACGCCACAGCAGAGAAACACCTCTCAAATGTGAGCAGCATGGGAAGAACATTGTACAGAATTCATTCTCTAAAGTGCAAGAAAAAGTTCACAGTGTAGAAAAGCCATACAAATGTGAGGACTGTGGGAAGGGCTACAACAGGCGCTTGAATCTTGATATGCATCAGAGGGTCCACATGGGAGAGAAAACATGGAAGTGTAGGGAGTGTGATATGTGCTTTAGTCAGGCCTCAAGCCTTCGACTTCATCAGAATGTTCATGTTGGAGAAAAACCTTAGTGATGTGATGGTGCAATAAAGTCTTCACTCAGTCTTCATGAATGCAGTCTCATCTGAAAGTTCACAAAGGAGAGACACATTAAAATATGAGGCACATAGTAAGCACTTCCCTTTGAGTATTTTATCTCTGAATCCATGCTGGTGATAAATTTCACCCATTCTTGGAAGAGGGAAAACATTTGTTTAAGATAACATCAGTGCTTCAGCCATAGCTCAGCATGCCCCAGTAGTCTCAGGACCACCATAATGGAGAATCCTTGTAAATGGTGCAATAAAGCTTCATTCAGAAGTTTGATAATTACAGCTATCATTCAGGAGACAGGCCTTAGAAAGAGTAAGAGTTCATGAATTTACCAGACTAATGGTGGACATGTCCAAATTGATGTCCACTAGAATGTAAACTACATGTGTCTTTGCTGCTAAGTCGTCACAGCCTTAACATTGATTAGCACTTTGTATGTGTTCAGTACTTGTTTGTTAAATCAATGAAAGGATAAAACATATGTATGGATTTGGATACAATTTTGTGTATCCAAAAAGGGAAGCCTGCAAAAAATAATTCTGGGAAACATGAGTTGAAATGCAGAGTAAACTCAGTACTGCAATCCATAGCAATATTTTGCATATTATTATTTTTTCTTTTAAATTTTTTTCTTGATCAGATTTATCATATTCATTGAACATTATTTTATTGCACTTGGCTCCTGGCTTCCCCCCATCCTGTGCTCTGAAGTCAGAGTATTATTTGTGGCTCTATGAAATGTCCATTGCTTGTATACGGTATAAATTTAATTATCTTTTGTAGTTTTTCTCACAGTATAGACTGAAAAGGTTTGGTTAATTTTGCAATAACAGACCACTGCATATTTCACAATTAAGTGTTTTCAACAGTATTAAGGCAAGATTTACAGTAACACTTTTAAAGTGCCAGATGTACATTGACAGAAATTTTCTTAGTCAATCCTAGATTGATCATGATTTGTGATTTCTATGCAGGCCTTGGTATGATTGCCTTTTAATTGCTGTACAATTTCTTTTTTTTTTTTAACTTCTCTGGTATAAAATATTCTAAATTTGAATGACAGCTTTTGTCAACCTTCTTATCCAATATTCTTCCACCAACGCTATGAAACAGGAAGAGAAAATGGAGTTTGGTAATTTCATCAAATATATTCATTATTGGGGGCAGGAGTAACATTTAAATCCTCCTCTTTATTGCTGGCAGTAAAAATATGTCTTTTGGAGAGCAGAACATGCCAGAATGTATAAGGTGCAACTGTTTGATATGAAAACCATAGGATAGGAAACTATGCCTATGACACTAAAACTCCAAAAAGTAGAAGACCACATTGATGATGTCACTGCATTTTAAAATGGAAAGAACAAGTGTTCAAGAACAGGAATTTGTGTGAATTGCATTTATTCCTATAATAATATGAACTCAATGAGATGATGACATAGACACAATAACAAAAGGAGAAAAACAATGTGGCTTTTTTTAGCCTTCATAACCTAATCAAATAAATATCTTTGTGTGTTTTATGTTCTTTTGAGTGTTTACATACTGTGTAAATGAATATTTTTACTGATCTTTGCTGGCAATGAGTGTTTGCAGGCATTTTTCCATTTTATACTTCCATGCATTTTTAATTTTTTTATGCCACGATCTTTTAAACAACCAGCTCTTGTGTGAATTAAGAGTGCGAACTCATTCATTACCATGGTGGGGACACCAATGTTTATGAAGGATCTGCTTCCATGACCAAGCACCTTCCAATAGTCCCGACCTCCAACACTGGAGGTCATACTTCAACATGAGATTTGGAGGGGATACATATTCAAACTATTGTCAGATGTTAATTCATCAGGTATACACCATAGTAATATCTTAAGTGTGTTAAGTTAAAGTGATATATTTTCTAAGGTATAGAACAAATAGGGCTTATCACCCCCCTACAAGCAAAGAAAATGTCACAATGCTTAGTGTGCCATTTTTGATATTGGATGCAACTTATTGTTTCGATTGTGCTACTCTGACTTTTATGAGTGACCCAAAAACTTTGACTTGTCCCAGACAAGAGAAGTTTGTGTAATATGTCCCAGCTTCCACGTAAGCTTCTCTGCCACTAAAACCCTGTGACCCCGGGGGTCCAAAAGTGTTTGAAATGTCCGTGGCAGATAGTATGTTTGAAGCCTATGGTTGGCCCTAATTGGAGAATCAAAATTCAGATGCTTAGTATTTTGAAGCAAATTTCTGCCATCCTCTGCATATACTTACTCTCCTCTGGAGAAGAAGCTTTTCATTTTGCTAGGGTGTTTTGTTTTGTTTTGTTTTTGTTTTTGTTTTTTGAGACGAGTCTTGCTCTGTGGCCCAAGCTAGAGTGCAGTGGTGCAATCTTGGCTCACTGCAACCTCTGCCTCCCGGTTTCAAGCGATTCTCCTGCCTCAGCCTCCCGAGTAGCTAGGATTGCAGGTGCCCCGCCACCGCACCCGGCTGATTTTTGTATTTTTAGTAGAGACGGGGTTTCACCATCTTGGCCAGGCTGGCCTCAAACTCCTGACCTCGTGATCCACCCGCCTTGGCCTCCCAAAGTGCTGGGATTACAGGTGTGAGCCACCACGCCCGGCCACTAGGGGTCTTAAAACGGACAGAACACTTGACCACAGACCACCAAATTAACATGTGACTTATGCTTTCCATCATGAATCGGGTGTTGACCCCTGCACCTTTTTAAGTTACATGTGCAGATTAGTATTCCATTTGGAAGTGGTATATATGAGATTGTGTTTGTGCAGGCTCTGAAGCCACAGGTAAGTGCACCTAATATTCATCTCCCTACTCTTGCTGTATTCAGAATGAGTGAATATAAAGAGAAGTCATCTGAAATTATTGTGTCTCAGCAGCAGAAAGAAGTGGAATACACGGTTGGACGCGGTGGCTCACGCCTGTGATCCCAGCATTTTGGGAGGCCGAGGCGGGTGAATCACCTGAGGTCGGGAGTTTGAGACCAGCCTGACCAGCATGGAGAAACCCCCTCTCTACTAAAAATACAAAATTAGCCGGGCGTGGTGGCACATGCTTGTAATCCCAGCTACGCTGGAGGCTGAGGCAGGAGAATCGCTTGAACGCGGGAGGCGAAACTCCCTCTCAAAACAAAAAACAAACAAAAAACAACCAAAACTGAAAGCTGGTAATGAAACAAATACGTATACACGAACATTTGTAGCAACACTGTTCACTACAGCCAAAAGGTGAAAAGAAGCCAAATGTGCGTCAATGTATGAATGGAGAAACAAATTGTAGTATAAACATAAAATATTCATCTATGAAAAGGAATGAAGTACTGATACGTGGTATGATGTGAATAACATTAAAAATATTATGCTAAGCAAAGGGAGTTAGAAACAAAATGTTCCATTCATTTTTATGATTTGTCCAAAATAGGTAATAGAAAAGAGAGAAAGATTCATGTTTCCCCAGGAATGGGATTATGGACAACAGTAGTGATTGCTTAGTGGGCATGGGGTTTTCTTTGGGTGATAAAAATGTTTTGTAATTCAAGAGGTGGTGGTTTCACAATGAAGCAGCTACTTTGTCTGAGGTTTAAACCCGGGGTTCGTCGTTAAGCGCCAGAAAAATTTAGGACACGGACACACAAAAACTCCTCAGTTTAGGAGCGGAGGTTTAATAGGAAGAAGAGAAAGAGAAACGGGTTCCTCCATAGAGGAAGGGGTCTCCGAGCGGAAAAGGGTCGGCTGGCAGTGAATGTGCTGAGTTTTACAGACCAGTTTGAGGAGGCAGTGTCTGATTTACATAGGGGTCATAGATTGGTTCGATCAGTTATGACGTTTACATAGTGCGTGGGGAAGGCTGGTCGCCCCACCCTAATCTTCTTATGCAAATAGGCTTCCCAGTTGATTGGCCCATCTTGCCAGCTTCTTACTGTGCACGTGGCTGACAAAGAGAAGGGAAGATGGAGCCGCCATCTTTAACATGATTGGCACAACTGCTGGTATCTATGTCTGCGGCAGCTGGATTTTACAGGCTGCTCTTCCTTAGGAAGGGAAATAATTTGGGGCTGCTTTTCATTAAAAAGAAAAGCCTTACCGAGGGCTCCCATACCCTATCTGCCTAAGTGATGGCTTCTTAACTCGTATATATTAACAACACTGTATTCGTACTAGATGCCATTGCCATTGAATTATGTGCCTTAAAATAATTTTGTTTTGTGAATTACACCTCAAAAATATTTTTTAAATAATAAAACGACCACGTTAAAAACGTTTTGCATAGCGAAAAACAAGTCAAAGGAAAAAAGCTTTTTGGTTGAGCAATATTTGATACAATGTTAATATGAGTATGTAAATAATACTTAACGGAGGGGAAAAAACTAAACACTCAATAGAAATGTGGGCAAACTATTTGACCAATTCACAAAGACTATAATAGTGGCAACGGAAAATATGCACGGATGTTCCACTTTATTTACAAAAGAACAAATACAAATTAAAACTACATTTAGAAACCATTTCTTACCATTAGATTAGCAAAACTTAACTCCTCGAAGACTGTGTCTTCTCGCTTGTTCCCTTTCCAATAACACTCCTGTTATCATTGGAGGCGTTTAGACTTCAGAAATTCCTGTCTATTCAGTATTTTCTGTCCTGGACCAGGGAGAGAGAAGGACGACTCTCAGGATAACAGTTCACATTCCCCACTAGGCAGGCGCTCGTGGCTTTGGGATTCGTTCCCAGTGGGCACCTCGGAGTGGCAACGCTTCCCCCTGAAGAATGAGATTTTGAGCGTTTTTCCTTCAGCATTCGGAGGAGTGTAATCCAAATGCTCTGTGGAGTCGTACACACTGGCTCCAGAAGGAGGATACAAGCAATTCTGGGAATGGTAGTCCAGACGCTCAGTGGAGTAGCGGTCAGCTTGGCTCCGGCAGGCGAATCAGGGGATTTCTGGGAAATGTAGTCCAGACGCTCAGTGGAGTCTCGGTCAATTTGACTCCGGCAGGTGGATCCCAGGGAATTCTGGGAAGTGTAGTCCAGACGCTCGGGGTCGTCGCGGTCAGTTTGTCTCAGGAATTCTGGGAAGTGGAGTCCAGACACTCAGTGGAGTAGCGGGCCACTTCCGCTCCGTTACTGTGAGGTTGCTGCAGTTTTGTCCCTGGTAGTTTGGGTCAGTTCCGCGAGACCCTTCTGAATTTCCTGGACCTACGCATTGGATCCTTAACGAACTGGTGATCGAATTAGGGGAAAAGAAACCTCGTCGGAGAGCAGAGGTTTGGCGGAGCGGGGCCGCTGTTTTCGTTCTCGTCAGTGGAGCCTTCTTGGGCTTGGGGCTCTCCTCGCGTCCCCGGGGTGTTTGGGACTTGGTCGGGTCGCGTCTCGCCTGGTTTTAGGGTCTCCGGGGCTCTGAGCTCGCCCACTCGGCCTCCCTGCACCCCACGCGCGTGGCCACTTCCTCGCGATAAAACGCTGGGATGTTACTTAATCTCCTTGGGTCTCCCGTTACAGTTCTTTAAGATGGGGAGTTTAGGACCATCCTAATAGAATCGTTTTGGGAACTGAAAGCGGTAACACAAATGAGAGCCTTAAAGCAGCCCCTGTCACTTGGTGACTGGTGGTCTCTTGTTAATTTCCCACGAAGCCTGTCAGGTCCCCGGGTGGGGTGAAACTCCAGCTGCAGGGGCACCGGCCCTTCTCCCTGATTCCTGCAAGACGCTGGGTGATCCCGGACGCCTTCTGACCTCTCTTTTAGGAAGGCGAGGGTTGCATCCACTTCCAGGAGGGGAGAGGAGCATTTAACTTTTATGGGGCACGGCGACCACGGTCAGAGTGTTTCACAGCCTTCTCCTTACCCAGCCCGACCTTTCCAAAAGAGCTGCAGGGAGGGACTTCTTGGCTTCTGAGGGCAAAGCTCTACGTGAGTGATCCTTGGCTTTTTTCTTTGACAGAGATGCTCACCCCAACCGAGAGTGTATAGGATGTGTCTTCGGGCATGGGTGTTGCTTTCAGTTGTCATGTTTTTCTAGTCTTTAATCTTGAAAGATAGCATAGCTTTCATCGTTTTTTCTTGGTATTTTATCCTTGTTATTTTTGAAGAGTATAGATGAAGTTATTTTGGTCAAAGATGTTCATTTGGAGTTTTTCTGATGTATTTCACGTTTAACTTCAAAATATGCATTTTTTGCTGGAATACCACAGAAGTGGTAAATCTCTCTCTCTCTTTTTTTTTCTTGAGACGGAGTTTCGCTCTTGTCGCCCAGGCTGTAGTGCATGGCACGATCTCAGCTCATTGCAACATCCACCTCCTGGGTTCAAGCTATTCTCCTGCCTCAGCCTCCCAAGTAGCTGGGATTACAGGTGCCTGCCACCACATCCGGCTAATTTTTGTATTTTTAGTAGAGAAGGGATTTCACCATGTTGGCCAGGCTGGTCTCAGACTCCTGACCTCAGGTGATTCAACCGCCTTGGCCTCCCAAAGTGTGGGATTACAGGCATGAGCCACCGTGCCCAGCCTGAAGTGGTAAATTTCTTATTGCAACATAACAGGGGCCATATGTCAGTTTGTCACTTCATTGGTGATCTCAACTTTGTTCACTTGGCTAAAGTCATGTTTGTCAGATTTCCGCATTGTAAAATTATTTTGAATTTTTTTTTTTACCCCAGGAACACAGATTCAAGTTGCTCTCAATATACACTCCCTAATTTTTTAGTTAAATAAAATTTTGTAAGGAGAAATACATTTATTAGTGCACATTCTACTGTAAAGGTGAACTCTCCCTTCTCCTTCATTTGCTTATTCATTCATTCAACTATAAATATTCTATCAGTGTAGATCCAGAATCCAGTCTTATTAAGTTAAATGACATGTGGATGAACAATTACCAATGCTTTGTCCAACTTTATTGAGGTGTATTCTACATATCATAGAAACTACCCATTTCGTGTGTACACTTTAATGATTTTTAGGAACTTTGTGGAGTGGAATAAACATCACCATAATTCAGTTTAAATAATTTTCATCCCCCATTAAGCCTCCTTGTGCTCACTTATAGTTAATCCTCTTTGTCACCTCAAATATGCAGAGACCACCTATCTACTTTCTCGTTATATACACTTGCCTACTCTGGAATTTCATAGATATAGGATCATGCAATATGTGGGCCTTCCTATGTGACTGGCTTCTTTCACTTAGCATAATGTTTCCAAAGTTCATGCGTGTTGTAGCATGAATCAGTACTTCATTCCTTTTAATTTCCAAATAAGATTCCATTGTATGGATAGGCCACAATTTGTCTATCCATGTACGCATAGGAGGGAGTTTGTTGGTGTGCAGTTTTGGGTTACTATGAATGATGCTGTTGGGAACATTCATGTGTTAATTTACAATACACATTCGTGTTGGTGGATGGCATCCCTGGCCACACTTTCATGTCTCTTTTTCTGCCTTCCCTGGTACTTTCCAGGCAGGATTCTGCTTTCCCTTGGACTGTATCACTCAGGACTCTGAATATTCCCTGAAATAGGAGGAAAAATGACCACGTTGAAGGTGAGTAGAGCTTGCCTCTCTTGCTGTTAAAATTTCTTTTATGGAGACTTGTTCTGTCGCCAAGGCTGGAGTGCAGTGGCCTGATTTTGGCTCATTGCAACCTCCACCTCCGGAGTTCAAGTGATTCTCCTGCTTCAGCCTCCCAAGTAGCTGGGACTACAGGCACACACCACCACACCCAGAAAATTTTTGTATTTTTAGTAGAGACGGGGTTTCATCATCTTGGCCAGGCTGTTCTCAAACTCCTGACCTCAGGTGATCTGCCTGCCTTAGCCTCCCAAAGTGCTGGAATTGCAGATGTGAGCCACCGTGCCCGGCCGTATTTCTTCTCACTACTCATATTCTCACAGGTTCTTCTCAGTCTTGGGAAGACTTAGGGAGTACAACAGAGATATAGCATGGGACAAACAGAATCTAGCTCTTCCCGTGTGAACACCTCCAATAATCCTTGTGTGAAGCAGCAGTTAAGCAGTTATAGCCTGTTGTGTTGTGCCAACACGAGAGCCAGCGTCCACAGGTGGCACTGCTCCTCCCAGGCACCATTTTGGGGTGATCTTCTTTCTTCCTGACATGACACCTACTCAGATGCACCCAGTGCTCCAGGCACCCAAGGACAGTGATAACCATAGTCATGATAGAAAATCTTTACTTTCAGTATGGTAAAGGGTACCTCACACAATGTTACCAGAAAATATAACAGCCTAGAGCAAAAATATTCACTACTTGTATATTTGAAACAGATAAAATCCAAAATAAGAATCTTATGTACAGAATAGAAAAAGAAAATCCAAAGGAATGTGAATAAAAGACATTAACAGGCAAGTTTAAAAGGAGAAATTGAGATGGCCAATAAATATTTGAAAAGGTGATGGTATTATTTATAATCAAATAAGTGAGACTGTTAAATTCTTCCTAATATGATTACAAAAATCATGGGAAAATTGATAACCTGCTCTTGGTTATGGTAAGACAAATCAGTGTACACGTATCCTCTTGAAAGATTAGGGTTTGGTAAAAAATTGAGACCTGATATTATATGATCACAATTTTAAATATGCCTATTTATTGACATTTTAATTTTCATTTAAAATTATTTTAAATAAACAGTAGTAAAATCTACCCAAAATGTTTTTTTTTACAGGATTGGTATTAATGAGCATATATAAAATTAAAGATTATTTAGAGTAGATAAAAATAGATTATCAATTCTTTGGAATACTATGCAGACATGAAATGAGATAAAATAGATGGCAACAATGACAATAATAATAAAAAAAATTTTAAAAAGCTAGTGTTTATTAGGTATTTAGTCTGCACTGATCAACTTTCCCAATGCTGCATGTATTTCCTTGTTTAATCATTGAAAAAACTATAATATGAAAATTATTAGAGAGGGAGTAAATAGGTGAACTTGTCCAAGGTCATGTGACCAGGAAGGCACAGAGCCTTGGGATGTGCTTTTAGGCACACTGTCTGCAGATCATAGATCAATGCTGCAATCAATGTATGTAGTTTATGCCTTGAGAGTACACAGGATGTACTGTATAGCTGTCCCACACAGGTTACCACAAGCTTTGTTAGTTTGGTGGCAGATATTAAAGAAAAATGATAACATTCAGGGTTCAAGTATGAGAGAGAACAATGGGAATTATCAGGCAAGACTGGGACTGAATTGTTAAATGTTACTGGGGCAGTTGGCAAGATTCACTGAAACCTATATACGTGCAGCCCAGGATGCTGCATTTAGAGTCCTACAGGGTTACTTACAAGGAGACTCAGTAAGTGCACAAAGTAAACCTACAGGAGGTCTTTTCCATCACTGCACTTCTGGTGGAGCTCAGGAAAATCCATCATTATCAGGATACAGACAGAATGAATAGCAAATCTATGAGCTGGCTGGGCGCAGTGGCTCATGCCTGTAATCCCAGCACTTTGGGAGGCCGAGGCAGGCGGATCACCTGAGGTCAGGAGTTTGAGACCAGCCTGGCCAATGTGGTGAAACCCCATCTCTATTAAAAATACAAAAATTAGCCAGGCATGGTGGCAGGCACCTGTAATCCCAGCTACTTGGGAGGCTGAGGCGGGAGGATCACTTGAACCTGGGAATCGGAGGTTGCAGTGAGCCAAGATCATGCCACTGCACTCCAGCCCGGGCAACAGAGCAAGACTGTCTCAAAATAAATAAATAAATAAAATAAAATAATAAAAAAGGAAGTCTGTGTGTTGACCTATGTCTCTCAAGATCCAAAACAGCTTCTCATTCCTCCCCTCTGTCTGCTCAGTGCCACCCCTCTCTCAGTAGTCATTGGTCATGAGACTGAGGTTGCATATGTTCGATGCTGTAGGAGGCAGTGACCTTCAAGGACGTGGCTGTGGTCTTCACTGAGGAAGAGCTGAGGCTGCTGGACCTTGCCCAGAGGAAACTGTACCGAGAAGTGATGCTGGAGAACTTCAGGAACCTGCTCTCAGTGGGTGAGGACAGGCACCCTTTGTAAGGGAACATCAGGACCAGGAGTGGCTTTGTATCCTAGAGTGTTCAAGTTTGAGTATGCATTGGGAACCTAAGTTTCCAGTAAATTTTACTTAGATTTTTTTCTAGGATATATTGGCACTAAGCACATGACTTTTCACGTTCACAGGGCATCAATCACTCCACAGAGATACTTTCCACTTCCTAAAGGAAGAAAAGTTTTGGATGATGGAGACAGCAACCCAAAGAGAAGGGAATTTAGGTAAGAAGCAAGCAACTCTGTGTCCTTGTGCGTGACTCTCCCATCGGTTTCACTTCTGTCCATTGCCCAGCTCTGTTGTCCTGGTCTAAATGGCCAGACCTCTTTCCTGAATTATTACAGCTGACTTTCGGCTGGTTTCCCTGCTCCCACTTTTCCCACCCTGACATCTGTTTTCCTCATGGCAGCCAATGTATTCCTTAGGAAAGTCAGACTGCCATTCCTCGGCTCAAAAGCCTTTCTGGCTTCTTTTTTTTTTTTTTGAGATGGAGTCTCGCTGTGTCGCCCAGGCTGGAGTGCAGTGGTGCAATCTCGGCTCACTGCAAGCTCCGCTTCCCGGGTTCACGCCATTCTCCTGCCTCAGCCTCCTGAGTAGCTGGGAATACAGATGCCCGCCACCACGCCCGGCTAATTTTTTGTATTTTTAGTAGAGACGGGGTTTCACCGTGTTAGCCAGGATGGTCTCGATCTCCTGACCTCGTGATCCGCCCGCCTTGGCCTCCCAAAGTGCTGGGATTACAGGCGTGAGCCACCGCGCCCGGCTGGCTTCTTATGTTTACTTAAGTTACAAGTGTTTTAAGTGCCTTTTAGAGACCATGTGATCTGCTTTTCATCCCCCACCACCTCTCTGACTACATCTCCTGTCCTCTCCCTTTTGCCTTGTCCTTCCAGCCACGTTGTCCTCCCTACCGTTTCTCTGACCTGCCAAGGACACTGTATTGCCTGTTGTAGTAACCAATGACCACACATTTAGTCGACTAAACAACAAAAATTTATCATCTTTCTGTTCTTTAGGCCTGAAGTCTGACACGTCTCACCGGACAATTATCAAGCTGTCTGTAGGTGTTTGTTTCTTTCTGGATGCTCTTGAGGAGAAGCCTTTATTTTGGTTTACCAGTCTCTAGGCATTCCTTGGCTCTTGTTTCCCTTCCTCCATCTTCAAAGGCAGCTACTTTGCATTTCTGACCCTTCTTCCATAGTCATGCTCACTCTGCCACTCTTCTTATGCCTCTCTCTCCTGCCTTTCAGGTTCCTTGTAATTGTGTTGGTTACCCCTGGATGATTCACAATGACCTCTCTTTCTTGTTAGCTGATTAGTGACCTTAATTGCATCTGCAATCCCAGTCCCCCTTGCTGTGTAATATAACATGTTCATAGGTCTTGGGTACTGGATGTGGACATCTTTTATGAATCATTGTTCTGTCTACTACTGAAGCTTCTGCCTCAGAGCCCTTACTTGCTTTTCTGTCTGATCAGAATACTCTTTCACCTCAAAACTTTCTGGCTTCTCCTTTAAGCATATTCAAGTCTCTGTTCAGTTTTAGAGAGGCCATTTCCAACCACCCTATTTAAAATACTATTCTAGGCCAGGCGCGGTAGCTCACGCCTGTAATCCCACTACTTTCGGAGACCAAGGTGGGTGGATCACTGAGATCAGGAGTTTGAGACCAGCCTGGCCAACATGGTGAAATCCCATCTCTACTAAAAATACAAAATTTGCCAGGCGTGGTAGTGTGTGCCTGTAGTCTCAGTTACTCGGGAGGCTGAGGCAGGAGAATCACTTGAACCCAGGAAGCGGAGGTTGCAGTGAGCCGAGATGGCGCCACCGCACTCCAGCCTTGGTGACAAAGTAAGACTCTGTCTCAAAAAAACAAACAAAACACTGTTCTATTTTTTTCTTCTTGTGCTGTCTTGCACTGTGTCTTATATATTTCTGTTTACCTGTCACTTTTACCCCCAGGAATGTGATGTCTAAGAGGATGAATTTTAGCTGTTTTGCTCATGGCTGTCTATTCACAGGCTAGAAGGTATTGTTCTGGTACATGGCAGGTATCTAATTATTTGTTATCCTGATAAATAAATTAATGGATGAGGGGAACTTCAGTGTCTCCAGGAATCATGGAGATAGATAGCTAATAAGTGATACACAAACTAGAGTGAATGAGAGCTATTGCAGAACATGTTTCTGTCTTTTGATGGCTGCCTATCTAATTAGAACTTTCTTAGGATTCCTTGTTGGGATACTATTTTTAGGTATGTGCAGTTCACCTACATCCCATGGAAACTTCTAAGTGTTCTTTTTATGGCCACACTGAGTATTATGCCTTCTCTCTGACTTGTCTTGGAGCTTTATGTTTTTATTTTTATTTTTTAAAAATTTTCCACAAGTTATTGGGGTATAGGTGATATTTGGTTACATAAGTTCTTTAGCGACTTGTGAGAATTTGGTGCGCTCATCACCCGAGCAGTATATGCTGCACCATATTTGTAGTCTTTTGTCTCTCGCCCTCCTCCCACTCTTTCCCGCAAGTCCCCAAAGTCCATTTCTCTCTTTTTTTTTTTTAAGCAGAGTCTCGCTCTGTTGCCCAGGCTGGAGTGCAGTGGTGCCATCTCGGCTCACTGCAGGCTCCGCCTCCCAGGTTCACGCCATTCTCCTGCCTCAGCCTCTCAAGTAGCTGGGACTACAGGCGCCCGCCACGATGCCCTGCTAATTTTTTTTATATTTTTAGTAGATACGGGTTTTACCGTGTTAGCCAGGATGGTCTCGATCTCCTGACCTCGTGATCCACCCGCCTCGGCCTCCCAAAGTGCTGGGATTACAGGCCATTGTCTCATTCTTATGCCTTTGCATCCTCGTAGGTTAGCTCCCACATATCAGTGAGAATATATGATGTTTGGTTTTCCATTCCTGAGTTACTTCACTTAGAATAATAGTCTCCAGTCTCATCCAGGTTGCTGCAAATGCTATTAATTCATTCCTTTTTATGGCTGAGTAGTATTCCATTGTATATAATACCACAGTTTTCTTTATTCACTCGTTGATTGATGGGCATTTGTGTTGGTTCCACGATTTTGCAATTTTGAATTGTGCTGCTGTAAACATGCATGTGCAAGTATCTTTTTCGTGTAATGACTTCTTTTCCTCTGGATAGATACCCAGTAGTGGGATTGCTGGATCAAATGGTAGTTCTACTTTTAGTTCTTTAAGGAATTTCCACATTGTTTTCCATAGTGGCTGTACTAGTTTACATTCCCACCAGCAGTGCAGAAGTGTTCCCTGAACAACACATCCATGCCAACATCTACTGTTTTTTTGATTTTTGATTATGGTCATTCTTGCAGGAGTAAGGTGGTATCGCATTGTGGTTTTGATTTGCATTTCCCTGATCATTAGTGATTTTGAGCTTTTTAAAATATGTTTGTTGGCCATCTATATCTTCTTTTGAAAATTGTCTATTCATGTTCTTAGCCCACTTTTTGATGGGGTTGTTTGGTTTTTTTCTTACTGATTTGTTTGAGTTTGTTGTAGATTCTGGATATTAGTCCTTTGTCAGATGTACAGATTGTAAAGATATTCTCCCACTCTGTGGGTTGTCTGTTTATTCTGGTGACTGTTCCTTTTGCTGTGCAAAAGCTCTTTAGTTTAATTAGGTCCCAATTATTTATCTTTGTTTTTATTGCATTTGTTTTTGGGTTCTTGATCATGAAATCCTTGCCTAAGCCAATGTCTAGAAGGATTTTTCCAATGTTACCTTCTAGAATTTTTATAGTTTCAGGTCTTAGATTTGAGTCCTTAATCTATCTTGAATTGATTTTTGTATAAGGTGAGGGATGAAGATCCAGTTTCATTCTCCTACATGTGGCTAGCCAATTATCCCAGCATCATTTGTTGAAAAGGGTGTCCTTTCCCCCACTTTATGTTTTTGTTTGCTTTGTCGAAGATCAATTGGCTGTAAGGATTTGGGTTTATTTCTGGGTTCTCTATTCTGTTCCTTTGGTCTATGTGCCTATTTTTATACCAGTACCATGCTGTTTTGGTGACTATGGTCTTATAGTATAGTTTGAAATCAGTTAGTGTGATGCCTCCAGATTTGTTCTTTTTGCTTTAGTCTTGCTTTGGCTCTGCGAGCTCTTTTTTGGTTCCGTATGAATTTTAGCATTTTTTTTCTAA
Organism: Homo sapiens; assembly: GCF_000001405.40. NCBI lineage: Eukaryota > Metazoa > Chordata > Mammalia > Primates > Hominidae > Homo > Homo sapiens. Next base: position 44,122,524 of record NC_000019.10, read on the forward strand.
TTCTATGAAGAATGATGGTGATGTTTTGATAGGGATTGCATTTAATTTGTAGATTGCTTTTAGCAGTATGGTCATTTTCACAATATTGATTGCACCCATCCATGAGCATGAGATGTGTTTCCATTTGTTTGTGTCATGTATGATTTCTTTCAGCAGCATTCTGTAGTTTTCCTTGTAGAGGTCTTTTGACTCCTTGGTTAGGTGTATTCCTGAGTATTTGATTTTTTTTGCAACTATTATAATAGGGGTTGGGTTCTTGATTTGATTCTCTGCTTGGTTGCTGGTGGTGTGTAGAAGAGCTACTGATTTGTGTACATTAATCTTGTATCCAGAAACTTTGCTGAATTCTTTTATCAGTTCCAGGAGCTTTCTGGAGGAGTCTTTAGGATTTTCAATGTAGATGATCATATCATTAGCGAACAGTGACAGTTTGACTTCCTCTTTACCGATTTGGGTGCCCCTTATTTCTTTCTCTTGTCTGATTGCTCTGGCTAGGACTTCCAGTACTATGTTGAGGAGTGGTGAGAGCAGATGTTCTTGTCTTGTTCCAGTTCTCAGAGGGAATGCTTTCAACTTTTCCCTATTCAGTGTTATGTTTGCTGTGGGTTTGTCATAGATGGCTTTTATTACATTGAGGTATGTCCCTTGTATGCCGATTTTGTGAGTTTTAATCATAAAGCGTTGCTGGATTTTGTCAGATGCTTTTTCTACATCTATTGAGATGATCAAGTGATTTTCATTTTTAATTCTGTTTATGTGGTGTATCACATTTATTGACTTGGGTATGTTAAACCATCCCTGCATCCCTGGCATGAAACCCATTTGATCATGATGGATTATCTTTTTGATATGTTGTTGGATTAAGTTACCTAGTATTTTGTTAAGGATTTTAGCATCAATGTTCATCAAGGATATCGGTCTGTAGTTTTCTTTTTTGATTATGTTCTTTCCTGGTTTTGGTATTAGGGTGATGCTGGTTTCCTAGGATGAATTAGGAAGGGTTCCTTCTTTCTCTATCTTGTGAAATAGCGTCAAAAGAATTGGTATCAATTCTTCTTTGAGTGTCTGGTGGAATTCTGCTGGGAATCCATCTGGTCCTGGACTTTTTTTGTTTGTAATTTTTAAATTACCATTTCAATCTCATGGCTTGTTATTGGTCTGTTCAGGATATCTAATTTTTCCTGATTTAAGCCAGGAGGGTTGCATTTTTCCAGGAATTTATCCACCTCTTCCAGGTTTTCTAGTTTATGTGTGTAAAGGTGTTCACAGTAGCCTAGAATGATCTTTTGTATTGCAGTGGTGTCAGTTGTAATATCTCCTGTTTCATTTCTTAGTGAGGTTATTTGGATTTTCTCGCTTATTTTCTTGGGTAATCTTGCTAATGGCCTATCAATTTTATTTATCTTTTCAAAGAACCAGCTTTTTGTTTCATTTATCTTTTGTATTTTTTGTTTTGTTTTGTTTTGTTTTGTTTTGTTTCAATTTCATTTATTTCTGCTCTGATCTTGGTTCTTTCCTTTCTTCTGCTGGGTTTGGGTTTGGTTTGTTCTTGTTTCTCTAGTTCCTTGAGGTGTGATCTTAGAATGTAAGTTTGTGCTCTTTCAGTCTTTTTGATGTAGGCATTTAGGGCTATGAACTTTCCTCTTAGCACCATCTTAGCTGTATCCCAGAGGTTTTCATGGGTTGTGTCATTATTGTCTTTCAGTTTGAATAATTTTTTAATTTCTATCTTGATTTCATTTTTGACCCAATGGTCATTCAGGAGCAGATTATTTAATTTCCATGTATTTGCATGGTTTTGAAGGTTCCTCTTGGAGTTGATTTCCAGTTTTATTCCACTGTGGTCTGAGAGAGTGCTTGATATAATTTCAGTTTTCTTAAATTAATTGAGGCTCGTTTTATGGCCTATCATATGGTCTCTCTTGGAGAAAGTTCCATATGCTGTTGAATAGGATGTGTATTCTGTGGTTATTGGATGAAATGTTCTGTATATATCTGTTAAGTCCATTTGTTGCAAGACATAGTTTAAATTCTTTGTTTCTTTGTTGACTTTCTTTCTTGATGACCTGTCTGATGCTGTCAGTGGGGTATTGAAGTCCCCCACTATTATTGTGTTGCTGTCTACCACATTTCTTAGGTCTATTAGTAATTGTTTTATAAATTTGGGAGTTCCAGTGTTAGGTGCATATATGTTTAGGATTATGATATTTTCCTGTTGGACAAGGCCTTTTACATTATATAATGTCCCTCTTTGTCTCTTTTAACTGCTGTTGCTTTAAAGTTTGTTTTGTCTGATATCAGAATAGCTACCCCTGCTCATTTTTGGTGTCCATTTGCATAAAATGCCTTTTCCACCCTTTTACTTTAAGTTTATATGACTCCTTACATGTTAGGTGAGTCACCTGAAGGCAGCAGATGGTTGGTTGGTGAGCTCATATCCATTCTGCAGTTCTGTATCTTTTAAGTGGAGCATTTAGGCCATTTACATTCAATGTTAGTATTGAGATGTGAGGTGCCGTTGCATTCATCTTGCTATTTGTTGCCTGTGTACTTTGGTTTTTGTATTTTTTTGTTTTTGCTTTTTAATATGTGTTTTTGTTGTATAGGTCCTGTGTGATTTATGCTTTAAAGAGGTTCTGTTTTGATGTGTTTCCAGGATTTGTTTCAAGATTTAGAGCTCCTTTTAGCAGTTCTTGTAGTGGTGGCTTGGTAGTGGCAAATTCTGTCAGCGTTTGTCTGAAAAAGACTGTATCTTCCATTCATATATGATGCTTAGTTTTGGTGGATACAAAATTCTTGGCTGATAATTGTTTTGTTTAAGGAGGCTGAAGATAGGGCCCCAATCTCTTCTAGCTTGTAGGGTTTCTGTTGAGGAATCTGCTGTTAATCTGATAGGTTTTCCTTTATAGGTTACCTGGTGCTTCTGTCTCACAGCTCTTAAGATTCTTTCCTTCGTCTTAACTTTGGATAACCTGATGACAATGTGCCTAGGCAATGATCTTTTTGCAATTAATTTCCAAAGTGTTCTTTGTGCTTCTTGTATTTGGTTGTCTAGGTGTCTAGCAAGGCTGGGCAAGTTTTCCTCGATTATTTCCCCAAATATGTTTTCCAAGCTTTTAGAATTCTCTTCTTCCTCAGGAACACTGATTATTCTTAGGTTTGGTCCTTTAACATAATCCCATACTTCTTTGAGGCTTTGTTTATATTTTCTTATTCTTTTTTCTTTGTCTTTGTTGGATTGGGTTAATTCGAAGAACTTGTCTTCAAGCTCTGAATTTCTTTCTTCTACTTGTTCAATTCTATTGCTGAGACTTTCCAGAGCATTTTGCATTTCTATAAGTGTGTCCAGTGTTTCCTGAATTTTTTATTTTTTTTTATTTAAGCTATCTATTTCCTTGAATATTTCTCCCTTCACTTATTGTATCATTTTTTGGATTTCCTTGTGCTGGGCTTCACCTTTCTCTGGTGCCTCCCTGATTAGCTTAATAACTAACCTCCTGAATTCCTTTTCAGGTAAATCAGGGATTTCTTCTTGGTTTGGATCCATTGCTGGTGAACTAGTGTGATATTTTGGTGGATGTTAAAGTGCCTTGTTTTGTCATATTACCAGAGTTGGTTTTCTGGTTCCTTCTCATTTGGGTAGGCTCTGTCAGAGGTAAGGTCTAGGGCTGAAGGCTGTTGTTCAGATTCTTTTGTCCCACAGGGTGTTCCCTTGATGTAGTACTCTCCCCCTTTTCCTATGGATGTGGCCTCCTGTGAGCCAAACTGCCGTGATTGTTGTCTCTATTCTGGGTTTAGCTACCCAGCAAGTCTACCCAGCTCTGGGCTGGTACTGGGGGCTGTCTGCACAGAGTCCTGTGATATGAACTGTCTGTGGGTCTCTCAACCATAGATATCAGCGCCTGTTCCAGTGGAGGTGGTGGGGGTGTGCAATGGACTCCGTGAGGTTTCTTAGCTTTGGTGGTTTAATGCTTTATTTTTGTGCTGGTTGGTCTCCCTCTAGGAGGTGGCACTTTCCAGAGAGCATCAGCTGTGGTAGTATGGAGAGGAGCCAGAGGTGGATGAGGCCCTAGAACTCCCAAGATTATATGCCCTTTGTCTTCAGCTACCAGGGTGGGTAGGGAAGGACCATCAGGGAGGGGGAGGGCTAGGTGTGTCTGAGCTCAGACTCTCCTTGGGTGGGTCTTGCTGTGGCTGCTGTAGGGGATGTGGGTGAGGTTCCCAGGTTACTGGAGTTGTGTACCTAGGAGGATTATGGCTGCCTCTGCTGAGTCATGCAAATTGTCTGGGAAGTAGGGGAAAGCTGGCAGTCATAGGCCTCACCCAGCTCCCATGCAAACCAAAGGGCCGGTCTCACTCCCACCATGCCCCCACTAACAGCCCTGAGTCTGTTTCCAGGCAGTGGGCAAGCTGGGCTTGAGACCTTGCCCCAGGCTACCACCTCTCAGCTGCAAAAGAAAAGGGCTTGGGTCTTCCCCTGCCTGTGAGTCTGCACACTGGATTCACACCCTCCCCCAAGTTCTGGCCAGGAGGCTTCTTGCCTGGTTCAAACTGTTATAAAGTTCAGCTGGATACTTCTTTCTCCTTGTGGAGTTCCCCACCCCCTGCTCCTCTGGCTGCCTTCCTGATGGATCCCTGTGATGCCAGGCAAGAATGGCCTGCTTAGGGACCCAACGAGGTCCCAAGGCCTTTCTGTTGCTTTGTCTACCCCTGTATCTTACTCAGCTCTCTAAATTGACTCAGCTCCAGGTAAGGTCGGAAACTTCTCCCACAAACAGACCTTCAGTTTCTCCAGTGAGGGTGTGTGTTCAGTAGAGGAGGCTTTTTCTCACTTCCACAGTTGGGGCACTCACAGTATTTGGGGTGTCTCCAGGGTCCTGCAGGAGCAGTCCACTTCCTTCAGAGGGTCTGTGGGTCCTCTTGGGATTGCTAGTTTGTTTTTGCAGTTGATCTGGAGGTAAAATTCGCAATGGGAGACTCTGTATGCCGCACTGTCCGTCTGAGTTGGAGCTGCAATCTAGTCCTGCCTTCCGTCCGCCATGATGATCTTGTCTTGGAGCTTTTTGTAGGGAGAATATTCATCCGTGGAAAGAAACCTTTTATTTTATTTTTCTTTCTTTATTTTATTTTATTTTATTTTTTGAGACGGAGTCTGCCTCTGTCACACAGACTGGAGTGCAGTGGTGCCATGTCGGCTCACTGTAGCCTCCGTGTCCCGGGTTCAAGTGATTCTCCTGCCTCAGCCTCCCAAGTAGCTGGTATATGCCACCATGCCCAGCTAATTTTTTTGTATTTTTTAGTAGAGACAGAGTTTCACCATGTTGGCCAAGCTGGTCTCAAATACCTGACTTCAGGTGATCTGCCCACCTCGGCCTCCCAAAGTGCTGGGATTGCAGGGAATGAGCCACCACTCCTAGCCAAAAAAAACCTTTTCAAAGGAAGATTCTGATGTCTCCTTCTGAAACAGCTCTCCTATACAAGGGGAAAAAACTTTCAATTCTCTGATGTCTCAGAAAATAACCAGCTTTCCAGCTACCTTTCCTTCGAGAGATTTACCCATCTGCAGCCTGTTTGCCTCTTCCAATGTACATCACCAATGTACATGTACATCACCAACCCCCGGTTTCTCTTTCCTTCTCCTAGAGAAAGAAGAATGAGGATAAGGGTGACACAAGTCACACATCTGAATGTTGCCTGTATTTCTAGTCATCTTTGTTTGATAGCGTGGTATATATTTCTGCATCTTTATTTTTTACAAATTTGTTAAACATGTTAAAGAATACAGATTTCGTACAGTCTTCCTTTTCTTTGTATAGAGACATGGTGCTGTATTTTGAACTGGTGAACTTTATATCCTGGAAGGAATCAGGAAACTGCCCTCTCAAAATGTTAACATCCTGAAAGAGACTCCTCCTTCTTCCCAAAAATCTCTTATTTATAAGGGATGATGTTTTAATTATATCCATGTACTAATGTGCACCAGTAGGTACACACTTACTTACTAATGTTTCCTAAGATTCAGCCATTGAAAATTAACTTTCCATTTGATTGATTTACTTAATTCAGAATGTGGTAATATCCTGACCAAGATTTTCAATGTTTTATGACCATGAGCCATAGTAAGAAATACATCTTTCATCATCACCAGGATGAAAATATTTTGTGCATGTAGATGTGTATGAGTACCTTTAGTAGGCATTTCATATAATGGCACCTTTCCTGTTTGTCACGATGCTATGATAATTTCTATTCTGGTTCTTTTTCCTAAATGCTTTTTAGAAGGTTTCAGATTTATTTTACAGCTCACTAAGAGTCTGTAGTGTTTATTTTGAAAATGGGTATAAAGGTCTGTTTCTTTACATCATATTTTTTCTGCTATCTGTTTTCAATGAGACAGTCCAATAACTTCACATGGAACCAATCAGGGCATGACCCCTTAGGCGTTCTTTTCATCCCAGGTGATCTTACCAACTTTCATTGTCTCATCAGGATCATCCCCCTTTGTGTATTTCTGTCAGGTCCAGCCTTTCAGATTCCCATCAAAACTGAAGGTTTCTGATCCTTTTCTATTTCAGGTAACCAAGTTATTGTTCATATCAGTACAGACAAATGAGATTATACATGTTCTGCAAAAATTCTTGTACAGGAATACTCTGAAAATGTAGACATAAATACTCCTAGGTATTTGATATTTAGTATTGTGAAGAGCTTAACCAATTGCAAAGTTTAAAGTGACAGCTCACAGAAGACTGCTGTCACTGCATACCAATGACAAATTCAGTGGTTTCCCCAAATTATTTTCATGTTCCATATTCTTAAAATTATGGGTTTTTATAGGGGAAAGATGCATATTACAATTAGGAGAAAAATCAAGTAAGACAGAGTCCAGGGAAGTATCAAATGAGAACTTTTTATTGTACTCTCCCCATGAAATCAGGATGCATTACATCCCCAAGATTAAGGTGTGACATTAGACGGGAGGAGAGCCTATCAGGGAAGCTTTCCTGAGCCCTGGTATTCAGAGTAATCGTTGTCTGTTAATTACATAGCCATTATTGGTTGATTTCTTTCCCGTATGAGTAGTCTCAGTCTCCTGGTTGACTGATTCCACATGACCTAAAGCCTCACCATAAATCACATTGTTGGTCTTTCTCACATAGTGAGCACCACATTCTCCTCATAGGTGTGGCCACCCATAATCCTAAATCGTAGAATTACACCGTCCAGAGTGACTTACTAGACCTACTACCTCCAGGCAAACAAAGACACTCTCCTAGGGCATGACATTTTAAGGACTGAGAGATTGCCTCTCAGATGCTGAGGACATCACCCAGGCCTCTTTGTGACTTAGGATAATTTCTTTACTTCATAAGGATATACAATACAAACTAAAATATACAAAGTTTTGACGATGTTATGGCTTCTCCTTAAAGTTCACATTTGATTCATATTTCACTGTTTACATAATTTATTAGTTACATAATTTACCATGCAAGGTTTTATTTCTACCAAGTATTTCACATATGACACGTGGTGTGGTTCTGAATTGGTCTCATGCAAACCAGAGTCCATAGTGTACCTGGAAAACACATTGGCTGGGCACAGTGGCTCAAGCCTGTAATCCCAGCACTTTGGGAGGCCAAAATGGGAGTATCACTTGTGGCCAGGAGTTCAAGACCAGCCTTGGCAACATAGCAAGACCTTGTCTCTACAAAAAGTGTAAAAATTAGCTAGTTATGGTGGTATGTGCCTGTAGTCCTAGCTACTCAGGAGGCAGAGGTGGGAGGATCACTTGAGCCCAGGAGGTCAAGGCTGCAGCGAGCCATGATTGTGTCCCTGCACTCCAGCCTGGGTGACAGAGGGAGACACTCTCTTTAAAAAAGGAAAATACAGGGCTGGGCGCAGTGGCTTACACCTGTAATCCCAGCACTTTGGGAGGCTGAGGAGGGCGGATCACGAGGTCAGGAGATCGAGACCATCCTGGCTAACACAGTGAAAACCCATCTGTACTAAGAATACAAAAAATTAGCTGGGCGTGGTGGCGGGCGCCTATAGTCCCAGCTACTGAGGAGGCTGAGGCGGGAGAATGGTGTGAACAACCCAGGAGGTGGAGCTTGCAGTGAGCGGAGATCACGCCACTGCACTCCAGCCTGGGGGACAGAGCGAGACTCCATCTCAAAAAAAAAAAAAAAAAAAAAAAAGGAAAATACAATCTGAACATTCCCTATATTTATTAAAATTTCAGGCTATGTCCTAAGTATGAAATCTTGATAACACTGAATAAAAGCTTTACTTGCCCACATCTCTTAATTCTGTGTCATTATAGGAGGCAAGATCCAAATGGAGATGGAGACTGTTTCAGAATCAGGAACACATGAAGGCTTGTTCAGTCATCAAACCTGGGAACAAATTTCAAGTGACTTAACCAGGTTTCAAGACTCCATGGTAAACAGCTTTCAGTTCTCCAAACAAGATGATATGCCCTGCCAGGTTGATGCAGGACTATCTATAATTCACGTAAGACAGAAACCTTCTGAGGGTAGGACGTGTAAAAAGTCCTTTAGTGATGTCTCCGTCCTTGATCTTCATCAACAACTACAGTCAAGAGAGAAGTCTCATACATGTGATGAATGTGGAAAGAGTTTCTGTTATAGCTCAGCTCTTCGTATTCATCAGAGAGTTCACATGGGGGAGAAACTCTATAATTGTGATGTGTGTGGTAAGGAATTCAATCAGAGCTCACATCTGCAAATTCATCAGAGAATCCACACTGGAGAGAAACCATTCAAATGTGAGCAGTGTGGGAAAGGCTTTAGTCGTAGATCAGGACTTTATGTTCATCGTAAATTACACACAGGAGTGAAACCTCATATTTGTGAGAAATGTGGGAAGGCCTTCATTCATGATTCCCAGCTTCAGGAACATCAAAGAATCCATACTGGGGAGAAGCCATTCAAATGTGATATATGTTGTAAGAGCTTCCGTAGTAGAGCAAATCTTAATAGGCATTCCATGGTTCACATGCGAGAGAAACCATTCAGATGTGATACATGTGGTAAGAGCTTTGGTCTGAAATCAGCACTTAATAGTCATCGCATGGTCCACACAGGAGAGAAACGGTACAAATGTGAGGAATGTGGAAAACGCTTCATTTATAGGCAAGATCTTTATAAGCATCAGATAGACCACACAGGGGAGAAGCCATATAATTGTAAAGAATGTGGAAAGAGCTTCAGATGGGCCTCAGGTCTTTCAAGACATGTGCGAGTCCACAGTGGAGAGACAACATTCAAATGTGAAGAATGTGGGAAGGGATTTTATACAAATTCACAACGTTATTCTCACCAGAGAGCGCACAGTGGAGAAAAGCCATATAGATGTGAGGAGTGTGGGAAGGGCTACAAAAGGAGGTTGGATCTTGACTTTCATCAGAGGGTCCACAGAGGAGAGAAACCCTATAATTGTAAGGAATGTGGGAAGAGCTTTGGCTGGGCCTCGTGTCTTTTGAATCATCAGAGAATCCACAGTGGAGAAAAACCATTTAAATGTGAAGAATGTGGGAAAAGATTTACTCAGAATTCACAACTTTATACCCATCGTAGAGTCCACAGTGGAGAAAAACCATTCAAATGTGAAGAGTGTGGGAAAAGATTTACTCAGAATTCACAACTTTATTCTCATCGCAGAGTCCACACTGGAGTAAAGCCATACAAATGTGAAGAGTGTGGGAAGGGCTTCAACAGTAAGTTTAATCTTGACATGCACCAGAGGGTCCACACCGGAGAGAGACCTTATAATTGTAAAGAATGTGGGAAGAGCTTTAGCCGGGCCTCAAGTATTTTGAATCATAAGAGACTCCATGGTGATGAAAAGCCATTCAAATGTGAAGAGTGTGGGAAGAGATTTACTGAGAATTCACAGCTTCATTCCCATCAGAGGGTTCACACTGGGGAAAAGCCATACAAATGTGAGAAGTGTGGAAAGAGCTTCAGATGGGCCTCAACTCATCTAACCCATCAGAGACTCCACAGTAGAGAAAAACTACTTCAATGTGAGGACTGTGGGAAGAGCATTGTGCACAGTTCATGCCTTAAAGACCAACAAAGAGACCAAAGTGGAGAGAAAACATCTAAATGTGAGGACTGTGGGAAGCGCTACAAGAGGCGCTTGAATCTTGATACGCTTTTGTCATTATTTTTAAATGACACATAACTGTTGTACTCATTTATGGGGTACAGTGTGATAGTTAATGCAAGTATACAATGTGTAATGATCAAATCAGTGTAATTAACATACCTATCACCTCAAACATTTATCATTTATTTATGTTGGGAACCCTTAAAATTCACTGTCCTAGCTATTTGAAAATAATACGTTGTTAATTACTGTCACCCTGTAGTGGTGTAAAACACTAGAACTTATTCCTCCTACCTGCCTGTATTTCTGTATTCATTAACCAACCTTTGGCTACCACCCTGCCTCCTCACCTCTAAGAACTACTATTCTACTCTCTACTTCTATGAAGTTAACTTTTTGAGCTTCCACATATGTGTGAGAACATGTGGTATGTATCTTTCTGTGCCTGGCATATATCACTTAATATAATGCCCTGTAAGTCTCATTCACTTTGCTGTGAGTGATAGAATTTTGTTGTTTTTCATGGCTAAATAGTACTCTGATGTGTATATTTGCCCCATTTTCTTTATTCATTCATCCAGTGGACACTTAGGTTGATTACATACCTTGGCCTATTTCTTGGCTATCGTGAATGGTGCTGCAATAAACATGGGGGGGTGGAGATAACACTTTAACATACTGATTTCCTTTTCTTTGGATATGTACCAAGTATCATATAATAGTATGACATGACTCAAAATTAAGGAATAAGATTGTGGAAATTGGTTTTCAAAAAAAAATTCTCTAGTTTGAATATAGAGAAAAATTGGTGAGTGTCTTCAGCTGTCCTCATACATAATGCATGTGAGCTCGCTTTAAGCATAAGTGAAGGAGTGGAAAAATCCTGGAGATAGAAATCAAGGGGTATACATGTGGATGTAAAAAATCAACAAAGATTCTTTTAAGAAAAGGTGTGTATGGGTAGGGAACAATAGCATGACAGCAGTGCGGCCTCTAACAGTCTGGAACCAGTTAGGACAAAGAGCAGGATTGAGCGCCATTCCATTCATAGACACCGTGGTGATATTTTGAGTACATTAGGTTAAAAGGCTTTCTTCAGCAAAATCTATCTCTAGAGATAGATTTGATTTTTATAATCAAATCTACTAGAGATAGATTTGATTTTTATAATCAAATCTACCAGAGATAGATTTGATTTTTATAATCAAATCTACTAGAGATAGATTTGATTTTTATAATCAAATCTACTAGAGATAGATTTGATTTTTATACTTAATGTTCTAGACTGTATCTTTTCAGGATGCTAGGTACTTTATGAAGATCCATGCTGTCTCAATTTGCATAGTGGGTTGGAGGTCCCTAAGACAATCTCTCCAGATTCTATGATTTGCTAAGAGGACTCAGAATATAGTTGTACTCATGACTATATTATAGTGACAGGATACAAATAATCAGCAAAGGGAAAAGGTTCTTGTATAATATCTGGAGGGAATCAGATGTAAATTTGTAAAGATCCTTTGTGCATGGAGTAACAGGTCTCAATTCCTCCAGTATTGAATTGTGACTGTACTTGTGAAATGTCTACAATGGAAATTAATTATCAACCCGTACCAAAGGTTCTTATTGGAACTAATCATGTAGGTACCATCCCTCTGGTACATATCAAGATTCTAGACTCCAAGAAGGGGAGCAAGTGTTCAGAATAACTTGAACCATGCCTACCAGTTATGGAATGGTGGCAACCCTCTCAAACTCCGTGTTTCCTAACACCAGCTAAAGGCCAGTCTTATAAGCAGTCCTTTCTAAGATTTGCAGTCTCAGGCCTGTTATATTAACTTTTTGTGCACATAGTACTAGAAAACTGTTGGCTCAGTCTTCTTTTTGTTTTGTGTGTTTTGGTTTTTAACTGTCACCGATACCAGAATAGCTCATCTCCAAGGTAACTGTAACAGAACACTCAGCAGATTAAACAGAAAATACTTGCTTATTATAATTATTAAAAGTTTGGTAGGGTCTATGTCTGCTCTCTGGTGTGTCCTGGATCATCAACTTGGTTACAACATGGTGTTAACATGTGGGACTGATTGTGTTTCTTGTTAATATTTCTGTTTCTCCCAACCACGCTGAATATTAAATACCTAGTTCTATATCTAGTACCCTGAGCTTATGTGGGGCTAATATTCTTTGCCATTTTTCACCACAGATTTGATTTCCTTTTTCTTTTGTGGACACTGGTGAGTTCCCTAATATAACTTTGACTTGGTTATATTTTCACAATCGGTGGGGATTATTACAGATTATCATCCTTCCTCTGCATTTGAAAAAGGAGGGAGGCTTCAAGTCAGGTTAGTTGACCTTCCTTTGTTGGTCTTATTATCCATAACATAATAAATAAATTGATGAGGATGGGCATGGTGGCTCACGCTTGTAATTCCAGCATTTAGGGAGGCTGAGGCGGCGTTTTAGACCAGCCTAGCCAATGTGGTGAAACCTCATCTCTACTAAAAATACAAAAAATATGCCAGGTGTGGTGGTGTGCGCCTGCAATCCTAGCTACTCAGGAGGCTGAGGCAGGAGAATCGCTTGAGCCTAGGAGGCGGAAGTTTGCAGTGAGCCAGAATCGTGCCACTGTACTCCTGCCTGGGTGATACAGTGAGTCTCCATCTCAAAAAAATAAGTTTATGAGAAGTCTATTAAATTGTTACATAATCTATATAGGTAGAAGGTTTCTATTTCAAGTGAACCAAAGTGTAACTTGAATCGTCTAATGCAGACTCACAGCCCAAAAATAAATTCCAAGACATGTCCACTTTACAAATCCACAATTCCTTTGATGGGGTGGGAGGGCAGTTCTGGATAAGGATGGACCCTGCTAGATTGCAAAAAATTTACAGCACTAATTTTTTCCCCAGAGATCTCCATAAGGACCTATGGTCATGAACTTCTGTGACTGTGTACTCAAAAAGAGAAATAATCACACATTTTGGCAGTGACTGAATTCTTGTTTTCAAGTAGGATAAATCCAAAGAGACTCACACTGAGACACATTATAATCAAAAAGACAAGGAACATCTTGAAAGCAGCAGCATGAAAGTGACTTGTCATGTACAAGAGATCCTCAATAATATCATCAATGGCTCTGGCCAGGTACAGTGGCTCATGCCTATAATCGCAGCACTTTGGGAGGCTGAAGCAGGTGGATCACTTGAGGTCAGGAGTTTGAGACCAGCCTAGCCAACACGGTGAAACCCTGTGTGTACTAAAACTACAAAAATTAGCCAGGCGTGGTGGTGTACACCTATAGTGCCAGCTACTCAGGAGGCTGAGACAGGAGAATCACTTGAACCTGGAAGGCAGAGATTGCAGTGAGCCGAGATCATGCCACTGCACTCCAGCCTGGGTGACAGAGGGAGACTGTCTCAAAAAAGAAAAAAAAAAAAAAAAAAAGATCATCAGTGGATTTCTCAGCAAACCTCCAAGGCCAGATGATGTATTAAAGTGCTGGAAAAAAACCTGGTATATTGAGGATTCTATATTCAGCAAAACTATACTTCCAAAATGAGAGATCAATTAATAACTTTTCAGAAAAACAAAAGCTGAGAGAATTGCCAGTAGACAAGTTATTCAAGAATTGAAAAGGTTGGGAGGCTGAGGCAGGCAGATCATTTGAGGCCAGGAGTTTGAGACCAGCATGGCCAACATGGTGAAACCCTGTCTTTACTAAAAATATAAAAATTAGCCGGGCGTGGTCGTGGGCGCCTGTAATCCCAGCTACACAGGAGGCTGAGGCAGGAGAATTGCTTGAACCTGGGAGGTGGAGGTTGCACTGAGCCGAGATTGTGCCACTGCACTCCAGCCTGGGCAACACAGTGAGACTCCATCTCAAAAAAAAAAATTGATAAAGGGAATCAATCCTTCAAGTTGAAATGAAAGGATTTTAGACAATAACTTGAAATCATATGAAAATATAAAGATCTATACTAAAGGCAATTGCATGAAGCAATACAAACAACATTATGATAGTAATTTTAGTTTGTAATCCCAGTTTTTATTTTCCATACAACGTAAAAGACAAATGCATAAAAATGACTACCAATCTATGTAAATAAGTACACGATATGTAAAGATGTACTATGAGATCAGTAACAGTGCGGGAAGGAAAGAGCTGTGAAGGAGTAGGGTTTTTATATCTGATTGAAGTTAAGTTGGTATCAATTTAAAAGACTGTTATAACTTTAGGATGTTACATATACTTTTGGTGACTATAAAGAAAATATCAATGAAACATGCACAAAAGAAAATAAGAAGTGATTCAAGGCAAGGCAGGGTGGCTCATGCCCGTAATCCCAGCACTTTGGGAGGCCAAGGCGGGTAGATCATGAGGTCAAGAGATTGAGACCATCCTGGCCAACATGGTGAAATCCCATCTCTGCTAAAAATACAAAAAAAATTAGTTGGGGATGGTGGCACGTGCCTGTAGTCCCAGCTACTCGGGAGGTTGAGGCAGGAGAATTGCTTGAACCCGGGAGGTGGAGATCTTGTAGTAAGCTGAGATTGTGCCACTGCACTCCAGTCTGGGCGACATAGTGAGACAACATCTCAAAAAAAAAAAAAAGTGATTCAAAATTAATCACTACAAAAAAAGAACTCAACACAAAGGACAATTGTAATGAAGGAAATGAGAGGCAAAAACACAATAGGACATATAAAAAACAAATTTAAAATGGTAGTCCTTACCTATGTATAATTAGTTTAAGTGAAATTAATGAAACTCCCCAATAAAAAGATGTAGTTTGTCAAAATGATTGAAAGACAATATGTAATTATATGCTCTGCACATTAGAATTAATGACATGCATAGGTGAAAGGCAAATGATGGAAAAAGATATCCCATGTAAAAAAAATAACAGCACAGGTAGCTATACTAACAGATAAATTAGATTTTAAGTCAAAAACTGTTAAACGAGACATTAAATATTGCTAAAAGGTTCATTTCACTAAGATGAAACAGTTATAAACATATGTGCACCAAATATCAGAGTTCCAAAATATAAAATGTAAATACTGACAGAATTGAAGGGAGAAATATACAGCTCTCCAATAATAGTAAGAGACTCCCTACCTTTCTTTCAAATGCATAGGACACCCAGACAAAAGATAAATAAGGAAACAGATAATTTGAAGAACATTATACACCAATTCAACCTGAGAGACATTGACATAACTCTCCGCCCCCCAACAGAATACACATTTTCTCAACTGCACATGAAACATTCTTCAAGACAGACCATATATTAGGCCACAAAACAAGTCTTGATAAATGTAAAAGTTTGACACCATAAAAATATATTTTCCAACTACAGTCTAGATCATAATAACTAGACATCAATAGCAGTATAAAAAGTGAAAAAAGCCTGAGGCGAGAGGATCACTTAAGTCTAGAAGTTTGAGACCAGCCTGAGCAACATGGTGAGACTCTGTCTCTACCAAAAAAACAAAAAACAAAAAGGCTGGGCCGAGGTGGGCAGATCACTTGAGGTCAGGAGTTCAAGACCAGCCTGGCCAACATGGTGAAACCCCGGCTCTACTAAAAATATAAAATTATTCGGGCGTGGTGGTGCATGCCTATAATCCCAGCTACTTGGGAGGCTAAGGCAGGAGAATCTCTTGAACCTGGGAGGCAGAGGTTGCAGTGAGCCGAGATCACGTCATTGCACTCCAGCCTGGGCAACAAGAGGGAAACTCCGTCTCAAAAAAAAAAAAGTATATATTTGCTAGTTTTGTCAGCTGAGAGGGTCAAGAATAAAAAACACTAAGGTAGCAGCGATCATACCTAGCACTCAGTTCTTTGTTTCTAACTACATTTTCCACAAATAGGAACCAGAAGTCCTAGGAGAAATATCTGATCTCATGGCTAGGGTAGGGAAAATACCCAATGAACTTGAAAAATACCTAATGAACTTGGAACACACAGTATCAGAAAGTAAACCAGTGCACAAAGAGCTCATATCATGATGAACAGGAGGAGCCAGAAGGCAAGAGGGGACTGCTTGAAGAGGATTTTACTGGCAAAATCTGAGACAACCAGAGAATCAAAATACATAATAACAGTAGTAGATGTGAACTCATTAATATAACAAGAATTCACAAATCCACACTGGTATAAACAAATAAATAATATAGATGGAAAGCTTTTTCTTAGAGCATAATGCCAAAAAATCAACATAGAATGAGTTGGAGTATCTCAGTTTTTCACCAGATAGTAGTAACTTTTTAGGGGAAAAATAATTTTAGAGTGCAGAATTCTGGAGAGAAACCCCTTAATCAACTGTTCAAGTTTAGCAGCACCAGTAATGGATAAAAACTAGTATCTGGTATATCCTGAGATCATGCACTAAGGACAGAAATTGATCATAATCCAGAAAGACATAATCTTGAATGTTGGAATCGCTGAAGATCAAAATGTTAAAAATATAACCCTGGAAAAAATAATTTTAAATTTTTTAGAAGATATTGACTGATTTACATTTCTTTCTTTTCTTCCTTTTTTTTTTTGTTTTTTTTTCTGAGACAGAGTCTCGCTCTGTCACTCAGCTGGAGTGCATTTCCCTTCCTTCCTCCCTCCCTTCCACTTTTTTTTTTTTTTTCTGAGACAGTGTCTCGTTCTGTCACCCAGATTGGAGTGCAGTGGCGTGATCTCGGCCTCCCAGGTTCAAGTGATTCTTGTACCTCAGCCTCCTGAGTAGCTGGGATTACAGGCATGTATCACCATGCCACGCCCAGCTGATTTTTTGTATTTTTAGTGGAGACAGTGTTTCACTATGTTGGCCAGGCTGGTCTCAAACTCCTGGCCTCAAGTAATCCGCTGGCCTTGGCATCCCAAAGTACTGGGTTTACAAGCGTGAGCCACTGCGCCTGGCCGAGATGGAGCATCTCAATAAATTTTGTCATTTGGAAGGGCCGACTAGAGCAACAATACAGCTGTAACTAGTATAGAAATAGCAGTCAGTCAATTTTCAAAGAGGGGGATGTGTGGCATTGTGTGGTTAGCATAGTAACCTTGTTTTTATGTAAACACAATTGTGAAAAGGTATTTTTTTAGTTTATAAAATGAATCTAGAATGTGAGACTTCATTTTTTAAAAAACAAAAATATAGATTGATAAGTGTATTAGTCCATTCCCCCATTGCTATAAAGAAATACGTGAGTCTGGGTAATTTATAAAGAGGTTTCATTGGCTCACACAGAGTCCTGCAGCCTGTAAAGGAAACATGGCAGCATCAGCTCAGCTTCTGGGGAGGCCTCAGGAAACTTACAACCATGCTGCAAGGCGACTAGGGAGCCAGCACTTCACATGGCCAGAGTAGGAGGAAAAGAGCGAGGAGTGAGATGCTACACAATTTTAAACAAGCAGATCTCATGAGAACTCTATCAGGAGAACAGCACTAGAGGGATGGTGCTAAACCATTAGAAACCTCCCCGGTGATCCAATCGCCTCCCACCAGGCCCCAACTCCAACACTGGGGATTACATTTCAACATGAGATTTGGGTGGGGACACAGATCTAAACCATATCAATAGGCCAATGTATGTTTATGGGGAGAAAAAAATCTGGTTATCTTTTTTTTTTTTTTTTTTTCCGTGACAGAGTCTTGCTCTGTCGCCCAGGCTGGAGTGCAGTGGCATGATCTCGGCTCACTGCAACCTCTGCCTCTCAGGTTCAAGCGATTCTCCTACCTCAGTCTCCCGAGTAGCTGGAATTACAGGCACGCACCACCATGCCCGGCTAATTTTTGTATTCTTAGTAGATATGGGTTTTCACCATGTTCTCCTGGCTGGTCTCGAACTCTTGACCTCATGGTCCGCCCGCCTTGGCCTTCCCAAAGTGCTGGGATTACAGGCGTGAGCCACCGCACCCAGCCCCTGGTTATCTTGAAGAAAGATTTTAGATGGGTTTTTTTCTGATTTTGCTTTATTCTATTATTTATTTGTATCAACCAATGTAAGCCAGATTCCAAATTGCTAACTATAATGACGATATTTTAACCAAAAAATATAAAGGAAGAAAATAAAATATGTTCCTTCACGTATAGGATCCTCCTTAATGCTACTGCATTAAATAAATCATAGGCATTGGGTGTCTGACATCAATGCCAAGCGCTTCACCAGTTATACTTGCTTTGAAGTATTGGGCAATTTAAGAGCTTCTCTGAAATTTGGTGTTTTTACCTCTTCAGTAGACATAATACCATGAAAAGTGTAAACGAAAGAAGATAGCTTTTCCATGAGGACAGGGCTTCCCCACTGGCCCTCTCAAATGATGATTGTTTTTCCTGCCAAACCAGTGGTACCACAGCGTCTGGAGTAGGGGCTGGCACCTTCTTTGTTCTTCATTGCCTCTCCCAAACCATTGTACTTGCTCACTCTTCCAACTTTTAGTTTTGGCCTCATATTATCAGTTTATAGTAATCAATCATCAATCATCTACTGACCCCTAAAAAGTCATTCCCCATTTAGTCCTTGAAGATTGTATCTCCTCGCTTGTTCTCTTTCCAATAATCCTCCGTAGTCCTGGGAGGCGTTTAGACTTCAGGAATTGCTGTCTATTCAATATTTTCGCTCAAGGACTCAGGCAGAGGGAAGGACGACTCTCAGGGTCACAGTCCACATTCCCTACCAAGCGCTCAGCGATATAGGATTCGTTCCCCATGGGCAGTGCGGGAATCGTAGGCAAGGAGCACCGCGGAGTCCCATCGCTTTTCCCTGAAGGGTGAGATTCTGAACGTTTTTCCCTCAGCATTCTGAGTGTAATCCAAACGCTCAGTGGAGTCGTGGTCCATTTGACCCACGCAGGGGGATCCGGGGAATTCTGGGAAATGTAGTCCCGCCAATCAGTGGAGTCGCGGGCACTTCCGCTCCAGGGAAGAGGGGGCGATTGTCACGGCACATTCCACGGTAGTTTCTTCCAGTTCCGCGACTCGCGGGCCCCTCCTAATGTCAGGGACTTAAGATTGGGGCTCGCTGGGACCTGGTGGTCCGGTTATGGGAAAAGAAGCCTCGTGGGAGAGCAGAGGTTTGGTGGGGCGAGGGCGGCGGCTTTTGTTGTGTCAGCGGAGCCTTCTTGGGCTGGGGCTCCCCTCGTGTCCCGCGGCGGGAGGCGGGGGGCATTGGGACTTGGTTGGGTCGCGTCTCGCCTGGTTTGAGGGTTTCCGGGGCTCTGAGCTCGCCCACTCCGCCTCCCTGCACTCCAGGCGCGCAGTCACTTTTTTACAGTGCAAGGTTGGCGTGTTAATCTCCCTGGGCCTCTCCTTGCTGTTCTTTAAAATGGGGACGTTAGGACCATCTTTGTAGAATCGTTTTGGTAACTGGAATAGGTTACACAACACAAACAGTCCCTGTCACTTGGTGAGTGGTGGTTTCTTGTTACTTTCCCACGAAACCTGTTAGGTCCCCCGGTGGGGTCAGAGCTCCAGCAGCAGGGGCCTCAGCCCTTATCTCTGATCCCTGCAGGACGCTGGACGATCCCGGACGCCTTCTGACCTCTTTTTAGGCAGGCGAGGGTTGCGTCCACTTCCACGAAGGGAGGGGAGCATTTAACTTTTCTCAGGGACAGCGACCCAGTCAGGATGTTTCACAGCTTTCTCCTTCCCCAGCCTGAAAAAGGACTGCGCGGACTGACTTCTTGGCTACTGAAAGCAAAGCTCCACGTGAGTGTGACTTGTCATTTTTCTTTTACAGAGACTGTATCTTTGTAGCATGTGTAATAGGGCATGGGCATTTATAATAATTAAGCCTTAATTGCTAACTTCAATTCTAGGGGATTTATACAATTAGATACGTTTAAGCCGCAACGTGACTCTGTGGAGAGGTACTGGTCATCCAAGTAGTAAGAGGTGAAACTTGGGTTGGAACCTAGGCATTCAGGGTCAGAGCCCGAGTTGATCATCTCTTGGATATATTCTCATTGAGGCAGAGGAACTAGCTGTACTCAGGTGGGGAAAGTAAGTTAGAACTTGATTAAAGGACCTTAAGAGCAAGGCTAATTGCCTTGGAGTTTTCTCAGTTTTTAAAAACTGTCAACTATTTTGTTTCATTTATTACAAATATTTCACATTCTAATAGAACCGTATCACTGTGAAGCATTCAGAAATTACAGAAATACGAAGATACAAAAATTGTAATTACCTATGAAATCAGGATGTAAAGATAGTAATGGTTAAATTTCTAATGCATTTTGTTTTAGTGGTTCCATGTTTATATTACTTATAAATGTTTTACAAAATTTTTATTATACATTTCTCAATGTTTTTCTATTTATCTGCTTATCCATGGAAATTTCCAGATAAAGAGATAATAAACTAGTGACCTGCCATATTCTATCATGCTCATTCTTATTCTTCTCATTATTATTTCTCCTATGACTATTTCCTGATTTTTTAAAAAAACTTTAACACAGTAATTATATAATTTTAAGTCTATAGAAAAGTTGCAAAAATAGTATAAGAGGGCAGGGCATGGTGGGTCATGCCTGAGTCCTGAGTTATGGAACTGAGGCACTCAGGGTCACAGCCCGAGTAATCCCAGCACTTTGGGAGGCCAAGGCCTGTGGATCACTTGAGGCCAGGAGTTTGAGACCCGCCTGGCCAGCATGACAAAAACTCGTCTCTGGCCGGGCGCGGTGGCTCACGCCTGTAATCCCAGCACTTTGGGAGGCCGAGGCGGGCGGATCACGAGGTCAGGAGATCAAGACCATCCTGGCTAACATGGTGAAACCCCGTCTCTACTAAAAATACAAAAAATTAGCCGGGCGTGTTGGCGGGCACCTGTAGTCCCAGCTACTTGGGAGGCTGAGGCAAGAGAATGGTGTTAACCCGGGAGGCGGAGCTTGCAGTGAGCCGAGATTGCGCCATTGCACCCCAGCCTGGGCAACAGCGCAAGACTCTGTCTCAGAAAAAGAAAAAAAAAAAAAAAAGAAAACCCGTCTCTACTAAAGATACAAAAATTAGCCACATGTGGTAGTGCGCGCCTGTAATCCCAGCTACTCTGGTGGCTGAGGCATGAGAATCGCTTGAACCCAGGAGGAGAAGGTTGCAGTGAGCCAAGATTGCACCACTGCTCTCCAGCCTGGGCAACAAGAGCAAAACTCTGTCTCAAATAAATTAAAATAAAATAAAATTAATTTTTATGAGTAGATATACTTGTTAGTGGGCAACATACTGTAAAGACCAGCATCCCCTGTTCCCCTGTTTGCTTATTCATTCATTCAAAAGTAAATATTCTATCAATATGGACTCAGAACGCAGTCTTGTTAAATTAAATGACATGTAGATTAATAATTTTTTTCCAACTTTATTGAGGTGTATTTTATGTATCAGAATTCACCCATTTCAAGTGTACAATTCAGTAATCTTTAGGAACTTTGCTGAGTGTAGTAATCATCATCATCATTTAGTTTAGATCATTTTCATCCCCCAATTGGACTCCTCTTGCCCATTTACAGTTAATCCCCATTCTTATCCTAAATCCCCATCAACAAGTAACCTACTTTCTTTATAAACATTTGTCTGTTCTGAACGTTTCATATACATGAAATCATACAATCTGTGGTTTGGTGTGCCTGGCTTCTTTCACTCAGCATAGTGTTTCCAAGGTTCATGCATGTTGTAGCATGAGTCAGTACTTCATTCCTCTTAATTTCCAAATAAGATTCCATTGTATGGATATGCCAGGATTTGTCTATCCATTTTTCCATAGGAGGGCATTTTGGTTGTGTGCAGTTTGGGATTATTATGAATAATGCCACCGTGACCATTCGTGTGCTAATTCACAGTACACATCTGTGTTGGTGGGGACATCCCTGGCCACGCTTTCATGTCTCTTTTTGTGTCTTCCATAGTGTTCCAGGCACGATTCTGCCTTCTCTCAAATGGCATAACTCAGGACTCTGCAAATTCCCAGAAACAGGAGGAAAAATGACCACATTCAAGGTGAATAAGGCTTGCCACTCTTGCTGTTAAAATTCCATCTCACTATTCTCATGTTTCCTGAGGAAGACTCAAGAACAACGGGCATTTGAGAACCTGTTTATGCTAAGTGCATCCTTCTGCCTTTTGAGTTGACTTTGTTTTTAGATGTTGTTTATTTTATTATTTCAGTTGACCTTCTGTATCTGTGGGTTTCACATCTAGGGGTTTTGCGTCTTTGAATTTTGCATTTGTGGATTCAACCAACCACAGATTGAAACCTGAGTCTATGTAAAGCTGACCATACATATTTTCCTTTTGCGGTTGATTGAGTCTGTGGATGTGGAACCCATGGATGTGGAGGGCTGACTGTAGTACAAACACTATTTTAGATAAGGGACTTGAGCATCCACAAATTATGGTATCCTCAGGGGTCCTTGAACCAATTCCCCAAGCGTATTGAGCGACAACTGTATTTATTTTATGGAGTAGAAAAATTGGTGTGAATGAACAGTTCTCCTACTTTACTTCTCTGCTTACGTATTAGCTGTTTTTATTTTCTTATAGTCTTTTCCTAATGTGCATTCATAACTATATTGGTATTCATGATATATATCTCATTTTTGTTATTTTTTCCTTAAGTACTAAATAATGTTCATTTTTTGAGGTTATGCCATATACCCATTTAATTAATGTGCCTTTTTATTTTTGACTACTTCCCATTCATGGACATTTAGGTGATTTAAGAATTTTATTGTTTTACATAACACTGCAATGACAATTTTCCTACATAACCGTTTCCTCAAAAATCAATTCTGAAAACTTTCTGCTGATTTTTTTGTCACCACAACCTCTGCCTTCTGGGTTCAAGCAATTCTCCTGCCTCAGCCTCCCGAGAAGCTGGGATTACAGGCATGTGCCACCATGCCCAGCTAATTTTGTATTTTTAGTAGAGATGGGACTCCTCCATGTTAGTCAGGCTAGTCTCGAACTCCTAACCTCAGATGATCCACCTGCCTTGGCCTCCCAAAGTGCCGGGATTACAGGCATGAGCCACAGTGACTGGCTGTAGATAGAATACTCTAACATGGCACAGCACAACAGGCTATAATGCTGCTTCACACAAATAATATTGTTGGAGTTTTCATATAGGAAGAGCTAGATTCTGTGTGCTTTGTGCCTCGATCATACTTTGTATGTATTTTATTTACTAGTGTCTTATTGCCTTTATAAAGTAACCAGTTTGACCAAAGTAGTAGGTAATAACCTTCATTTAAAATGTCCAGTGACACGGAAGATTTGCCAGTCACTTGTGTTCTGTTACTGTATTTATTCAGAACAGCAGAATGAGGAGGTTTGTGGTCTCTTCTTCCTCTTAAACAGGTGAAATATGAGAAACCTTCTCAGATTGGCATAGAAAGTCAGGGGTCAGAAACATTAGCCATTCCATTTAAGTGAAAGTGAGAGACAAAAGGAAACAAATATTTCTCAATGAATGACCCGTGGTGTGGGTGTCTGGAGTGCCCTGTTGGGTGATAACGTCCACAGGTAGTGGGGGACCTCTTGTGTTCCTAATGTGGTGGCACCTCAGATGCACTAAGATGCTCAGCACTCCAGGTGCACAAGGACAGTGATTAGCACAGTGGTTATATAAAGTCTTTAAATTACTCTACGGATATCCCCCTCAGATAGTGGTTTCTCGGGTATATACCCAGTAATGAGATGGCTGGGTCAAATGGTATTTCTAGTTCTAGATCCCTGAGGAATCGCCACACTGTCTTCCACAGTGGTTAAACTAGTTTACAGCCATCATTCTACTGTCAATTCTACTAATAAGTGGTTCATTCAACCTCTGCACCCTCATTACAACACAAGAACATCTCTGAGGAGTACCCTGAAGCATGGGGATCAGGGGGTGAGGTTTTTGGTAAGTGTTTTAGTGGGTGTGACAAAAGATACCTTACAGAGTATTAAGAGAAAAACAAGTTGGGGCAAAAATATTTACCACACAGGTGCCAAAAAAGATGAAATTCATAATAAACATTGGTATTCATTTATAATCAAGTAAGTAAGAATAATAGAATTGTTCTTCCTAATTAGATTATCAAAACCATTGGAAAATTTATAACCTGCTTTTGGTCATCATATAGAGAAGCAAGGTGCTTGCATTCTCTCTCTCTCTCTTTTTTTTTTTTTTTTTTTTTTTTTTTGAGACAGAGTCTGGCTCTGTTGCCCAGGCTGGAGTGCAGTGGTACGATCACGGCTCACTGCAACCTATGCCTCCCGGGTTCAAGTGATTCTTCTGCCTCAGCCTCCTGAGTAGCTGGGACTACAGGCACGCACCACCATGCCTGGCTAATTTTTGTATTTTTAGTAGAGATGGGGTTTCACCATATTGGCCAGGCTGGTCTTGAACTCCTGACCTCATGATCCACCTGCCTCGGCCTCCCAAAGTGCTGGGATTACAGGCATGAGCCACTGCACCCAGCCAAGTGCTTGTATTCTCTTGAAAGATTAGGGAGGCAGGAAAAAAGGAAGAAAATCTGCCATTATGTGGTCATAATTTTTAATGTGCTTTTTTTCTGATGTTTTATTTTTTATTTGCAGTTATTTAGTTTAATTTATTTTTTTGGGACGGGGTCTCACTCTGTAACCCAGACTAGAGTACAGTGGTGTGATCATCGCTCACCACAACCTTGATTACCTGGGCTCAAGCAATTCTCTCGCCTCAGCCTCCTGAGTACCTGGGACCACAGGCACACGCCACCACATGCAGCTAATTTTTTGTACTTTTTGTAGAGACAGGGTCTCACCATGTTGCCCAGGCTGGTCTTGAACTCCTGGGCTCAAGCAATCCTCCATCCTTGGCCTCCCAAAGTGCTGGGATTACAGGTGTGAGCGACTGTGCATGGCCTGCAATCATTTTAAATACACACGAAGGTAAGATCTGACAGTCGGGTGACTCATGCCTGTAATCCCAGAACTTTGGGAGGCCAAGGCAGGCGGATCACCTGAGATCAGGAGTTCGTGACCAGCCTGACCAACATGGTGAAATCCCATCTTTACTAAAAATACAAAATTAGCTGAGCATGGTGGCGCATGCCTATAATCCCAGCTACTCGGGAGGCTGAGGCAGGAGAATAATTTGAACCCAGGAGGCAGAGGTTGCAGTGAGCCAAGATTGTGCCATTGCACTCCAGCCTGGGCAACAAGAGTGAAGCTCTGTCTCAAAAAAAAGAAAAAAAAAAGGAAAGAAAGTAAGATCTACATGAAATGATGTTCTTTGCTGGATTGGTTATAATGAAAACAATATTGAAAATTAAATATTCATTAATTAGAACAGGTAGATGCAGATTTCAGTTCCCTCGAATAATATACAGTCATGAAATGAGGTGAAATAGATGATGATGGTAATAATAATAGATAATAGCTAATGTTTCTTAGGTACTTAGTCTGCGCCATACACTATTCCAAATGCTATATGTAGTTTCTTTTTCAACGTTTGAAAGAACTCTGTCATGTAAGAACTATCATACCAAGATGAAACTAGGTGAACTTATCCAAGATCACACAACTTTGAAGGGTACCCTTGTGTGCACTGAGGCATGATGGCTCCAGATCATGACACTAAATGCTGCAGGTAATGCTGGTGCTGTGTGCCCTGGGTGTACAGAAGGAAAACTACATAGCAGTTTTAGATATGTTACCAAAAGCTTGTTAGTTTGGCAGACTTTAATGAAAAGGGATAGCATCCAGCGTTCCTATGTGAGAGAGGAGGAAGGTGGGTGTTATCATGTATGTTGGTTCTGACTTGCTAAATGTTTCTGGGGCAATTGGTAATATTTACCGAAAGGTGAAACCCGTGTGGCTCAGGATGCGTCATTTAGAGTTCTAGATGGTTACTTACAAATAGACTCAGTGAAGCCACAAAGGAATTGAAGGCTATTGTTACTGATGTACTTTTACTGACACTAAGGAAAATCAAAGTGTGGCATTGGTAAGATGGAAGGAGAAGGGCTGAGAAATCTACACATTAAGTCTCTGAAAATCTGGACCAGCTCCCCCTACATACTCTCCACTTTCTCAGTGCTGTTTCTTTTCAAGAGTTTGTTAAAAAGGCTGAAGTAAGGTGTGTTTGATGTTATAGGAGGGACTGACCTTCAAGGATGTGGCTGTGGTCTTCACTGAGGAGGAGCTGGGGCTGCTGGACCCTGTCCAGAGGAATCTGTACCAAGATGTGATGCTGGAGAACTTCAGGAACCTGCTGTCAGTGGGTGAGGACATGAGCTTTCTAACACTCAATGTCAGTCTCTTGGAGTGATTTTGTGTCTTCAGGGGTTCAACACTTTGGAGGTCTTGAATTAGTCGCCTACATTTGTAGACCTGACTTTCCTATCAGTAGTTTTTAGTGAAATAAAATGAGATAGAAATATCAGAGTTCACTAAAATTAATGGAATACATAGCAAATAAAACTGGTAAATTGCATGAGTGGTGTGAGAACTTGTGGGAGGAGATTTAATGAAAATAAACGGGGGCCAGGCACAGTGGCTCACGCCTGCAATCCCAGCACCTTGGGAGGCTGAGGCAGGTGGATCACCTGAGGTCGGGAGTTCGAGACCAGCCTGGCCAACATGATGAAACTCTATCTCTACCAAAAAATAAAAAATACAAAAATTAACCAGGTGTGGTGGTGCATGCCTCTTATCCCACCTACTTGGGAGGCTGAGGCATGAGAATCGCTTGAATCCAGGAGGCAGAGGTTGTAGTGAGCCTAGATCACGCCACTGCACTCCAGCCTGGGTGACAGAGTGAGACTGTCTCAAAAAAAAAAGACATTGGTTAGAAATGTAATTTTAGTAATGCACCAAGATGTAACAGTTTTTCTGTTGTTTGAGATAACACCTGGAGTTTTTTGTTTTATTTTTAAGAAGATTAATGAGTGCAGACAGAAATGTGAGGTTAGAGTGAAGGTTTAATAAGCAAAAGAAGAAAGCTTTTTGCCAGCAGAGAGGGGGACCCAAATGGAATTCCCCCTATGAGGCAGGGGTTTGGGGTTTTTATGGACTGGGAAGGGGAAGGAATGTGCTTAGTTTGTGGGCTATTTTGGAGAAAGTGTGACTTAGCTTGGCCCGGAACCTTGGCCCAGGACCAATCAGGTTGAAGTAAAGATATATAGAGACCGGACTTACAGTTTGAAAAAAAGAAAGTAGAGTGCCCACTGGAACCCACTGGAGCCCACTGTACCTATGCCCACAAAAGGAGAAGAAACCTTTTCCTGGGAGCCCGCTGACTATACAGAGGACAAAGGCATTCTTATGCCAGGCCTTGCTCCTTTATCTGAGCGAGCTGGAGGTATGTACAAGCTTTTATCCAAATGGGCTGGAGGTTTTTCTATCTGTGCAGCCGTGGGCATGTCTCCAGGCACAACACCCTGTGGTAGTTCCCTTATTGGTGCCTGCAGCTTAAATTTTTTTTCCAGGCTGCTTTTTATGTTATATAAAAATAAGACACTAACCCATGGGTCAGGGGCTCTCCAAAGACCCTTCCCTTGCTGTCTACCTAAGGCAAGCGAACTAACTCCTTTCAGAAATAGGTTTTTATAGCACATATTTATGTCTATGTGTCTGGATCTTGAAATACTGATATTTCTTCATTAGGTTCTTCTAAAAGTGTTTGAAAACACTACTTTTGATTGATTGATCAGTATACAGTAGTAATTCAAATTGCCAGTAAGTTCAGTTGTACCTTTAGTGTGTTTGTTTTAAATATGTGACTTTGCGTGTTCTAGGGCATCACCCCTTCAAACATGATGTATTCCTTTTAGAAAAGGAAAAAAAGCTTGATATAATGAAGACAGCAACTCAAAGAAAAGGGAAATCAGGTAAGAACCAAGCAGCTAAGAGTCCTTGTACGTGATTGTCCATCTGTTGTACTTCTCTCCCCTGCTCTTGCTGCCATCGGGTCCAAATTGCCAAACCTCTGTCCTGGATGATTGCAACAGCCTTCGTACTGGGCGCACTGCATCCACCCTCAATAGTATAAAGTATGTTCTCCTACAGGCGTTCTCCATATCATAGCTAAAGTGATCCTTTGGAAATGTAAGTCAGATTGCCATTCCTCTACTTAAGACCTTGTACAGGGCTGGGCACAGTGGCTCATGCCTGTAATCCAGCACTTTGGGGGCCAAAGCAGGAGGATCAGGAGTTTGAGACCAGCCTGGCTAACATGGCAAAACCTCGTCTCTACTAAAAATACAAAAATTAGCCAGGCGTGGTGGCCAGCGCCTGTAGTCCCAGCTACTCAGGAAGCTTAGACAGGAGAATCGCTTGAACCCAAGAGGCAGGTTGCAGTGAGCCAAGATCGCACCGCTACACTCCAGCCTGGGCAACAGAGCGACACTCCATCTTAAAAAAAAAAAAAATACTCTGAATGGCTTCTTATTTTTCTTAAAGTTGAAGTCTCTTAAAGGAGCTTATAGAGTCCTGCGTGGTCTGCTGTTCATCCTCCTCTGCGTCTCTGACTACATCTCCTGTATTCTACCTCTTGCTCCATCTTTTCCAGCCACATCATCCTCCCTGCTATTTCCCAGACCTGGTAAGGACATTGCTCGCTCTGTCGCCCAGGCTGGAGTATAGTGGTGCAATCTCAGCTCACTGCCACCTCCGCCTCCCAGGTTCAAGCGATTCTTCTGCCTCAGCCTCCCAAGTAGCTGGGATTACAGGTGCCTGTAACCACGTCCGGCGGATTTTTGTATTTTTTATAGAGACAGGGTTTCACCATGTTGGCCAGGCTGGTCTCCTGACCTCAAGTGACCCGCCTGCCTCAGCCTCCCAAAGTGCTGGGATTACAGGCATGAGCCACTGTGCCCGACCTGGACACTGCATTTCTTACTGCTGCTGTAACATATTACCCCAAACTGAGTGGATTAAATGATAAAAATGTATTGTCTTTCAGTTCTTTGTTTGAAGTCCAACATGGGTCTCACTACGCTGAAATCAAGCTGTCAGCCCGTCCCTGTTTCTTCCCGGAGGCTCTAGGGAAGGAGAATCTGTATCGTTCCCTTATCAGTGTGTAGGGGCTGCCAAATTTCATAGCTTGTGGCCCTCTTCACAGCCAGCAACAGTGCTTCTCTGATCATTCTTCTATAGTTGCATTTCCCTTTTATTCTCTCTTCATCCTTTTTCCACTTTATAAGGACCCTCTAATTGCACTGGGCCCACTTGGATAATGTAGAATTGCCTTCTATTTTTAGTTCAGCTGATTTGCAACCTTAATTCCCTCTGCAACCTTAATTACCCTTTGTCATAACCTGACATATTCTTAGGATGAGAATTAGAACGTGGATTCTTTGGGGGTTGATTATTCTGCCAACTACAGATACTTCTGCCTCAAAGCCCTTATTTGCCCTTGTCTTTGCCTGGAAAAACTCACCTACAATCCTCTCGGCCCCTCTCTTACTTCATCCTGGTCTCTGCTCAGTTTTAATTTCACAGTGGTGGCCTTTTCTGACATCCTTACTGGAAATGCCATCCTTTACTCTCTGCCCTACCTTCTCTTGTGTCTCATAGACTTTGGTTTACTTGCTTGTCCCCTCTCTCTCCCCACTGGAATATAATCTCCAAGAGTGGAGGAATTTTTTTGTTTGTTTGTTTATTACTCTATCATCAGTGCCTAAATAGTCCTGTTACATGGCAGATATCTGTTAATATAAATATCTGTTGGCATAATGAAGGCATTAATGGATGGATGTGACCTCACTCTAGGGGTCTTGCAGCTAGGACAGGTCATACACAAACCAAAATGAATGAAGGGGGTTGCAGAACGTTATTTGTTTTCTGATGGCTGCACATCCAGTTTCTTCTGCCTTAGGTGCCCTTCACGTGAATGTTTGTGTGTGCACTTGAACCTCATACCATGAAAACTTACAAGCATCGTGGTTGTGACCACACTTTGAGTAACAAGCCTTCCCAGTGGCTTTCCTGGAGGCTTCCATCATATGGAACACATTCATTTCTGGGAAGGAATAATTTTTGAATGAAGATTCTGATGTCTACTTCTGAGATAGCTCCCCCCACAAGAAGATAACTATTTCCTAAGGTGTCAGATAGTAACTAGGTTGCAAACTGCTTTCCTTTCAGCACACTGCCCATCTGAACCTCATTTGCTTCTTCCAAAGTGCCCATCCGTATCACTGCCCCCAGGTTTTGCCTCCCCTGTGCCAGAGGTGGAAGATTTAAGATTTGAGTGGCAAAAGTGACACAGCTGAATGTTGCCTGACTCTCTGGTTCAAAAATATGCTGTGCTTTTATTTTCTACAAATGTAGTAGCCATTAAGCATATATTAAAGAATATAGATGTCATACAATTTTTCCTTTATTTTTATAAAGACCTGGCTTTTATGTTCAACTAGTTGACATTATAACCTGGGAAAAATGAAGAAACTTCTTGCTCAAAATTGTCACATCATCATAGAGACTTGTCCTCCTCAAAAAAACTACAATTTTTAAGGGTCAGTTTGTTAAATCTAATCATGTATTCATCATATATATATATATATATATATATATGCGCCAAGAGTTACATACTCTCCTATGAATATTTTCCCAAGGTGTCACGGTTGGAAATTGTCTTTCCATTTGAAGCAGTTTGTTTAATTAAGGACCAGGTAACTTCTAGAACCAAAGTTTTTGAGCTCTTTTGAGCATGAGCCATAGCAAGAAACGCATTTTTCATTGAAATTAGAACAATGAAACAAACATTTCATGTCTGTATAGATTGATATTATAGCTTTAGTAAGCATTTCAGAAGGACCCCTTTCCTGCTGGTGGTAGTACTCTGATAGTTTCTATCCTGGTTCTTTTATTCTGAATGCTTATTACAAGCTTTTAAATTTATTTCACAGCTCACTAAAGGGCTACAGTTTTTAATTTGAAAAACTGTTGTGAAAGGCCCAACTTACCTACACTGAGAGCTTCAGAAGGAACCAGTGTATAGGGCTTCCTGCTTTCTTTTTATCCCAAGTGATTCTTGCCACCTTCAAATTTTCTTATTAGCCTCACCCTGGATATACCTGTCTCTTGTACAACTTTTCAGCTTCTCTGCAAAATTACAATTTTCTGTTCTTTTCCTATTTCAAATAACATTTGGAAAAGATGCTTTTCTCCTAGGACTTGGCTTAAATTCTCACACAAAAAAAGTCAAGTTGGGGTTCATTTATTCATTTGACATGCATTTATTGAGCATTCACTGTGACAGGCACAGTTCTGGACAATGGTTATAAAGTAGGAAAGTGTAAAACGAGTATTATGTCAAAATTAGAAAATGCTTCCCTCATTGATGCTGCATTGTGGTGGGAAGGACATACATTAAACAACCAGTAATTTAGTGTGTCCAGTGGTTAAAAGTGCTGTGAAGAACATAGACAAATTCAAGTTGCTAGAGGTGAATTGGGTGAAGACAGGATTCATTATTTTTCAATGAGTAATAAAGCAGCCCTCATTGGTGAGCTGACATTGAGCAGAGACCCACAAGACGTGAGGAACCATCCATCTCGCTATCTGGGAAGAGTTCCTCCCTGAATATAACTCCTGCTGTGGGGGTGGCTTTCAAAGTTTACACTGTGACATCTTTTTCTTCTCCCTGTCTCCATCTCAATTGTGAAAGATTGGAGTCTACTTCTTTTTCACTTTTTTTTTTTTCTGGAGGTCTAAATTACTGTCAGCTTTTAGAATAATACATGTTATCAGTTCAACTTTCTTTCCCTTTAGTCCTCATGTAGGAAACTTGCTGACAGAAGCTAAAGTTTCACCATCTGCTTATCTGCTAATATTTTAGTCAGTATGTGGTTAGGTACTTGCTCCCAGCCTGCAAGTCATGTTAACCATTCCAGTCACCTGGATATTGAAGTAACTTTCCAATAAAATGACTCAGGGCAGAGTTATATAGACACCATTTAACAAATGTCTACTGATACAAAGGAGGAGGTAGATTTTTTTCTCTTTTTCTTTTTTTTTTTTTTTTTTTTTTGAGACAAAGTCTCACTGTGTCCCTCAGGCTGAAGTGCAGTGATAAAATCATGGTTCACTGCAGCTTCTAACTCCTGAGTTCAAGCGATCCTCCATCTCAGCCTCCCAAATAGTGTTAACTACGGGTGCGTGCCACCACATCTGGCCAATTTTTTTAAAAGTTTTTTTGTAGGGCCAGAGTCTTGCTATGTTGCCCAGGCTGGTCTTGAACTCCTGGGCTCAAGTGATCCTCCGGCTTCAGCCTCCCAACATGCTTGGATTACAGATGTGAGCCACTGCACCCTGCCAAGAGGCAGCTTTTAAATGACTATTCCTGCAGGAGGGGAGTAAGTTTTTCCTCTGTAAAAATTTCCTTAGAGGTACGTCTTTCTGCTAAACTTTTGTGGAAGAGTTCATTTAAAAAATAATTTCCAAATATTTATATCTCTTTATACAAGATTAAACATTTTGGAATATTATTAAGGATAAACCTTTCAGAAGGGTTTAAACATTTTAAATCTAAGTTATATTAGAAGTGGTCAAGAGTTTATAATAGTTGTCAGCTCATTTAATGTCTGTCAACACAGAAAAATAAGATTAAGTGTATATGTTATGCAGAATATTCAAGAATATGGTTGATCCTTGAACAACTTGGGGGTTAGGGACACCAACTCCCCTCACAGTAAAAAATCCAAGTATAACTTTTGACTCCCCTCTAAAACTTTACTCATGGCCTACTTTGACTGAAAGACCTACTGATAACATAGTCAATTAACACATATTTTGTATGTTATAATGTATTGTATACTATATTCTTACAATAAAGGAAGAATTCTTTATTCTTACAATAAAGAGAAGAGAAAATGTTATTAAGAAAATTATAAGGAGGAAGAGGAGGGGTTGGTCTTGCTGTCTCAGGGATGGCAGAGATGGAAGAAAATCCATGTATAAGTGAACACATGCAGGTCAAACCTGTGTTGTTCAACGGTCAACTGTATTTTGAACATGTAAATATAAACATTTCAGGTTATTTAATAATTTGAATATGTAACATGAACCTAAACTGCAAAATATTTGATTATTTTCTTACTTTCCCTTGAAGTTCTTGTTGATTTATATTATCTACATTTTTTTTTAACTTTTAATATTTTTAATAGAGGTACATTCTTGCTTTGTTGCCCAGACTGGTCTCAAACCCCTGGCCTCAAACTATCCTTCTGCCCCAGCCTCCCAGAATGCTGGGATATACAGGCATGACCATGCCTGGCCTATGCTTTTTATATTTAGATAATTTACTATTTATTATTCTACACTGACTTTAAAATTCGATGGAAATGGCAGTACAATTTGTATCATGTTAATTTTTAAAATTAACTCTGACTTCTAACTTGTGTCTCACATAGGAGACTTGGTATGGTCTAATGCCTGGTAGATAGCAGCCAATTGGACCACCTCTTGATTTATCTAGGCATGGAAATCAGAGATCATGATACACAGTGGAAAAGACCATTACACAAACTGGACCTTCTCTGGATTTGTTAAAATCGCATGCTCTCGCCTAAGTATGACATCTTGAAAACTTTTAACAGAGCCTCCACATCTCTGAATTCTCTGTCCTTACAGCAGACAAGATCCAAAGTGAGGTGGAGACTGTTCCAGAAGCAGGACGACATGAAGAGCTTTACTGGGGGCAAATCTGGAAACAGATTGCAAGTGATTTAATCAAGTATGAAGACTCTATGATAAGTATTTCTCGGTTCCCCAGACAAGGTGATTTGTCCTGCCAGGTTAGGGCAGGACTATATACAACTCACACAGGACAGAAATTTTACCAATGTGATGAGTACAAAAAATCCTTCACTGATGTCTTCAACTTTGATCTTCATCAACAGTTACACTCAGGAGAGAAGTCTCATACATGTGATGAGTGTGGAAAAAGCTTCTGTTACATCTCAGCCCTTCATATTCATCAAAGAGTCCACATGGGAGAGAAATGCTATAAGTGTGACGTGTGTGGTAAGGAATTTAGTCAGAGCTCACATCTTCAAACTCATCAGAGAGTCCACACTGTAGAGAAACCATTCAAATGTGTGGAATGTGGGAAAGGCTTCAGTCGTAGATCAACACTTACTGTACATTGCAAATTACACTCAGGAGAGAAACCTTACAATTGTGAGGAATGTGGAAGGGCCTTCATACATGCTTCCCATCTTCAGGAACATCAGAGAATTCATACTGGGGAGAAACCATTCAAATGTGATACATGTGGTAAGAACTTCCGTCGTAGATCAGCACTTAATAATCATTGCATGGTCCACACAGGAGAGAAACCATACAAATGTGAGGACTGTGGTAAGTGTTTCACTTGTAGCTCAAACCTTCGTATCCATCAAAGGGTCCACACAGGAGAGAAACCTTACAAGTGTGAAGAATGTGGTAAGTGCTTTATTCAGCCTTCACAATTTCAGGCCCATCGGAGAATCCACACTGGAGAGAAACCATACGTATGTAAAGTGTGTGGTAAGGGTTTCATTTACAGTTCAAGTTTTCAGGCCCATCAGGGAGTCCACACTGGAGAGAAGCCATACAAATGCAATGAGTGTGGGAAGAGCTTCAGAATGAAAATTCATTATCAAGTGCATCTGGTAGTCCACACAGGGGAAAAACCCTATAAATGTGAAGTATGTGGTAAAGCCTTCCGTCAGAGTTCATATCTTAAAATCCATCTGAAAGCACATAGTGTACAGAAACCTTTTAAGTGTGAAGAGTGTGGGCAGGGCTTCAATCAGAGCTCACGACTTCAGATTCACCAGCTGATCCATACCGGTGAGAAACCATACAAATGTGAAGAGTGCGGAAAGGGATTTAGTCGTAGAGCAGATCTTAAAATTCATTGTAGGATCCACACAGGGGAGAAACCATATAATTGTGAGGAGTGTGGGAAGGTCTTCAGTCAGGCCTCGCATCTTCTAACCCATCAGAGAGTTCACAGTGGGGAAAAACCATTTAAATGTGAAGAGTGTGGGAAGAGCTTCAGTCGGAGTGCACACCTTCAAGCCCATCAAAAAGTCCACACTGGAGAAAAGCCATACAAATGTGGGGAGTGTGGAAAGGGCTTCAAGTGGAGCTTGAACCTTGACATGCATCAGAGGGTGCACACAGGAGAAAAACCCTATACATGTGGGGAGTGTGGGAAGCACTTCAGTCAGGCCTCAAGTCTCCAACTTCATCAGAGTGTCCACACAGGAGAGAAACCATACAAATGTGATGTATGTGGTAAAGTCTTCAGTCGGTCTTCACAATTACAGTATCATAGGCGAGTTCACACTGGGGAAAAACCTTACAAATGTGAGATATGTGGTAAGAGGTTCAGCTGGCGATCAAATCTTGTAAGTCATCACAAAATTCATGCTGCTGGTACATTTTATGAAAATGATGAGAATAGTAAGAACATCAGAGAGTTGTCAGAGGGAGGAAGTTCTACAAGGTGATTAAAAAAAAAAAAACAGAACTCATGTACAACCTGAATGCTTGTAATTAGATTTCATAGGAGGGAAAAATTTTCTTTATCAACCTCTTTGAATTTATTTGATTTGTAACGCTCCACATTTCCACCTAGACTTTTTTTTGTTTTTTATTTTTTGTTTTGAAACAGAATCTCGCTCTGTTGCCCATGCTGGATGCAGTGGTGCTATCTCAGCTCACTGTAACCTCCACTTCCCGGGTTCAAGTGATTCTCCTGCCTCAGTGGATTACAGGTGCACACCACCACGCCTGGCTAATTTTTGTATTTTTAGTAGAGATGGAGTTTCACCATACTGGCCAGGCTGGTCTCAAACTCCTGACCTCATGTGATCCACCCACCTCGGCCTCCCAAAGTGCTGGGATTACAGGCATGAGCCACCGCCCCTGGCCTCCATCTAGACTTTGAAATGATTGCCTTCTAATTACAGTAGCATTCTCTTATTTAAAATATTTGTTTTATTTAAGTCAGTGTTTAAGCAATAGCTCAGCATATCCCAGTGGTCCAGTGACCACACAGCTGAGAACCCTTGTTAAGTGGTACAGTAAAGCATTCTGTCAAAACTTTGACATTTATGACATGTTACCTAGGAAATAGGACTTAGAAAATGAGTTTGACCTGGGCTTTAAAAAAGTATACTGATGAAGGTGCCAGAATTGATGTCCATTAGACTGTAAGCTCCATGGGGGCAGGAACTTTGCTACCGAATCTATACAACCTTAACATTGACTAGTGCTTGTAGGTGTGCTCAATACTTGTTTGTTAACTGAATCAAAAGGAGTAAATGCACAATATTTGAACATTGTATCCAAAGGAAGAAACCTGCGAAATAAAATTATTTGCAGAAATGAACATTTGTTGAAATGCAGAAAACCACTGGATACTGCAGCCTACAATATTAATATGATATTACTCTTTTACAGTTGACACCTGTCCTCTCTGTAGTCTCTTCTCTCAAATTTGGTTCTTATTGAGAGCCTGTCTAGTTTCCCAAAGGTTTTATAAAACATAAGTTGAAGTACCTTTATTTTTAATTTTATTTTTGAGACAGGACCTCGCTCTGTCACCGAGGCTGGAGTGCAGTGGCATAATCATGGCTCACTGCAGCCTCGTCCTCCCAGGCTCCATCCATCTGCCCATCTCTCCCTCTGAGTAGCTGGGACCACGGGCACGTGCCACCACACCCAGCTAATTTTTGTATGTTTGGTAGAGAAAGGGTTTCACCACATTGCCCAGGCTGGTCTTGAACACCTGAGCTCAAGCAATCCAACCTCCTTGGCCTCCCAGTGTTAAATTACAGGCGTAAGCCACCACACCCGGCCAAGTTGAAGTATATTTTGTGATTTTTCTGACAGTGCAGACTGAAAAAAATTTAATTAACCTGACAAGAGTTTACTGAATATCACACAATTGAGTTTTTAATCCATTAATGTTAAGGCAGGGGTTTACTCTAACACTTTTAAAGTGTCAGAAGTAGTTGCCAATGCCAAATTTTTATCAGCCCCCTTGAATTTATTTGATTTCTGACTTTCCACATTTCCATCCAGACTTTGACATGATTGCCGTCTAATAACTGTAGCATTCTCTTATTAAAACTTCTGGCTGGGTGTGGTGGCTCATGCCTGTAACCCCAGCACTTTAGGAGGCCAAGGCAGGTGAATCACCTGAGGTCAGGACTTAGAGACCAGCCTGACCAACATGGTGAAACCCCATCTCTACTAAATACAAAAATTAGCTGGGCATGGTGGCAGGCGCCTGTAATCCCAGCTACTCAGGAGGCTGAGGCAGGAGGATTGCTTGAACCCGGGAGGCGGAAGTTGCAGTGAGCCGAGACTGCGCCATTGCACTCCAGCTTGGGTGACAGAGCAAGACTCCGTCTCAAAAAAAAAAAAAAAAACTTCTGAGGTAGGGGCTGTACCATATTTTTGCCCCACACCCATTAAGCGAATACCAAAAACAACTTGTGGAAATTTGATAATTTTATCAAATTTATTATTTGGGCAGGATTGGCATTTACCATGCTTTTCCCTATTGCTGGCAGTAAAACATGGGTTTAAGGAAGAGTGTTTTTCAGAATTTACACTGTATATCTCTGATTTGGAAGTTATATAATTGGAATTTATGATTATGAGATTAAAATACCAAAAAGACTAAGTAACATATCAGTGATGTCAATGAATTGTTTTAAATGGAAGTGTGTGTTCCTCTATAATAATTTGACTTTTGATATTTTCATTCCTGTATTGACCTGAAGCTATTAAAATGGCGGCAGGTATCTGTAATGACAGGATAAAGAAAAAATATGGGCTTTGGAAGATCATAGACTATTGCCTTTGTAGCATAATGAAATCTATACATTTTTATGAGTGAGTGTGTATGTACATGCATAAGATAATATGTAAAGGATACTTTTTTTTTTTTAGCAATTTTCTCTTGCAATGAGCATTTTGTGGTATTTTTCCATTTTATAATTCCATAAATTACATTTTAATTTCTTATTGAACATCAGTATTACCAAAGCAGTAAATTATGTACATTAGAATTTTAAAAAGTGCTATATGATAATCCCTTCAAAATATGATTGTTCTATATTGTTATATGGCACATAAGATCATAATTAATAGATTCTGGAAGCCAATTTTAAAAACAAAAAAATTCTCTGAATATGTGGATAAATGGATGAGTGTGAACAATTGTATCTTTGCAATTAATGTCTGCTACACTTCTTTTTTTTTTTTGAGATGGAGTCTTTCTCTGTTGCCCAGGCTGGAGTGCAGTGGTGCAATCTTGAATCACTGCAACCTCCGCCTCGCGAATTCAAATGATTATCCTGCCTCAGCCTCCTGAGTAGCTGGGATTACAGGGGCGTGCCACTATGTCCAACTCAGTTTTTTTTTTTTTTTTTTCCCCGAGACGGAATCTCACTCTGTTGCCAGGCTGGAGTGCAGTGGCGCAATCTCAGCTCACTGCAACCTCTGCCTCCCAAGTTCAAGCAATTCTCCTGCCTCAGCCTGCTGAGTAGCTGGGACTACAGGTGTGCACCACCACGCCCAGCTAATTTTTGTATTTTCAGTAGAGACGGGGTTTCACCATGTTGGCCAGGATGGTCTCGATCTCTTGACCTTGTGATCCGCCCTCGGCCTCCCAAAGTGCTGGGATTACAGGTGTGAACCACCGTGCCTGGCCTAAATTTTGTATTTTTAGTACAGACGAGGTTTCACCATGTTGGCCAGGCTGGTCTCGAGCTCCTGACCTCAAGTGATCTGCCCGCCTCGGCCTCTCAAAGTGCTGGGATTACAGGCATGATCCACTGTGCCCGGCCTTGCTTGCTACATTTTTTAAAGCATTAATCTGTAACACAGAGAGAATCCTGGAAATGAAAACAAAGTGGTATACATATGTTAGGGAGGTATGTTTAAAAAGGTTCACTGAGGAAAAAGTGTGCATAAGAGCAGAATATAGTGCAATCCACTTACTGGATGTGGAACCAGTAAGGACAAAGAGTGGGTTTGAATGACATTCCATATTCCTTGGACATGATGGTGATATTTTCAGTGTAGTTGATTAAAGCATGGGTCCCTAACCCCTAGGCCACAGACCCTGTTAGGAACAGGGCCAGACAGCAAGAGGTGAGCAGTGGGCAAGTGAGCAAAGCTGAGTTCTGCCTTCTGTCAGATCAGTGGCATGAACCCTATTGTGAACTACGCATGTGAAGGATCTAGGTTGCAGCCAGGCGCAGTGGCTCATGCCTTTAATCTCAGCACTTTGGGAGGCTGAGGTGGGCGGATCACCTGAGGTCACGAGTTGGAAACCAGCCTGGCCAATATAGTGAAACCCCATCTGTACTAAAAATACAAAAATTAGCCAGGCATGGTGGCAGGTGCCTGTAATCCCAGCTACTTGGGAGACTGAGGCAGGAGAATCACTTGAACGCAGGAGATAGAAGTTGCAGTGAGCCGAGGTTGCGCCATTGCACTCCAGCCTGGGCAACAAGAGCGAAACTCTTTTTTTTTTTTTAAAGAAAGGATCTAAGTTGCTCGCTCCTTGTGAAAATAAAATGATAAATGTAATGTGCTTGAATCATCCCCAAACCATCCCCATCCCCCCACCTCACCTTGTGGAAAAATATTGTCTTCTGCAAAGCTGGTCCCCTGTGCCAAAAAGGTTGTGAACTGCTGGATTAAAGGGCTTTACTCAATAAATTATATCTAACTGGGGAGACTTTTTTCCACTATTGATTTTCTTCAGTATACCTTCACTGGATGCTTGCTACTCATTAAGGTCCATGCTACCTCAATGTGCATGGTATGCTGGGGATTGATAATACCACCTTCACATTCTTGTAATTCACTAGGAGGACTCAAGACACCCTATGTTATCATAGTCACTATGATTTATTGTAGTAAAAGATACCAAGTCAGTTGAGCAAAGGGAAAATGTGCATGGGATGAAGTCCAGAAGAAATCAGGTACAGGCTTCCAATAATCCACTCCCTGTAGAATCATTCATGATGTACTGTTTTTTCAGCATTGAAACATGTGAAATGTCTACCCAGTAAGCTCAATGGAGACTTAGTGCCCTAGGCACTACGTTGTGTTTTGTTTTGGAACTGGTCACATAGGCCAGCTTGGGCCAAAATTCTAGATTCCCAGAAGGAATTCAGCATAAATCACATTATACAAATAGCCGGGGCATGGTGAGCCACTCTCATCAGAGAATTGTGGAAATCCTCCTGAAATTCAAGTTCCCAGATACCAGTCAAGGGCTAACCTTATATCTTGCGCTGCTATAACAGAATACCACAGATTAGGTAATTTATAAACAATATAAATTTATCTGTCATAGTGCTTGAGGCTGGGAAGTCCAAGGTCAAGATGCTGGCAGGTTTAACATCTGGTGAGGGCTGCTGCTGTCTGCTTCCAATATGGCATCCAGTTGCTGCATCCTCTGGAGGAGACAGATGCTATGTCCTCATATGGTGGAAGTGATGAAAAAGCAAGAAGGGATTAAGTTTTAACAAGGGAACACCATCAAACTATAGCATGTTGCAAGCAGGCCTTTTAAGTACAACAGTCTCAGGCCTATGTTAACTCTTTTCTGAACAAAGGGCTTCAGAAATCCAGTACCTATATTCTTTTCTTTCTTTTTCTTTCTTTGTATCACCAGATACCACATTAGGTCATCTTCCTTCAAGGTAATTTGTAACCAAAACCAGTAGACTAAACCAAATAATTTCTTGCCCCTCTGCCCCATAACTGATAAGACTGTAGGTACAGTCTACATCTACCCTCCTCATGACCAGAGTTTTCAGGTTAGTCACAAGACAGCTGTAGAAGCTGGGAGCTATCTGGCTTTGTTTTTGGTTGGTTGTTGTTTGTTCACAGTCAAGAGGAGAGAACTGTTTCATTTGTAATATTGTATAGTTCATGTCTCCCAAAATGCATGGCTACTCTAACTCCCATTCACACACAAGATTAATTCCTTAGCTCTTACCTAGTATGCCCAGCCCTTGTGGGATCATTCAGTTTTTTCATCTGTGGGCCTAACTTGCCTGTTCATCTTTGGCCGTTGGGATTTCCCTGTCTTAGCTTTGAGTTTAGCTACATTTTAACGCTTTAGGGGATATTGTCACATAACATTTTTCTATCTTTGAAAAGATCCACAATATTATGTAATGATTACCACTATCTAATCCTAGAACTCTTTCATCTGCTCCCAAAAGAAATCCCCTACATGAGCTGGGTGTGGTGGTGCATGCCTGTAGTCTCAACTACCCAGGGGGCTGAGGCGGGAGGATCACTTGAGCCCAAGAATTTAAGGCTGCAGTGTGCTATGATCATGCCTGTGAATAGCCACTGTACTCCATTCTGGGAAACATAACAAGACGCTGTCTCTAAAAAAGTAAGAAAAAAAAAACCCTACATATTGACAGTCACTCCCCATTCCCAACTACATCTCCCCAGCCTTGGAGACAACTAATTTACTTTCTGTCTCTATGGACTTGCCTATTCTGCACATTTGATATAAATGGAATCATACCATATATGGTATCTTGTGTCTGGCTTCTTTCATTGGACATAATGTCTTCAGAGTTCATCTATGTTATAACATGAATCAATATTTTGTTCATTCACATTACTAAATAATATTGCATTATATGGCTAGACCACATTTTGTTTATCCACTCATCAGCTGATGGACATTGGGTCTTCTCCACTTTTTGACTATTATGACTAATGCTGCTATGAACTTTTTTAGAACAAGTTTTTGTGTGGATATCTTTCAGTTCTCCTGGGTATTTACTTAGGAGTGAAATTGCTGGCACATAAGCCCCAGATCGGGTGCCAGCAGATTCAGTGTCTGGTGAGGTCCCGCTTTCTAAGTCATACATGGTCCTTCTGGCTGTGTCCTCACATAACTAAAGAGGCAAAGGAGCTCCCTCAGGCCACTTATAAGAGAGCATTAATCCTATTCATGAGGGCATTGCCCTCTTGATCTGATCACGTCCCATAGGTTCCACCTCCTAATATCTTCTTGGGAGTTAGGATTTAAACATACGAATTTGGTGGGGGCCATAAACACTCAGACCATAATAATACCTAAAGAGAAGTGAGGGATTCTGGGAAATGAAAACCAGGAGCTCAAGGTAGTTGGACACTTCCACATCAGAAGGCTTGGACATTCCGGAAGTGTAGTCCAGGAGGGCGGTACTGTTCTGTTTTTCCCCCAACTCCAGCATTCTGTGATATGTAGTCCGGAGTTCCGTGTAGTCGCGCATAGCTCAGCTGCAGTAAGGCTGTAAATGTTTCCCCTGCGGAATCCTGGGAACTGTAGGTCCAATCGTTCTAGGTAGTTGTAGGCACTTCCGGCTCGAGGAAGGCAGTGCTGTGGAATTCTGGGAAGCGTAGTCCAGGTCCTCCTGATACTCGCAGGCACTTCCGCCCAGGAAGACGACGTAGCAGCCATCTTTTCCCTGGCTTTGGTGATTCAGGTCAGCTTCTCAGGAACCTTTCAAACTTCCCCGAAATGCACTTGTGGTCAGCAGCTAGCGGTCTTTTGTTTGGGGAAAAAAAGGAGTAGCGGCTAAGAGCGGAGGTTTGAGGGGCCAGGATGCTGTTTTGCGTTTCCCTGGGCGGAGCTTGTTAGAATTGGGGGCGTACTGGCTTCGGGCGGCTGGGGTGATGCTTCGTCGGGTTTGAAGGTCTCTCGGGCTGTTCGCTCCCTCATTGTGACTCCCCCACCTAATGAGCCAGCCCTACCACTTCATACAGTATCACATTGAGCGAGTTAGTTAATCCCCGTGCCTTCGTTTGCTGTTCTGAAGGAAAATAAAAGCAAAAACTTCCTAATAGAATGTTTTGAGAGAAAACGAGGTAATACAAAAAGTGTAAAACTGCCTGGCACGTGAATTACCAATACTACTGTAATTTTCCTAGAAACTCCCGTTCTGTGGCGAAATTCTGTGAGTCCATGAAGCTGGATTGTCCCTGACCTCTTTTGAGGAAGGAGAGGGTTGCTTCTAACTGGTCCTGGGAGATGCCACTGTGATGTATCCGGGATGAAGACACAATCCTGGTTACTTCATAGCCTGTTTTTCTTCCCCAGCCCTGACTTCTCAAAAAGCACTGCACAGAGGAGGAGGCAGCAGAACCCCATGTGAGTAAGACTTGTTGTTATTCTTGTTTTATTCACATAAATCAGAGAATGTGTGGGGTCATGTATTTGGGCATGAGAAGTGATTATAATTTAGCGTTAGTTGCTAAGTTCCATTCTAAGGGGTTTATACAAATGAACACCTTTCCACTATACAGTGGCTCTGTGAAGTGATACTCTTTTTCCGAGGAGACTGAGACATAAGAACATAACTTGTTTGCTCATAGCCACCTAGCTAGTAGGAGGCAGAGCTAGCATTGAAACCGAGGCAGTCTGAGTCTAGACCTGAGTCTTCTTTGGTATGTTCTGCATGAGCCATAGGCAGCTGGCTAGTATCATGTGAAAATAGGTTGGGACTTCACTGTGGGGACTTTGCTCAAGGTCTGGGCTATTCTATGACTTTTAAAAAATAGTGGCTGGGCACAGTGGCTGACGCCTGTAATCCCAGCACTTTGGGAGTCTGAGGCGGGCAGATCACTTGAGGCCAGGAGTTTGAGACCAGTCTGGCCAACATGGCGAAACCCCATCTCTACTAAAAATACAAAAATTAGCCAGGCGTGGTGGCCAACACCTGTAATCCCAGGAGTTTGGGAAGCTGGGGCAGGAGAATCGCTTGAACCCAGGAGGCGAGGCTGCAGTAAGCTGAGATCACACCGGTGCACTCCAGCCTCGGCAACTGAGCAAGACTCTGTCTCAAAAAAAGAAAAGAGTTTTTAAAAATAGTTTTCTCAATTATTAGTTTTATTTGTTTCAAATAATATAGAGGTAACACATAATCATGGAAAACACAGAAATACATTTAAAAAATGTAAATTCCCCATGACCTTAGGGTATAAAGATAACAACTATAGTTTAGTGCCTTTCTGTCAAGTTTTTCTTGTATATATTTCTGTTTATTAGGGGCTGTTTTGGGAGAGGGACTGAGTACAGTGCAACACTACTCAAACTGTGGTTCACAAAGCAGCAACATTGGCATCACCCAGGTAGAAAGGCTCATTCTTGAGCCCTACCGAAGGCCTTCTGATTTAGCATTTTTGCAGATAGGACCCAGAAATCTGCATTTCAACAAGATCCCAAGGTGAGCGAGATGCATGTTAAAGTTTGAGAAGCTCAGGAAAAGGTCTTATCTGGAAACTCAGGACTAGAAAACTGACCCTGCCAGATGTCACAGATAAAACTGAGCTGGCCATACTAGAACCCTACTCAGTCCAGTGATTTTTCTTTCCCACTAAATATTAACTGTCAAGTTTCTTTGCAAAAACCATGACATGAGTAGAAGGCAGCTGTCAAGTCTAGAGTCAAAATGGAGAAACTCAGAGTCCTGAAGATCTATTTCTCCCAGGCTTTGGGGAGTAGATTCCTTCCCATCTTTTGTACTGGAGGCCTTCTGCCTGAAGTGGGAAGATCAGCTACCTATTTATTGTTAATTAACGTTAGATATTATTGCCATAGTTGTCATCATCTCGTCATCGTTATTATTCTGATTAATGACTTTCCTAATTTCTTTAACTTTTTTTTTTTTTTTTTTTTTGAGGCAGAGTTTCACTTTTGTTGCCCAGGCTGGAGTGCAATGGCGTGATCTCGGCTCACTGCAACCTCCGCCTCCCAGG
The DNA here is from genome assembly GCF_000001405.40 of Homo sapiens. NCBI lineage: Eukaryota > Metazoa > Chordata > Mammalia > Primates > Hominidae > Homo > Homo sapiens. Next base: position 44,167,415 of record NC_000019.10, read on the forward strand.
TTCAAAAGATTCTCCTGCCTCAACCTCCCAAACATCTGAGATTACAGGCACCCGCCACCACACCGGCTAATTTTTTTGTATTTTTAGTAGCGATGGGGTTCCACCATGTTTGCCAGGCTGGTCTCGAACTCCTGACCTCAGGTGATCCACCCACCTCGGCCTCCCAAAGTGTTGGGATTATGGGCATGAGCCACCGTGCCCAGCCAACTTTTTTTAAAAATATAATTTCAAACTTGTAGAAAAGCTGCAAAAATGATAACGTAAGGAAATCTCATATACTCTACACCCAGATTCACCAGTTGTTACGTTTGTTTGTTATGTTATGTTTTCCCTGTGTGCTCTGTTGATGACCATCAGCCATCACCAGGAACATACCTGTAACCAACAACAATTGTTTGTTTTAGCTTGCTGCATCCAAGGAGCCCACACATGCATGGGGTGTCTTGGTAAGAGGCAATTAGGAGGACCCTGGTTATAGGGTTTTGGTTTATGTTAGATGAGTTGGGGAGAGTTTTAGGCAATGGGTTTGTTCTGGATTGGATGCTGTGAAGAAGCAGTAGTAATTTGATCAGACTATTGTAATTTTTATGTTGGAGGTGGGGAAATAACAAGACTGGAGTTGTCACTGATAACAAAGTGGTCATGTTAGATGGAAGAGGCAATTATTTGGCTATTTTTATCAATGTAGGATGTATTTCTCTCTGTGTTACAAGCTGTTTTGTTTTTTTCTTTTTCACCATGATCACTGAGTAGACCTGTCTCATTCTTGTTGATAAATTGGAAACACCAGGTTCTGGTTGTTGCTGCTGTTGTCAAAGTAGTTTTTTGTTTTGTTTTTTTTTTTGTCTTTTTGCTTTCACAACTTTGTCATACTTATATTTTGTTTTTGTCTTTTTGCTGAAGTATTTGAGAGCAAGCTAGAGATAGTGATGAAAATGAAATTAGTTACATTGATAACTTACTGTTATCTAACCCACAGTTTGTATTTAAACTTACTCCATTTTCCCATTAAAGACTTTGAAAGTAATTTCTTCCCCCAGATGAGTTTCCAGTCTAATTGTATGCATTGCACTTAGTTTTGGTTTCATTAGTCACCTTTAGTCTAGAATGATTCCTCAGACTTTATTTCTTTTTTGCTCTCGATATCTTTCTAGAGTATTGAGAAATTATTTGTAAAATGTTCTTATTTTTTTGTTTCCTTAATATTTATTCATGATTAAATTCAAGCTATGCATTGTCAGCAGAGATGCCATAAAAGTAGGGAGGCATCCTTCTCAGTGCATCATAGGAGTCAAATGTTGGTTTGTGGGTTTGTCCCACTAGTGGTCTCAACTTTGTTTTTTTGGATAAAATGTCTGCCAGGTTACCTTTTTCCTTTTGCACTTAATACTTTGAGACTATGTAGCCATCTTATTCCTCACCAAACTCACCAGTTTTTAGCAGCTATTGATGATGTTCTAGTTATCTTTCATTCTACCTTTATTAGTTTATGTGTTCTACTATAGGAGCTTTCTTTTGTCACCCATTTATTTATTACACATTCTTTTGTTTATAACAATATAGACTCAGGTTCCTCCCTTTTCCTTTTTTTTTTTTTTTTTTTTTTTTTTTTGAGACAGAGTCTCACTCAGTCGCCGAGGCTGGAGTGCAGTGGGGCAATCTCAGCTGACTGCAACCTCCGCCTCCTGGGTTCAAACAATTCTTGTGCCTCAGCTTCCCAAGTAGCTGGGATTACAGGTGCCTGCCACCATGTCCAGCTAATTTTTGTCTTTTAGTAAAGACAGGGTTTCATCTTGTTGGCCAGGCTTGTCTTCAACTCCTGACTGTAAGTGATCTGCTTGTCTTGGTTTCCCAAAGTGCTAGTAGGATTACAGGCATGAGCCACTGTGCCTGGCCAGGTTCCTGCATTTTTAATTTAAGTTAGGTATGGATTGTCAAACGGTGTTTTTTAATTGCGGTATCTTCGGTTTTATTAGTTCAGTGTTGGCAAATTATTGGAAAGACGACAAGATGTTTTTCAGAAGTTATAAGACACTTTCACGTGACATAGCAACAACCTGTGAACTCCAACTATCTTATAATATTCTGTTGGTGGAAATTATATTTTTAAGGATAATTTCAAACCATAGACCATCTTCTACTTATTGCAGTTGCAAATAAATAAGATACCTGACTGTGTTGTAAGAGCTTTCTACCTTCCAGCAATCCGATGAGGTTGGTACTGTTATTCTTTACCACTTGCAGATGACAGAAGTAAGGCAAAGAGATGTTAATAGTTTCCCCAAGGTGACGCTTTTAGTGTCAGGATTTTAACCCATGCATATCAATTCCAGGCCTACTGTACTTATATTGTCTCAATTTACGCTGTACTCAAAATAAGAATTACTGGCGTGCAATTACAGGCACATGGGCAGTGAGGCCACTGTGTGGTTAGCCTGGTTCTGAACTACTGCTGAAAGGGGTAGTTGGATATCTGGGATCCATGTCATAATCTGCTTAAAAGCCACATAAAGCTGCAGCCACCCCAAGAAGCACACACCTTTGCTAATTCCTAAAGAGCAGCCACGTGCATTAGCAACATACTTACCCAGTTTTGATTTATTTCTCTCTTCTTTCCTAGTTCAGCTTCTTAGGACTCTGCACTTCCCCAGAAGGAAGAATTAAAAATGAATATGTTCAAGGTGAGTAGAGCTTGCCTTTCCCAGCTGTTAAAAATACCATTTTAGTACTCAGAGATGGAACCAGGTTTTTCTTTTTCAAGTAAGAGTCAAGGCATCTGATGACCTGTTGAGTGTGCTAGGTGCTTATTTTGTTCCGTTTGAGTTTAGCTGGTTTTGGTTTTAGTTTTATTTCGTCATTTTTATTTTACAAATAAAGGTAGAAAAATTAATAGAAATGATGGGTGGGCACAGTGGCTCACACCTGTAATCCCAGCACTTTGGGAGGCCGAGGCAGGGGGTGGGATCACTTGAGGTCAGGAGTTTGAGACCAGCCTGGCCAACATGGTGAAACCCCATCTTTACTAAAAATACAAAAATTAGGCCGGGCATGGTGGCTCACGCCTGTAATCCCAGCACTTTGGGAGGCTGAGGCGGGTGGATCACAAGGTCAGGAGATCGAGACCATCCTGGCTAACATGGAAACCCCATCTCTACTAAAAATACAAAAAATGAGCCAGGCGTGGTTGCAGGCACCTGTAGTCCCAGCTATTCGGGAGGCTGAGGCAGGAGAATGGCCTGAACCTGGGAGGCGGAGCTTGCAGTGAGCAGAGATCGTACCACTGCACTCCAGCCAGGGTGACAGAGCGAGACTCCGTCTCAAAAAAATAAATAAATAAAAAATAAAAAAATTAGCCAGGTATGGCGGTGCACACTTGTAATCCCAGCTACTCAGTTGGCTGAGGCAAGAGAATCACTTAAATTTGGAAGGCAGAGGTTGCAGTGAGCCAAGATCGTGCCACTACTCCAGCCTGGGCAATAGAGCAAGACTCTGTCTCAAAAAAAAAAAAAAAAATTAATAGAAATGAAAAAATCTTATTTCCATAATCTCTTCATTGTATGTACTTGTAATTATATATTGGCATTCATAACATAGATATAATTTTACATTTCTTACATTTATAACATTTATTTTTGTTGTATTTCTATCAAATTTATGTATCCAGTTTTTAAACTATTCTCTATATACAGTTAGTGTAGGATTTTTACTGTTTTAGGAACTACAGTGTTAGTTTTCTTGCATTTAACTTTTTCTGAAAAAATCAATTTTGAAAAATACTGCCTTTTAAAATCCGTAACATTAGGTATTCAGAATTGAAAAGGTATGTTTTGTGTGTGGTACTTCAGATTTTTTTTGATAGAATATTCAAATATGGCACAGTGTGTCAAGATTTAACAGCTGCTTCACCCAGAAAAAATATTAGACTTTTTTTTACTACAAGAGCTAGATTCTGTCTTCCCCATGCCTCAGTCATACCCTGTGTGTTTACTGGTCTTTTTCCCTTTTAATATTTTTTTTAGTTAAAGTAGTATGTGACCTTAATTTAAAATGCCTAGTGGTAGGAAAGGATTTGCCAAGCACTTACACTCTGCCCCTGTATTGAGACCTCACAGCAACTATGAAGAGGTTCTTTGTTTTGTCTCCATTTTAAACATAAATAGAAAAGGGCTTGTGAAAAATGAGGAACGTGCTCAAGTTCACATGGAAAACTAAAGATCCGGGATCAGTGTATTATATTCAAGTGAAAGACCAAGACAGGAGGACAGAGAGAGTCCTTCATTCAGAAACCTGACATGCCCTTTAGGTTTGTTTCCACATATAACGCTGCTCACTTGGCTCCCACCTCAGTAGGAAGGCAGGTGCTATCAAACACTATTGGGACTCAATTGGTAAACCTTTCTGGGGAAATTGGCAATGTTTTAGGTTCAGCAGGTAACAGTTCCAGGAAATTCCCTTATAAGAGTACTCACTGAGAGCATCCAGTAAATATACAAAGCTTTCTTTTTCACAGCAGCACTTTTGGTAAGTCAGTGTATGGCATTGGCAAGACAGGAGAAGGGCTGGGAAATCTACAAACGGCTGGGCATCCAGAACAACTTTCCACCTGTTCTCAGTGTTACCCATCTTCTAGTGGACATTGGTTGTAAGATTGAGGTCATTTGTTTTTGTCGTAGGAAGCAGTGACCTTCAAGGACGTGGCTGTGGCCTTCACGGAGGAGGAATTGGGGCTGCTGGGCCCTGCCCAGAGGAAGCTGTACCGAGATGTGATGGTGGAGAACTTTAGGAACCTGCTGTCAGTGGGTGAGGACAGCCTCCCTCTGGAATATCTTTGTGCCCTTGGAGTTTTAAGGCTTTGTGGCCCTTGAAATTGTTCCCTGAGTGTGGGAATCTGACTTTCCTAATTTTTGTGGGATGCAGAGACACTGGATGTTTCTGGTCTTTCTGAACAGAATATTTTAGGTCTTTTTCATTTGTGTTTTATAGAAGAACTGTAAATGAACAGAATACTGCTATGCCTTGTCTATTCTTTTTCATGTTTTACACCTGTCCCAGTATTGAATTATAAAACCAACTTATTGAATGTCATCAGCAGATTTTAATGAAATAAAATAGGGTAGAAAATACTAGAACTCCTTAGGAAGAATGGCACACACTGCAGCAAAAACTCTGGCCAATTGCTTGAGTGATGTGAGAACCAATGGGAGATTTAAGGAAAACAGACATTAGTTAAAAATAGGTTATTCAAACTTGGTTTTCATAATATGTATTTACGCATGTGTGTCTGGGTCATGAAATAAATGGTGTTTCTTTACTGAAGTCACAATTTAAATAAAAGTTTGAAAAACACTGCTTTCAGTGTCTTGAATGTGCAGTTGCAACTCAGATTTCCAGTGTATTTTAACTCTAATATGTTCATTTTCAACTTGTGATTTGGCATTTTCACAGGGCATCCACCCTTCAAACAAGATGTATCACCTATAGAAAGAAATGAGCAGCTTTGGATAATGACGACAGCAACCCGAAGACAGGGAAATTTAGGTAAAAACCAAACAGTTATGAGTTCTTATAGTTAACTGTCCATCTGCTTTGCTTCTTCTTAGCCTTGTTGCCATCACCTGGTCCAAATTGCCAACTGTCTTTCCTGGATTATTGCAACACCCTTTGTACTGCTTGCCCTGCTCCCACCCCTCTCCTCTTACATTCTGTTCTTTAAGTGGCAAAGTGAGTTTTTGTTACCTTGTGTCAGACTATGTTGTTCTTCTGCTCAAAATTCTCTGTGACTTATTTTACATAGAGTAAAATCCACTTAATGTGGCTGACAGAGTCTTACACGGTGTGCTTTTCATCCCCCACTACCTCTCTAAATATATCTTCTATACTCTCTTTCTGTGAATTCCAGCCACATTGTCCTCCCTCTTGCTTTTCAGACCTATCAAGGATGCTTCTGCCTCACAACCCTGTGTGTTCTTCCCTCTGCCTGAAATAATCTTTTACCTATAATCCTTCTGGTCCCTTCTTCATTCATTTCTTTGCTCAGTTTTAGTATTATAAGAAAGGCCTCGGCCGGGCACGGTGGCTTGCGCCTGTAATCCCAGCACTTCGCGAGGCTGAGGTGGGCAGATCAATCATGAGGTCAGGAGATCGAGACCAACCTGGCTAACACGGTGAAACCCTGTCTCTACTAAAAATACAAAAAATCAGCTGGGCGTGGTGGTGGGTGCCTGTAGTCCCAGCTACTCGGCAGGCTGAGGCAGAATGGTGTGAACCCAGGAGGCAGAGGTTGCAGTGAGCTGAGATCGTGCCACTGCACTCCAGCCTGGGCGATAGAGCGAGACTGTCTCAAGAAAAAAAAAAAGAAAGGCCTCCTCTGACCACCCTATTAAAAATACATTCTCTCCATTTACTCTCTGTGCACTGCCTTATATTGTGTGTAAGCACTGATTATCACCTCATATATGTTTTTGTTTAGTGACGTTTGTCTCCTCACTGGAGTGTAATCTCCAGGAGTGGAGGAATGTTATCTATTTGCTTCTGTCTCCTCAGTGCTTAGAATAGTCCTAGTATATGGCAGAGACACTATAAATATTAGTTGAATAAATGAGTTAATGGAAATCTGTCTTCCATGGAGGTAACTAATAGGTGGTGAACAAATCAGCATAAATAAGGGATATTGCAAAATATTTTTTGTCTTCTAATGAATTCCTAACCTAATTCTAATTTCTCTTTGTGTGTGTGTGTGTGTGTGTGTGTGTTTGCATGTGTTTGCCTGTCTGTACAAGTTGACCCATATCTTGGGGAACCTATAGTGTCATAGTTGTAACCAAACTGAATAACATGCTTTGTTTATGACTTTCTTTGAGCATTTGTAGCAGAGCATATTCATTCGGGGAGGGAATATTTTACAATAAGGACTTTTATTTCTATTTCTTAGGTATTCCCCCATAGAAGGGAATAAAATTCGATTTCCTTATCCATTATATCAGGAAAGAAAAAGTAAAACTAAAAACCAGGACATGAGCATTAGCCTTTCCCTCAAAATGTTTGCACAGTTGCATCCCATTTGCTTCTTCCAAAGTCCACATTCATAAAAAGAAATGGATCTTACATTGTTGCCTCTCAAACATTTATATCGTGTAGGCTTATATGTATGTCTTTAGAAGGCCTTTTATGTAATGACACCATTACTGCTTGTGATTATTCTGATATGATACTTTATCTGTTTTTTTTTCCTAAATATCACAAGCTATTAAATTTATTTCACAATTGACTAGTAGACCACTTTGTCAATTTGGAAAACATTCTTGTTAAAGACAAACATATCTACATCCAGAAACTTTCTATACCTTGCTTTCAAAGAGACAGCATTCTTTGCTAGCCTTCCAATTTTGACTCAGTGCAAAAGCCTTAGAAGGATCCAGTGCATAGGTCTTCATGCTTTCCTTTCACCCCAAGTGATTATCAACTTTGATTTTTCTCTTCAGCAATAACTCACTTGGTGTACCCCTACCTCAGGTACAGCTTTTCAACTTTGCAGCAAAACTGTACTTTCTAGTTCTTTTTGTATTTCAGATACCTTACTTGTAAAAGCTCTTTTGCTCTATGACCTGGCTCAAACTTAAACTTGGATTTGAAGTTAGAAGAAATGTTGGAAGTCATTTATATATGAAGAAATGTTGGAAGGACTCATATATGCATACATTCCTTGAGTGACTATGAATGACTGCCGGGCAGTAACTTCTGGGCTGTGGTTGTAAACTGTGAGCACTACAAAATGTTTTTCCTTATTGATACCATATTATGGTAGGAAAGACATGGAATAAAAAATTTAGATAGTATGTCAGTAGTTGTGTTTTTAAATGGGTTTCATTAGTGCTTAGCAATTGGGAGCTTGGTGGACCATCTCTTGGTTTTGGACCATCTCTTGGTTTCTGTCAGTATGTAAACCAGAAACTTCAAATGTGTCACAAAAGATGAGCAGAACTATCCCGAGGTTCATTAAAGTCTTTTACTCTGTCCTCAGTGTGAAATCTTAAATCTTTGAACAAAAAAATTCACTATCTCTCTGAATCCTTTGTCCTTACAGGAGAGAAAAATCAAAGTAAGTTAATTACTGTTCAAGACAGAGAATCAGAAGAAGAGCTTTCTTGTTGGCAAATCTGGCAACAAATTGCAAATGACTTAACCAGGTGTCAAGACTCCATGATCAATAATTCTCAGTGTCACAAACAAGGTGATTTCCCTTACCAGGTAGGGACAGAACTGTCTATTCAAATTTCTGAAGATGAGAACTATATAGTAAATAAAGCAGATGGTCCCAATAATACTGGGAATCCAGAGTTTCCTATCTTGAGAACCCAGGATTCTTGGAGGAAAACATTCCTGACTGAGTCACAGAGATTGAACAGAGATCAGCAAATTTCCATAAAAAATAAATTATGTCAATGTAAGAAGGGTGTTGATCCCATCGGTTGGATTTCACATCATGATGGTCATAGAGTACACAAAAGTGAAAAATCTTATAGACCCAATGATTATGAAAAAGACAACATGAAGATTTTGACATTTGATCACAATAGCATGATTCACACAGGACAGAAATCGTACCAGTGTAATGAGTGTAAAAAACCCTTCAGTGATCTCTCCAGCTTTGATCTTCATCAGCAGTTACAATCAGGAGAGAAGTCTCTTACATGTGTTGAGCGTGGAAAAGGCTTCTGTTACAGCCCAGTTCTTCCTGTTCATCAGAAAGTACATGTGGGAGAAAAACTTAAGTGTGATGAGTGTGGTAAGGAATTCAGTCAGGGCGCTCATCTACAGACCCATCAGAAAGTCCACGTGATAGAGAAACCATACAAATGTAAGCAATGTGGGAAAGGTTTCAGTCGTAGATCAGCACTTAATGTTCATTGCAAGGTCCACACGGCAGAGAAACCTTATAATTGTGAGGAGTGTGGGAGGGCCTTCAGTCAGGCCTCTCATCTTCAGGACCATCAGAGACTCCACACTGGGGAGAAGCCATTCAAATGTGATGCATGTGGTAAGAGCTTCAGTCGGAATTCACATCTTCAATCCCATCAAAGAGTTCATACAGGAGAGAAACCATACAAATGTGAGGAGTGTGGTAAGGGCTTCATTTGTAGCTCAAATCTTTACATTCATCAGAGAGTCCACACAGGAGAAAAACCCTATAAATGTGAGGAATGTGGTAAAGGCTTTAGTCGGCCTTCAAGTCTTCAGGCCCATCAGGGAGTTCACACTGGAGAGAAGTCATACATATGTACTGTATGTGGGAAAGGCTTTACTCTGAGTTCAAATCTTCAAGCCCATCAGAGAGTCCACACTGGAGAGAAGCCATACAAATGCAATGAGTGTGGGAAGAGCTTCAGGAGGAATTCCCATTATCAAGTTCATCTAGTGGTCCACACAGGAGAGAAACCCTATAAATGTGAGATATGTGGGAAGGGCTTCAGTCAAAGTTCGTATCTTCAAATCCATCAGAAGGCCCACAGTATAGAGAAACCTTTTAAGTGTGAGGAGTGTGGGCAGGGTTTCAATCAGAGCTCACGACTTCAGATTCACCAGCTGATCCATACGGGTGAGAAACCATACAAATGTGAAGAGTGTGGCAAGGGATTTAGTCGTAGAGCAGATCTTAAAATTCACTGTAGGATCCACACAGGAGAGAAACCATATAATTGTGAGGAGTGTGGGAAGGTCTTCAGGCAGGCCTCAAATCTTTTGGCCCATCAGAGAGTCCACAGTGGAGAAAAACCATTCAAATGTGAAGAATGTGGGAAGAGTTTCGGTCGGAGTGCACATCTTCAAGCCCATCAAAAAGTCCACACTGGAGATAAGCCATACAAATGTGATGAGTGTGGGAAGGGCTTCAAGTGGAGCTTGAACCTTGACATGCATCAGAGGGTGCACACAGGAGAAAAACCATATAAATGTGGGGAGTGTGGTAAGTACTTCAGTCAGGCCTCAAGTCTTCAACTTCATCAGAGTGTCCACACAGGAGAGAAACCATACAAATGTGATGTGTGTGGTAAAGTCTTCAGTCGGTCTTCACAACTACAGTCTCATCAGCGAGTTCACACTGGGGAGAAACCTTATAAATGTGAGATATGTGGTAAGAGCTTCAGTTGGCGATCAAATCTTACAGTTCATCACAGAATCCATGTTGGTGATAAATCCTATAAAAGTAATAGGGGTGGTAAGAACATCAGAGAATCCACACAGGAAAAAAAATCTATAAAATGATTCTTTGTGAAGACTCGTGTCATTTGAATTCTTCCAGTTATCAAGTCTCAAAGTCAGTGTTTCAGCCGTAGCTCCTCATGTCCCAGTGGTCCAAAGACAACAAAACAATCTTTATGATTAGCATAGCAAGGGCTTCTTTAGTCAGAACCTTGACCTTTATAAAATGTTACTTAGAAGAGGGGTGTTAAGAGTGAAATTTTTCTCAGGCCTTTTATAAAAGTATCATGGTGGACATGCCAAAATTAAGTGTCCACTAGAATGTTAACTCCATAAAGACAGAAACTTTGTTCACTACTGAATCTACATAATCTTACCATTGCCATATACTTCACAGGTGCTCAATATTTGTTAATAGGTCCTTTTTGAAAATTATGTTGAGATCACCTGCAGAATATCATGAATTTGTAAACAGGAAACCTGAAAGTAGCCTTAATAAGATTAAGTCGGGAGACCATTGAAATGTAGAAAACCACTCAATACTGAACTCCCCAATGTTAATTTGGCATTGTCTTGTGATTAGATCCTGTCCTCCTTTAGCCTCACTAATCAAGTTGGGTCCTATCTTCCCAGATGTCTAGTTTTCTACTGGTTTTATACCATATAGATTCAATTATCTTTTGTAACAGATAATTGTGTTCATCTTGTAATAACTGGACACTACATACTACACTTATTTTTTCAACACTGTTAAGGCAGGGGTTTAAGTGTCAGAGTTGCTAATGACACATTTTTTAGTAGATGTTGATCATTGGTTTTTTCACATTTTCATTCAGGCTTTGACATGATTGCCTTCTAAGGGCTTTAGCATTACTTTAATCAGAGTTTAGGTTGCGGCTATTGCAGATTTCTTTTGTGAACTTCTCTCCCCCATATTCTGAGAAAAAGGACAAAATATTAGTTAAAATTTGATAAATTTCATCAAAAATCGATTTTTGGAGCATGACTTTCACCCTTTTTCCTAGTGGTGGCAGTGAAAAAAATGCTTTTGGAAGAGAAGTTAGTATGTATCAGAATATAGAATGTGCATCTCTTTTTTCTGGAATTCATAGAATAGGAATTTTTGATTAGGAGATTCAAGTAGAAAATGTAAGTAGCACATCAGTGTTAATGAATTTTGTAAAAATAGAAATAATTTTTTATATACTACAGTAAAAAGGATCCTTGAAAATGATGACCAAATTTTATGACAGAAGAGTGTAACAGTTTAGTTTAAGAACATCACAGGCTGGGTGTGATGGCCCACGTCCATAATCCCCGTACTTTGGGAGGCCGAGGTGGGTGGATCACCTAAGGTCAGGAGTTCGAGACCAACCTGGCCAACATGGTGAAACCCTGTCTCTACTAAAAATACAAAAGGTAGCTGGGCGTGGTGGTGCGTGCCTGTAATCCCAGTTACTTGGGGTGTTGAGGCAGGAGAATCGCTTGAACCTGGGAGGCGGAAGTTGCAGTGAGTCAAGATGTTGCCACTGCACTCTAGCCTGGGCGATAGAGTGAGACTCAGTCTTAAAAAAAAATCACATACCTTAAATTCGTGTGTGTCCATGTGAGTGAATAGTGCATCTAATCGTGAGTCTGTCCTATGCCACCACAGCATCGAAGAGAATGCAGGAATTTTTTTCACATTTAACTTCTATATTTTAATTTTTTAACTGAGCATCGGTTTTATAGTAAAATACTGTTATTTTACAGTAACATAGTAAAAATATAATTTAAAAAATTACTAGAATATATTAATCCCTTACAGTTAAGAAATCTTGTGTCATCATATAGCATATAAGGCCAAAATTAAAGAATGGAACTCTGGAAATCAATTATAAAAACTTGTATGGTGGTTCAAAGATACAGATGCATTGGTAAGAGTGAATATATATTTGCAGTGAATGCATTTGAAGCTGCTTCTTAGGTACAAATCTATGCAATCAATACAGTTTTAATGTAATTCCAGTAGTAGGAATGCTTCTTAATTCTTGACAGACTTACTCACTGGCTGAATGGATAGATAACCCAGGGCACTGGCTTGTCTTTTCAAGTGCTTGGTCTGATTGGGGGAAATGGCTGGGCCTTTCTAGGTACTGTATGGCAAGGAAAATCGAGCTGTGGAAAAAAGGAATAATAAAATTTACAGAGGCCAGGTGCGGTTGCTCGTGCCTCTAATCCCAGCACTTTGGATGGCTGAGGCAGGTGGATCACCTGAGGTCAGGAGTTTGAGCCCAACCTGGCCAACATGGTGAAACTCCATCACTATTAAAAAAAAATACAAAAACTAGTCGGGTGAGGTGATGGGCGCCTGTAATTCCAGCTACTCAGGAGTCTGAGGCAGAAGAATCATTTGAACCCAGGAGGTGGAGGTTGCAGTGAGCTGCGATCGTGCCACTGCACTCTAGCCTGGGTGACAGAGCAAGACTCTGTCTCAAAAAAAAAAAAAAAAAAAAAAAAACCCAAGAAGGTGAGGGCAAATTCAGAAGCTATAGAGTGGAAATATGTAATTTTTGAGGTAAAATTTAACAAAGATTCCCTGAGGAAAAGATGTGCGTAGGGAGAGAACAGCATGATGCCAGTGAAAACAAACTGGGAACAGGCAGTTAAGCAGGATCGAATACCATTTCTTTCTTAGGCGTTTCTGTGACATTTAAAGCTTATTTGGTTAAAGGCTTTACTCAGCAAAGGATATATCTGTGAGGTTTCCACAATTTTCTCTATTTGGATTACAATTCCTGTTGTTCCTGGACTGCATCTTCACATGCTAAGTATGTAAAGTCCATGATACCTCAAGTTGTGTTAGATATCAGAAATCCTGAGTCTTCGATGTTTAGTTTGCTCTTAGATATCAGGATAGCCCACCAACTCTCAGTAGCTTAGTGAGTTAAGTCAGGGGTCAAAAAACTACCCCCTGTGGGCCCAATCCAGCCCACTTCCTTAAAGGTTTATTAGAATATAGCAATGCCTGTGTTTTAGTGTATTATCTATGCTTTCTTGCTGCAGTGTCAAAATTTAGTAGTTGTGACAAAAACTATGGACCACAAAATCTAAAATATGTGCTTTCTGGCCCTTTACAGAAAAACGTGTACTAAGCCTTATGTTAAACCAAATGATTTGTCTCCCATAACTTAAAAAAGACCCCAGGTAGAGCAGGACTTAGACCTGCTTCTGTCAGGATTCCAAAATGATTTTTTTTGATTCTCATATCTGCCCTTCTGGTTAACCCTGGTCTTTAGGTTCAAGATGGGGCTAGCAACCAGGGAGCACCTATCTTTTCTTTTCAGTCAGTGGAAGGGAGGTGCTCTTTCATTTGTAGTGTTAGGTAGTTTACTACTCACAGTGTTTGTGGCTCCTCTGGCCTTGATTCTCATCTACACTCAAGATTAGACAGCTAGTTGTGTGTCCAGTTCTTTTGGCCTTTGTGAACTATCAAGTTTCAACTCAGCCAGGTGCAGTGGCTCACACCTGTAATCCCAGCCCTTTGGGAGGCTGAGGTGGGAGGATCTCTTGAGCTCAGGGGTTCAAGATTAGCCTGGGCAATATAGTGAGACCCTGTCTCTCCAAAAAAAGTTTTAAAAGTTAGCTAGCCATGGAGGCACACATGTGTGGTTCCAGGTACTCAGGAAGCTGAGATGGAGGGATCACTTGAGCCCAGGAGGTTAAGGCTGCAGTGAGCTGTGGTCCCAACACTGAACTGCAGCCTGGTGACAGAGTTGAGACACTGTCTCAAGAAAAAAATAAGTTTCATCTCTCCCTTGCACCATGGACTCAACTTCCCTATTTTGAGCCTCCAGGAGATTTTTCTATCTTAGCTTTTAGCTTGGCTGCATATTAACATTTGGGAGAATTTGTTATATATTATCAGGATTCCTTTGTTTTTGAGAAAGAGGGATGCAAAGCCAAAATCAGCGGCTGAATGACAACACATTTAATTCAGAACTTTTAGGGTGTCTTATGTCACAAGGCATCAATGAGAAGGAATGGAATCCTGAAAAATTTGGGAACAGATGAGCAGATTCCAACAAAGCTGAGGGTTTTGCTCAATCTAGCTGAGCATCTCTTGCCGTTAGAAGGAGCCCTTCTTCCTCTATTTGAAGTCAGTCTCCCTTGCCTGAAAAGCCTGTGATGACCTTCCCTGAGATGGTTTCCTTGCAAAAGGCTTTAGATCCTCAAGACTTGCTTCCACTACCTCTCATTTTTCTAGACCAATAATGAAACTCGGGTCTTCACAGACAATGGGAGGAGTCACCAAGTAGAAAATACGACCATGAGGAGATACATCGCCAAAGTAAGGATTTTTGTAATTTATATCAATAGAAACCTGAGAAATAGATATGGTTGTAGATCTTACCAGTGTTGAATCAGGTGGAAATAATACAATGATGGATTAGGCTGGATTTGCTGATATGGGTGTAGTGAACAGTGATTCCAGACCCACTGTTAGCTTGAGCACCTGGGAATAGTTTCAACAGTTTTCTCAGTTGTATGAAACTTGGATGCAAAAACGTTAGCCTACCCTAAAGTAAAAAAAAGCCAGAACTTTGTAAGTATGTTATAGAATTTCTCGACCTTGGCACAACTGACATTTTGGACTGGATAGCTCTGTTAGGGGATGCTCTATGCATTGTAGGATGTTTAGCAGCATCCTTGGCCTCTAGCCACTAGATGCCAGTAGCACACGTGATGCGCGCGCGCGCGTGCATACACACACACACACACAAACACACACACCTCAGTTATAACAAGCAAAAATGTCTCCAGACACTGCCAGACAGCAGTGCGGGGGTTTGGAAATTGTCCCCAACTGAGAACCAGTGTTATAGAACATATACAGAGACATAGGAATGCCAGAATGCTGGAGTGGATGTATGTAAAGCCTTACTCAACCCTTGTACTCTGGGAAGATTCGGAAGACACTCTTTGCCAAGGACTTGAGAAGTTCATTGGCGAGAGGAGCATTGGCAGTTTGGGAGAGCTCTGTAGTAACTCTTCTCGGCAGACCAGGAATGGGAGAGGAAAATTGTGACATTGAAATGGGCTTTAAAAAAAAATTCAATGAGGATGATGGGATCCTGGAGCATTAGGGGTCAAGTGGAGGCACTTTACTGGTAGAGACAAAATGAGTGCGTTTATCACAATGATCAGCAAAGTCAAAGGGATTATCAGAGATCTTTGCATTTGTTCATAGATTGTGGTGTCCCTCTGGCTGAAATAGACCAGAAGCCTACTGAATCCCTGCTTGATTTGAATAAGTGGAAAGACTCTGGGTCTGGTAAATCAACATGAGAGAGAATTGTGGCCTCTAAGGCAATTACATAATGTGAATGAGTTCTCATTCCCAGAACACCTTGAATGAAGTGTAGGTCAAGTCTTCTTGAGAAAGTACACTGATACGCTGCCGAAACTGACTTATACTACCATAAATCATCCTGCACTTCTGCAAAGTGACTTGGCAACCATATTTAATGGAGCTGTGATTAGGTAATTGGAAACAGCCTGAATATGGAGGGATTGATTACTGGTCACTAGAGCTGAATTGACATTAACTCTGAGAACCCTAAAATGTCACTGTAGCCCACCAGGTAGCAGAAGGGCTTATAGAGGATGAATAATTAATGAATGTTTTTGCTTAGGCCCGTTTGTGGTGGTCTGAATGGAGCCCTGAACTCATCCTCTGATTATTTCCCAAGTTTCAGAATGCAGAATTGCACCAGCTGCATTCAATAGCTGACAGAATCCTCATACTGAATGTTCCCTGATCCATGGAAAGAGGGCTATTTTGCCAAGGACAAACACTATAAATGCTTTGTATGTGCCAAAAAAAATGATAACCTGAAAGCAAAACCACATTCATGGAGGAATTGCAGAGGTTAGTGCCACTAGCAGTATCTTGAAAGTTGCAAGGGTTATGGTTCTATCACATCCTGATTCAACCCTGGTGATCAATAGGGTGACAGATGTTGCAGCCAGATCACCTTCATGTTCATATGCTGATTGATTCACTCAATTGACGTGTGCAGAGATACTTATATCCTAGAGAATTACATGAAATTATTTGAAATTTAATTAGAAATTGACTTCATTTGCAGTTCCAGATGTGGTTTTATTTCTACAGCAAATCAACATGTCTGCTGGCACCTGATATAGAGAGCCACCAAGCCAATATGTGCCTTTTTCTCTATACCTGCCTGTAAATGTCATCCACAGAAGTTTAGTTTGGTAGGGCCATCAATACACTTTTAAGGTCCCAGCTCAGTTCTGTATCTACTTTCCAGTATTTTTCACAATTTACCCAGGGATTGGTAAACTATGTTTCATGGACTAAATCTCCTGCAACTTGTTTTTATAAATTGTCTCATTGAAGCATAACCATAACCAGTTTTTACATATTACCCAGGAGTGCTTTTATGCTAAAATGACAGTGTTGAGTAGTTAGGCCACAGAGATCATGTGATCTGCAATGCCTAAAATATTTACTGCCCGGCTCTTTACAGAAATAACTTTCTGACCCCTGCTCTACTCTGTAGATACAATGCTGATTGTACTTTCTAAGCAGAAAGAAGCAATTACAATAGACATTTTGGTTAGAAGATGGATAATACAAAAATTCAGGAGCTGGCCATGTTCATTAGATTCCTAGAGGACTGGCCGGGTGCGGTTGCTCATGCCTGTAATCCCAGCACTTTGGGAGGCCGAGGCAGGTGGATCACGAGGTCAGGGGTTCAAGACCAGCCTGGCCAGGATGGTGAAACCCTGTCTCTACTAAAAATACAAAAATTAGCCGGGTGTGGTGGCGGGCGCCTATAATCCCAGCTGTTCAGGAGGCTGAGGCAGAGAACTGCTTGAATCCGGGAGGCGGTGGAGGTTGCAGTGAGCCGAGATTGCGCCACTGCACTCCAGCTTGGGTGACAGAGCGAGACTCCATTAAAAAAAAAAAAAGATTTCTAAAGGACCAGTGGTATCGGATATTCCAAGATACCTGTTCCAAAGTGAAGAGCAAATAGCTGCATATGACCCTTCTAAAACCACCAGGGAAGAGACACAATGACTACTAGGATTCTTAGTGAGTTTTGTATGTGTGTGCTTCACTTTAAACATTTATTATGGTACAAAAACACATAACACTAAATTTACCATCTTAACCATATTTTATCTTAACATTTTTAAGTGTACAATTCATTAGTGTAAATTGTATTCATATTATGCAACAGATCTATAGAACTTTTCATCTCACAGCACTGAAAATCTATACCAGTTAGATACTATTTCCTCCCCCCTCCTCCCAGCCCCTGGTAACTACCTTTCTAAATTTTGTTCCTATAATTTTGACTACTTTAGATACTTCATGAGTAGACTCTTACAGTATTTGCCCTTTTGTGATTTGCTTATTTCACTTAGCATAATGTTCTCGAGGTTGATTAATGTCGTGCCATGTGGCAGGATTTTCTTCTTTTTAAAGGCTGCATAATATTGCATTGTCTGTGTACAGCACATTTTCTTTATCCATTCTTCTGTCAATGGACAGTTGGATTGCTTCTACATCTTGGCTATAATGCTGTGATGAATATCTATTCCTTTGAGATCCTGCTTTGAGTTCTTTTGGATATATACCCGGAAGTGGGATTGCTGGATTATCCAGTAATTCTATTTTTAATTTTTTGAGGAGCCTCCATATTATTTTCCATAATGGCTATACCATTTTACATTTCCACCAACAGTGCACAGGTCTTCCAACGTTACATCCTTGACAACACTTGTTATTTTTCTCTTCCTTTACCAGTGACCACAATAGTGGGTGTGAGGTGATATCTCATTACAGTTTTGATTTGCATTTTCTAAAAGATTCATGATATTGAACATCTTTTCATGTACTTATTGACAATTTATGTATCTTCTCTGGACATGTGTGTTTAAGAACTTTGCCCATTTCTTTCATTGGATTATTTGGGGTTTTTTTGTTGTTGTTGTTATAGAGTTGTAGAAGTTTCTTATATAATCTGGATATTAACCCTTTATCAGATATATAACTTGCAATTTTCCTCCATTCTGCAGGCTACCTTTTCACTCTGTTGATTGTTTCTTTTGATGCACAGAAGTTTTTGAGTTTGATATAATCCCATTTGTCTATTTTTCTTTCCATTATCTGTGCTTTTGTTGTGATAGCCAAGAAATAATTGCCAAATCTAATGTTCTGAAGGTTTTCCTTTATATTTTCTTCTAGGATTTTAACAGTTTTAGGTCTTACATTTAGGCCTTTAATCCATTTTTATTTAATTTTTGTATACAATGTAAGGTAAGGGTCTAACTTTATTCTTTTGCATATGGATATCCAGTTTTCCCATTACCATTTTTTGAAGAGACTGTCCTTTCCTCATTGTGTAATCTTGGCACTCTTGTCAAAATCATTTGGTTATATATGCAGGGGTTTATTTCTGGGTTCTGTGTTATATTGGTTATATGTCTATATGCCAGTACCACGTCATGTTAATTACTGCTGCTTTTGAAGTATGTTTTGAAATTAGGGAGTGTGAGGCATCTGAGATTGCATACAAATTTTAGAATTTTTTTTTCCTATTTCTGAAAAAAAGTCATTGGGATTTTGATAGTGATTGCATTGAATCTGTAAATCACTTTGTGTAGCATGGAAATTTTAACATTATTAAGTCTTCAAACCCCTGAGTACAGGATGAGTTCCCATTTATTTGTATCTTCTTAGATTTCTTCTTTTATTAATAACAATGTTTTGTAGTTTTCAATGTAAAAATATTTCAGTTATTTGATTAAGTTCTTTCCTCAGTATTTTACCCTTTTTGATGCTATAGTAAATGAAATTTTCTTTTCACGTTGGTGATTGCTAGTATATAGAGATGC
This sequence comes from Homo sapiens, assembly GCF_000001405.40. Taxonomy (NCBI): domain Eukaryota; kingdom Metazoa; phylum Chordata; class Mammalia; order Primates; family Hominidae; genus Homo; species Homo sapiens. The sequence continues at coordinate 44,186,525 of NC_000019.10, forward strand.
AACTGATTTTTTAGTGCTAACTTTGTATCTTGCAACTTTGCTGAGTTATTAGTTGTAGCTTTTTTGTGTACGTGGGATCTTTCTACATATAAGACCAAGTCATCTGCAAATGGAGAAAATTTTAATTCTTCTTTCCAATTTGGATGTCTTTTTAAAAACTTTCTGATTGACCTGGCTAGAATATCCAGTACTATGTCAAATAGTAGTGGTAAGTTGGGCATCCTTGCCTTGTTCCTGATCTTAGAGTAAAAGCTTTCAGTATTTCTCCATTGAATATGATATTAACTGTGGGCTTTTCATATATGGCTGTCATTATATTTAGGTACTTTCCTTTCATTTCTAGTTAAGTGGTTTTTTTTTTTTAATCATGAAAGGCCCTTTATTTTGTTATGTGGTGTATTACATTGATTGATTTTTATATGTTGAATTATACCAGGTATAAATCTTGCCTGATCATGACCTGTGATTCTTTTAGTGTGCTGTTAAATTTAGTTTGCTAGTGTTTTGTTTAGGATTTTTGCATCAATATTTATCAGAGATATTGGTCTACAGTTTATTTTCTTGTGTGTCTTTGCTTTTGGTATCAGGTTAATGATGACTTATAGAATGAGTTTGAGAGTGTTCCTTCCTCTTCACTTCTTTGGAAGAATTTAAGAAGAATTTGTATGTTAATTCTTCTTTAAATATTTGGTAGAATTCTGCAGTGAATCCATCAGGTCCTAGAGTTTTCTTTCTTAGGAGGCTTTTGATGACTACGTCCAATGCCTCACTAGTTATACACCTGTTCAGTTGTTTTCTTAAAATTTCTTCATGATTAAGTCTTGATAGGTTGCATATTCCTAGTTTATCCATTTCTTCTAGGTTATCCAATCTGTTGGTGTATTCTTCTTCATAGTAATCTCTTATACTTTTTTTATTTCTGTGACATCAGTCATAATGTCTCCTCTTTCATTTCTAATTTTAAATATTTGAGTCTTCTCTTTTTCTTAATCTAGCTAAGAAATTAATTTTAATTATTTTTACTAATTAATTTGTCAATTGTGTTAATCTTTTCAAAACAGACTCTTAATTTTCTTTTTAAAAGTTATTTTCTTCTCTCTATTTTCTACTCTAATCTTTACTATTTTATTCCTTCCGCTGACTTTTGGTTTGCTTGTTCTTCTTTTCCTATTTCCTTAAAGTATAAGCTTAGGTTGTTGATTTGAGATATTTCTTGTTTTTAAAGGTAAGTGTTTACCAATATAAATGTCCCTATTTGGATTGCTTTCACTGCATCTCATAAGTTTTGAAATGTTGTATCTCTGTTTTTATTTGTCTCCTGATGTTTTCTAAATTCCTTTATGATTTATTTTTTGGCCCATTGGTTGTTTAAGCATGCATTGTTTAATTTCCACATATTTGTGGAATTTCTTGTTTTCCTTCTACTATTAATTTGTAGTTTTATTCCAGTATAGTTAGAGAAGATACTTTGTATAATTTCAGTCTTCCTAAATTTATTAAGACTTGTAATATAGCCTAACATGGTCTATCTTGGAGAATGTTTCATGCACACTTGAGAAGAATGTGCATTTTACTGTCGTTAGGTGAAGTGTTCTGTATGTATCTGTTAGATCCAGTTGGTCTTTAGTGTTGTTCAAGTCCTCCGTTTCCTCATTGATCTTCTGTCTAGTTCTATCCATAATTGAAAGTGGGATATTAAAGTATCCTACTATTATTGTGTTGCTGTTTATTCCCCATTCAGTTCTGTCAATGTTTGTTTTATATATTTGGGCACTCTAATGTTAGGTGCATATATATTTACGTAGCCCTCTGTATCTGCAGGTTCTGCATCCACAGATTCAACTAATCTTGGATCAAAAATATTTGAAAAGAATGAACCGTTGCATTTGTACTGAATATGTACCAACTTTTTTGGGTGATTATTCCCTAAACAATACAATATAATGACTATTTGCATGGTATTGACATAATATTAGGAATTATAAATAGCCCAGAGATGATTTAAAGTATATGAGAGGATGTGCATAGGTTATATGCAAATATTGTGCCATTTTATGTAAGGGACTTGAGTATCCATGGATTTTGGTATCCACAGAGTGTCCTGGAACTAATCCCCTGTGAATACTGAGGAACAACTGTCATTGTTGTATCTTCCTAGTGAGTTGAACTTTTAATCATTATATGATATCCTTCTTTGTCTCTTGTGACAGTTTTTGTCTTAAGTCTATTTTGTCTGATATAAATGTCAATCTAAATAGAAGAGACAGAGTCTCTCTAAAATAAAATTACATTTATTCAGGAATGAGCATTTCAATGGGAATACAGTGGGTATATTCAGGGAGGTAAATGAAGACAAGAGTTTTATAAGGAAAAATGAAAAGGGCCACATAAGTTGTTTTGAAACAATTTTTCTTGACCACAGGGTTCAGTAACAACGGTGGTATCAGTCCAAGGTTGGACAGCCAGTTGCTGGGTAGATGTCTTCATGGAAGTAGTTTTGTTTGTGTAAGGTCATGACATTTGAGCAACAATGGAGGTTTGGAGGGAGTGGCTCTTAGGCTAGGTCTACCTGGAGTCCGTTGTTAAGTTCAATTTTGTTTGTTCTGTAGGTGTGGGCTATTATTTCAAAGCTGTAGGCCAGCATTATTGTGTTAGGAGTTGTACTTCCACAGAAATTTGACAGGCAACAGGTACAAAGTTTAAAAAGAAAGATACGAAGTAAAATTTATACTAATATGATCATCCCAGTTTGCATAATGGTTTCGAGCCATGAACCTGGGCTTAAAGGCAAGCAACTGAATCAATCAAATGATCATTGGGAATTAGGTGAGACCTAATGTAACTATGTGCGTGTTTTCTTATTTTGTGTATTTGGGTCTCAACTTCCCCAGAGGAATTTATCCAGGTATGCATGTAGTCCTAGCAATAGCATAGACACTACCTTATTTAACCAGTAGATAATATAGAAAAATTTTGTCATCTGATATCTCATGACTGGGTTGAATTAAAAGCATAGAGTGAGTGACAGTTGTATTAGGAATATTTTTAAAGTTGGACTAAAGGATTCTTTGGTCATGTAAAGATCTACAGTTGGCATAACAGATCTAACATTTTGTCAAGTTGTCCACATAAGCTACTAATTGTAAAATTTTAACTACACCATTATCCTGCCCAGTGAAAAAGTTAAGCATAGGCAAGGACAAACTAAGAGGGGCAACAGTCTCATTATGATAAAGATTGTTCTGGCATCTTGAGAAAGCTGTCCACAGCATAAAGACATCAACTTCTCATCCTGGTTTGTAGTTTGAATGTCTCTCGTTATAGCATCGGGTGGTTTGGTGAACTTTCTGCATGACCCACAAATCAGGCATGAGGCTTGTCTCTTAAAATTTACATCAAGTTTTCTAGCTTCAGCTTACAGGGCTTTAGGAAAGAGTAGTTCCCATTCTTAGTAATAACATGGGAGAAAATTAGATTAGGGAACCTAGAATAACTTAGGATCCAGTCTGGTCTACAGTAGATAATAAAAACTCAAAGACAATGCACAGAACTACAATCTAATAACAGATGTATTATAGTCCTTTTCTAGAAACATAATTTTGTCTCTATATAGTTATCCTAATTTCTACCAAAGATAATTACAGTAAGACTGATTTGTTTGTAAATAAGTTTAGTTTTATTATTATTTTAGGTTCTTGTATTATTTTATTAGTTTTATTATTTTAGTTTTTTAAAGTTTATTTATTACTTAATAATTTACATAAGAGCAGCAAGAGTAGTAAATTGAGCACAAAAGAATCTCAGATTTTATTTTATTTTATTTTTTTGAGGCGGAGTCTCGCTGTGTCGCCCAGGCTGGAGTACAGTGGCGCGATCTCGGCTCACTGCAAGCTCCGCCTCCCGGGTTCCTGCCATTCTCCTACCTCAGCCTCCCGAGTAGCTGGGACTACAGGCGCCCGCCACCACGCCTGGCTAATTTTCTTTGTATTTTTAGTAGAGATGGGGTTTCACCATGTTGGCCAGGATGGTCTTGATCTCCTGACCTCTTGATCCGCCCGCCTCGGCCTCCCAAAGTGCTGGGATTACAGGTGTGAGCCACCGTGCCTGGCCAAGAATCTCAGATTTTAAACCTCCTTGAGTCTAGAAAGCCAAACAAAGGCAGACTTCAGACTTTGTTTGCAGTACCAATAAAAATTTAAATATGGCATTCCAGTTTTAATTGGTAATACAACCAATGTTTTTAACTGTATCATGTTACAAGGAGGTACAGATTCATACTGAATGTATGCAAATAATTATATTGTCATTTAAGAAACACTAGCAAATCACTTCCAAATTTTGAAGGGATCAAATAGAAAAAAATAAATATTTCCACCTTTGTTCACAGAAGTATATTTTACCAAATTGTTGTAAACTATAGATAGCTTAAGAGAAAATGTTTCCTTAAACTTGGAAGACAAAACATTTCAGTAAAAAACCAACAATGTTTAAATTAAAAGTTATAAAAACATTATCAGTTATTCAATTTCATGTAATTAGTTTTTGTTATGCTTGATCTTGATTAGCAGTTTCACAAATTCATCAGTTTCTTCACTGCAGTTGTGAAAAGTTTTATTTAGTTCATTAATCTTGAAGTTATTAGAAACTTGTATTTAAGAGTACTTATTAGAGTCTTTTCCATGAATCTGATTGCAGATACCTTTAGAGAAAAATCAAAACTATGGATGTCAAAGACTTAGAATAACCATCATTAAAAATCTGATGGGAGTTCAGCAGTTGAGAAGGAAATTCAATTATTTCTATTGTATTTAGCATTTTAAGGTAACAACCAGAATCGTGGTTGATAGCATTACATCAGGACCATCAGACCTTTTTAAATTTCACATAATATTTAATATACATCAATAACATATCCATGTAACTTAAAGAAAATATAGCATCACTTTATTATTTGACATTGATTCCCATACAATTAATCAAATAAGCCAAATTAGTTTAACATCTCTACAAGATGATACCTCCTTTAAGGTTCTCCAGGGGCCCAACTGGAAAATCTCTCAGTTAATTATAGGTCAAAAAGACTTAATTTAGAACTTTGATCCTGGAGAGACCTGCCAAAAATGTCAAAATGGTTAAAACATTTAATTAAAACAGAATCACAGATTATTGTGGAATAATAGTCATTCACTTAATCAGAGTGAAAAGAGATTCCAAAAGCAAATACAGAACATTACATGGATTAAAAAAAAAAACCTTAATTCTTTCAAAGCTCCTAAGTAATGAAAAACCTAATAAAGACAACATGAAGCATGAGAAATTATTTTGATAAAACAAAAAATCTTTGTTTCCTAGGCCAGCTATCAAAAGATAAAAACCTTCTACATATTTAAAAACCCCTTGTGATTGCTTCTCCCTATGGGAAACCCATTTCAATAACCTGGAAGTTGAGCCTGATGAAAAGGTACTTGAATTCAACTAAACACTGGAAGAGTGTGTATCCAAGGTTATGAGTGTACCATATTATAGAAAAGATAAACAAGAAAACAAGTACCTTGAGCAGGCGGATATGTGGCTCTTAGAAAAAGTAAAAGAATGTGGAATTTATTGGTTAAACAGCAATTCAGACACATCAAGAAAAGACAAAATTACAGAATCAAATTATACTGGAAGAAAATATTATTCCCCTAGATTCTCCTAGGCCTTAAAGACAAACATTTTTAGTGTTAGGCCACAATAGCAGAGTCAGAACTGGAGAGAGAGCCAGAGAGAGAGCGAGCGAGAGAGCGAGAGAAGCAAGAGGAGTGAGAGGTGAGAGAGGGAGAGAGTTACAGGAGCTGACTCCAAAGTTGAGGGAGAGGGTTATCATCCCTAAGGAGACAAGGAAGAGCTGAAGGCAATGATGCATGATTTTAGTCGTTCACTTAATCAGAGTGAAAAAAGCTTCCAAAAACAAATGCAGAACTTTACGTAGATGTAAAAAAAACAAACCTTAATTCTTTCAAAGCACCTAAGTAATCAAAAACCTAATTAAAGACAACATGAAGCATGTTTCTCATCAAATCATGTGCAATGAGATACAGCAAAGTGGAACTGAGATATGAATTTGAAAAGCTTCAAAAGGAAAGTTCTTTTGAGAAACTAAATTACTATTTTTAAATGAGGGAGATAGTATTTTAAAGCTGGAATAAGGGAAATTAAGTGGAAAGTGTAAAACAGGAAAAAGCTGCAGTTCAGAAGACGGCTGAAAATTTAAACGGATTTCAGAATATCAAAACCTCTTGCAGATTTTTTTTAACTAAAATCACATAAATACATCAAGAAAACCTTGTTGCTTTAAACATAGGTGAATGGATTCTGGTTTTGTATCACTGTATTAATACTCAATTTTTGATAAAACCTGTGAATAATTCCCTTTTAACTATAGGCAACTTGATTAAACACAAATTTTTTCCATAAGATTCATCTTATATAAAAAGAAAATTGTCTGACAAATATATCCAGGCAAAATGTATGCTTGCAATTCTGAAGACCTCACTATTTTAACAACAATTTTAAAATCAGTTTATTTACCAAAGATTTACCTAAGTCACACAAATTTTTAAAAGTTGGGTTTATTACTATTTTTAGTAAATAGTTATTTACTATTTTTTCTGATAAATTGCTTAATTTTTTTTCTTTACATCAGTTTCATAAAGTTCTTTTATATATTTCTGTAGAAGAATATTATGTATGTATAACACAGACCAAGAAACATACAGAAACACAAAAAGATCTTATAGCTTATCACTGTAAAATTGTAGTCAAGAAACTGTAAAATATACTAATATAAAATCACAAGTGTATAAAAAAAGACAGTTGGATCCAAATTATATTTCTGAAAAAATGGGACAAGTTAAGATCAGTTTTTCATATTGCTAATCTTTTTTTTTTCTTTTGCCTTTGATAGGTAATCTTATGAGGGAAGTGGACCAAATTTTGGGTAAAGCTGTTTTTATAGCATTTTAGTTTTTGAAAAATCTTTTACCCTTTTTTCCTCTTCAATTTTAAATGAGTTGTTTTAATTAACTTCTGGATATTTACATTTCAGTTAGGATTGGCTAGAAAAATAAACTTCCAAGAATCCTTGAACTTATTAACAAATTTAATACAAGCAAACAAGTTAGCAGATTCAGAGCGAGCAGAGAAAAAAAGAGAGCTAGCTTAGAAGCCCGTACATGTTAATCCTACAGTTCCAGTCTCTTAATTCAGCTCTAAGGAAACAAGCTTAGAGAGTTTAAATAATTCCCATAATGGCCGTACATTATCCTTAGTGTAATTTGCCAATTATTTTTTAAATGTGCATGAGAAAGGACCATAAATTTCAAATGTATAGCTGCCTCAAGTGCCAGAGGGCTTGGCATTCTTTAGAAGTTGAAGATCCCATTGCATTTCTTATCAATCTCTCAAGAGCAAAGAAAAGCCCAAAAATTTTGTCAAAAGCATTGACCAAGCTGTTTTGTTTTAACTAGTGTACCTGACACAGAATTCATCTTTTTATACTTGGCAGATGGCCTTTGTCCTAGTTGTCTAACCTATGACCAAGTTTTCCCTGGTTGTGTAGAAATTTTCTTGAGACTGGCAGGTGCCTCAGTGGTAATCTTCCTTGTCTGTGACTATTTTATCCTTACATGGGAGACGTTTTCTTTGGAGACTGGAGTCCGTCATAGATGGCAGTGACGTTCCTAGTGGCATTTATTATTATTCTTATTTTGTTGTTACTGTTGTTGTTTAGATACAAGGTCTCACTCTGTTGCCCAGGCTGGAGTGCAGTGGTACAATCACAGCTCACTACAGCGTTGAACTCCTGGGCAAAGTGATCCTGTTATCGCAGCCTCCTGAGTAGCTGGGGAGACACGCGTGCATCACCACATCTGGCTAATTTCTAAAGAAATATTTTTAGAGACAGGGTCTTGTTATGTTGCCCAGGCTGGTTTGGAAGTCCTGGTTTCATGTATTTCTCTCATCTCAGCCTCCCAGCTGGCTGGGATTACAGGCACAAGCCACCATGCCTGGTCCTAGTGGCTTTAATTGTCCACTAAAATCAGTTTATTTACCAAAGATTTACCTAAGTCATGTGAACTTTAAAAAAATGTGAGTTAACTACTATTTTTCTGATAAATTACTTAAGTGCTTAATTTTTTTCTTTAAGTCAGTTAAATAGAGCTCTTTCATACATTTTGGTAGAAAATATTACATACATATATAGACACAAGAACATACAGACAACACAAAAAGATATTTTCCCTTTTCCCTTTAAAATTTTAGTCATGATACATTAAAACAGTAATATACTGTGCCATTTAGAATGTTTATTTTTGCTCTTTGAAAGTGTTCAGAAACAAGCAGGGAAAACAAAAGAGCCAAATTATTTACAGTTGCATGTAACCAAATTGACATGAAACCAAATGAAGCGTGCTCACAAAAATTTTAAGCCAGGCTTGCAGAGCAAACAAAATATAAAACCGTGTTTGCAGAAAAACCAAAGCAAATTCAGTAGAAAATACATGCCTCACAGAACGTAAGTTCTGTGGGAACCAGAGTACTCTCCAAAAGAACACTTGGCCTTATACCAGAAGAGGCTTTCCAGAAAAGACAAAAAGTCTTTTGTAGTCCCACAAGGGTTGCAAGGTCCTTAATTTAAGGTGGCCTTATAGCCAAATCCAGATCCTGAATAAAGTCAAAAGAACTTACCAAACGAAGGACGTCTGAGAATCTAAGCAGAGATTCACCAGAGCAGAGAAGGAAGGCCATAGAAGCAGAGGCCACAAAAGGGGTCAATGTTGGTACCTCACTAGATTCCAGGGGATGCTGGCCTGTTTGAGGTCAGCTGACTTCTTGACACAAACTTTATGTCAACCTAAATAGCAGACACAGAGAGAAGATGTCTAAAAGAAAATTGTATTTATTCAGGAATGAGTATTGCAATGGGAATATAGTGGGTGTATTCAGGGAGGTAAAGAAAGACAAGGGCTTTTAAAGAAGTGAGGAGGGTTACATGAGTTTTTTGAAACAATTATCTTTGGCTACAAGGATCACTAACAAAGGTGGTAGTAGTTCAAGGTTGGACAGCCAGTTGCTGGGCAGCTGTCTTAACCAAAGTATTTTTGTATGTGTAAGGTTGTGGTGGCCTTTGTGCAAGGTTGTTGTGATTTTTGCAGTCTTTGTGATCGTTCCTCTTATCAGGTATATGTGCATGAGAACCTTCTTTTCATCACCTTCCCTGGCTCCATTTGTCCTGCTACGGTGACACCAGTCTTTTAGTCCATACATTTGACTTCATGAGGAGTTTGCTATAATCAATTGAATGAAGAAGAAACATGTGGACCTGCTTTATAGGTAATTCTGCATAATGTTCTAGCATCACCTAAAACCGGACAGCTGGCACACTACAGCCTCAGGCTGTGGTGGCCCCAAAGGAGAGTGGTAAAAGAAAATATTCCCATTTGTTAGAATTTTGAGTAGTGTACTTCATAGTTTTTTTTTTTCCCAGAAGGAATGATGCCAGGGGGATGAATAGTTTTGCTGGATGGTCATGGACTTCAAAGAAGCATGATTGATAATTGGTTGACAAGGCAAATTGACAATGAGGTATGTGAGTGGACTACTTTTAATGAGCAGAATATAAAATTACTTGCGGCCTATTTAATTGTCAATAATCAGCAACCTCACCAGAAGATGAGCTTAATAATCAGGTGATCAAGATGGTACATTCTGTGAATATTCTTCAAGATTTTTCTCTAGTCAACCATGTCCATTCCCAGTGGGTGCATGAACAGTGTAGTCATGGTGGAAGAAATGGAGCTTATTAGTTCAGTACTATGAAATTCCATTTACTAAATCCAATCTGGCTACAACCACATTTATATGGCCAAGCTATCAAAAGTATGGACTAACACTGGACCTCAGATAGGCACTGTTCTTCAAAGGGGACTACCAACCTCCTGCTGGAATTTGATTACACCGGACCACTTTGATCATGGAGGAGACAGCACTTTGTTTTCAGTGGAAAAGACAATTACTCTAGATATGAATTTGCCTTTCCTATTCCAATGTTTCTGATAAAAGCATCACATGTGGACTTTACAAAATGTTTTATTTTCTGCCATGGAATTCCACCCAGCATTTCTTGTGACCAGGGCAGTCATTTTTCAAAAAATGAATTGTATCCATTGGGCTCATGTTGATAGAATTCACTAAACTTACCATGATTCCTGTTAACAGTTCCATTTCAGTAGTGGGACATGCCTCAATTCTCAGAAGTCCTACCATCTCTGATTTGTCTTCCCATGTTTGTTTACCTAATTCCTACTTTAAAATGTCCTTGTCCCTAAAATCCTAGTGATTCTGCTTCTCTGATTGAACCCTGACTGATATTGAACCATTTCTGCTCCTTTTCAGACACTACCCCTCTCTCTCAACTATAATCACTTTCCTAACTTCTATCACCATTGACTACTTTTCCTTTTATCTTTATATATATGAAACCATATTGTATATATCCTTTTGTGTCTCTGTTTTGCCCAACATTATGTTTGTGAGATTGAACTATGCTGCTGTTTTATAGCAATTGTTTACTTATTTTGTTACTGTAGAGCAAGTGTAGGCACACTACATCCCATGGGTGAAATCTTGTATATATTTCGGGGTGCACATGTGTGTGTGTTTCTGCTTGCTAGAAGTGGAATTTCTGTGTCATGGAGAATACATAAATTTAACTCTAGCAGATACTGTGAAACATTTTCCAAAGTGATTGTACCAATTTACACTCTTACAAGGACCGTGGTAGAGTTCCATCTGCTCCACGTGCTTGCCAATGTTTGGTGTTGTCAGACTTAAATTATTTTTAAATTATTTTTTAAATTCACCATTCTAATTTTTTAAAAGAAGTAGAGTATAATGCTGGTTACCAGGGGCTGGAGTGGAGGGGTTGGGACATATTGGTCAAAAGATATAACATGTCAGTTATACACGAGTAATTTTTAAAAAATCAGTGATTCTGGTATGGCAATAGAGTTGTCTCATTGAGGGTTTAATTTATACTGCTGTAATGACTAATGAAGTTGAGCAAACAGAGCATGTATCTGAAGCCTTGTACATTTGTATATTCTTCATATAGTGCTTACTCAAGTGATTTGTTGATTTGTCTATTTGGTTGTCAGTCTTATTCTTGTATTTATAGGATTTCTTTATATTCTGCTTACAAGCCTTTTGACATATGTGTGTATTGTGATTATCTTTTCAACTGTGGCCAGCATTTTCACTTTCCTTATGGTACATTTGATAAACAACCATTCTCATTTTAAGTTTTTTAATTTTACTTTTCAGTTGGTACTTTAAAAAATCGTTGCCAACATTAGAGAAGGTCACAAAGATATTTTAGTAGCTATTTAAAAAAATCTTTTAATTTTAAGATCTATATTCCATATCATATTGATATTTACATATGGGATGTGCTAAAGGTCAAGATTAATTATTTTTCTATGTGAAGAATATACAATATCCTCACTTCTTAAGAGATTTCTCCATTTTATTATCTTTGTCAAATATCAAATGACTAGATATATGTAAATCTGTTTCTGAACTTTCTATTATCTTCCATTAGTCTATTCATATTTGCATATATAGCACACTTTTAATTACTGCAAATACATAAAATGTCTTGATGTCTTATCGCATAAACCCACCTCTTTCTATTTTCTTTTGATGTTTTGGTTATTCTTGACTGTTGCTTTTGTTTACAGATTTTAGACTCAGCTTGCCAGTTTTCACCAAAAAACTGCTGAGAATTTTATTAAATATATAGATTATTCAAAGGAGCACTGATAGCTTTACAACATTGAATTGTCCAGTATCTGAATAGCACCACATATTTTAAATTTTCATTGAAGTATAAATATATGTAGAAAAATGTATATGTCATATGTGTCATGATTGTTTAATTTTCAACACACTCAAAATACCAGCATCTGTATCAAGAAACTGCACATAACCAGCATGTGGTAGCCATGAAAATGTATTTCACAAATATTTTAATGCAAGTAACCAAAGACCCCTATTGTTGTGTTTTAAGGTCAATCCTGTGTTTGCATCAAGGCCAGATTTTCTGAAGGCTGCTGCTCCCAGTCAATATCTGAGAGCAGTAAGGATTCTAAGGTAGACCTGTTCAGGGAGACATGGATCTTCTCTGTTGGATAGATAAGATTGTGAATACCTGACTTTAATGGCTTTTTCTTTAATATAACTTTTCTTTCTTTTTTTTGAAATTTAGTCTCGCTCTGTTATACAGGCTGGAGTGCAGTGGTGCGATCTCGGCTCACTGCAACCTCCACCTCCAGGGTTCAAAGGATTCTCCTGCCTCAGTCTCCCAAATAGCTGGGATTACAGACATGCCACCACACCCAGCTAATCTTTGTATTTTTAGTAGAGACGGTGTTTCACCATGTTGGCCAGGTGGGTCTTGAACTCCTGACCTCAGGTGATCCGCCCGCCTTGGCTTCCCAAAGTGCTGGGTTACAGGTGTAAGCCACTGCACCTGGCCTAATGTAACTTTTCTTAAGCTGTATGGAAGTCTAGAATGATTTTATCAAATCTTCCTTTGTTGTTGTGTTGTTGTTGCTGTTGTTGTTGTTGAGACAGGGTCTCACTCTGTCACCCAGGCTGAAGTGCAGTGGCACAATCTTGGCTCACTGCAACCTCTGCCTCCCCGGCTCAAGTGATCCTCCAGCCTCTGCCTCCCAAGTAGCAGGGACTACAGGCACGTGCCACCACACCCAGTTAGTTTTTGTATTTTTTTGTAGAGACAGAGTCTCACTTTGTTCCCTGGGCTGCCTTTTGTTCTTTACTCAGTGTTAGATTTACATCATGGTGCAGCTTCTCTCCTGTTTTCTCTCACAATCATTTCCCCTAATAAAATTCTTACACAACTAATTCTGCCTTTGCATTTTTTTTCTTTCTTTCCTTTTTATTTTTCTTATTTATTTATTTTTTTGAGACAGAGTCTCACTCTTGTTGCCCAGGCTGGAGTGCACTGGCGAGATCTTGGCTCACTGCAAACTCCGTCTCCTGTGTTCAAGTGATTCTCCTGCCTCTGCCTCCTGAGTATCTGGGATTACAGGCATGGGCCACCATGCCCGGCTAATTTTGTATTTTTTGTAGAGATGGGTTTCTCCATGTTGGTCAGGCTGGTTTCGAACCCCGAACTCAGGTGATCCTGCCCACCTTGGCCTCCCAAAGTGCTCGGATTACAGGCATGAGCCACTTCGCCTGGCTGCATTTTTATTTCTAAGAGGACCTGCATTAGCACATCACCCTAAAAACGTTCGTGCCCAATTCAAATTCCTACTTTTCTCTCAAGGTAGGCACTGTTCTGATTTATAATAGCATAGATTTGCTTTGCTATTTTTTATACTTCATATAAATAGAAAAAATATGTACAATTTTGTGTTTTATTTGTCCACATTATGTCCGTGACATTTATCCATGCTGTTGGAAGTGAATATAACTGGTTTACTCTCATTAATATGTATTATTTTAATGTATAAATATCACATAACTTATTAATTCATTTAATCGTTGATTTTGTGTAGTTTCTTGTCCTTGGTTATTAAAATCAGTGCTTGTAGGCTGGGTGTGGTGGCTCACACCTGTAATTCCAGAGCTTTGGGAGGCTGAGATGGGCGGATCACAAGTTCAGGAGTTCTGGATCATCCTGGCCAACATGGTGAAACCCTGTCTCTACTAAAAATACAAAAATTAGCTTGACTTGGTGGCATGTGCCTATAATCCCAGCTACTCAGGAGGCTGAGGCAGGAGAATTGCTTGAACCCGGGAGACAGAAGTTGCAGGGAGCTGAGATTGCAGCACTGCACTCTAGCCTGGGTGACAGGGCAAGGTTTCATCTCAAAAAAAAAACATAAATAAAAAATGAATAAAATAAAATTAGTGTTTGTATAAACATAAAAAGACATGTCTTTTGCTGAACATATGAATCTCCTTCTATTGATAATATATATATAAGCATGGATCTAAGGGTTATACGACAGTTTTAGTAATAGCACTGAAAGTTTTAGTGGTAGCACTAAAACTACTCAGCTTCAGTAATTACTGCAAAACTTTATTGCAAAGTGGTTGTATAAAACTACATTCCTACACGATGCAAGTATTTGCATTTTTGTCAACCTTTCTTTGACTAATTCTTAATTTTAACCTTTATGGTTGGAATGTAGTGGAGTTCTCATAATATTTTGAGTTTCTTTGATGACTCAAGAACTTGAGTATCTTTTTATTTGATTATTGAGTATTTATGTCATCTTTTCTGAACTATCTGTTCAGTTATTTTTACATTTTTCTGATTTGTTTGCCTGACTTTTCTTACAGATTTTAGGATTTACGTATTCTTATATGCTCAGGATATGAATCTTTTGTCACATATATGGTTTACAAATTTTCTCAATTTGAGAATTACCTTTTCATTTTCTCATTGGTGCCTTAATTAAGAGAAGTTCTTCATTTTTAAAATAATCTAAGTCACCTAATTTTTTAAAAATTGTGGATTATTTTGGTCTCATATAATATTTTTTTCCACTTCAGGGCAACAAACAGGTTCTTTTGTTTCCCTAAGTGTCATTGCTTTACTTTCCAAAATTAGATCTGCATTTTTTCTGAAAGTTATATTTGTGAATTCTGTGAAGTACAGACGAATATATATTTTCCCATGTGGATATCTAATTGATGAAGAAGCACATATTAAAAAGAATTTTTATAATCTGTACAGTAGCATATTCTTTTCACAAATGAAATGACAGTATTTACTTTGATCTACACTCTATTCTCTTCCTTTATCTATATATCTTTAAGCAAATGCCACACTGATATTGTAGCTTTATAATATGATTAGATATCTCATAAAGTAAGTCTTCCATTTTGTTATTCTTTCACATTATCTTGACTATTCTTAGCTCTCAGATTTTACTCCAAATTTTTATAATATTTGTATCAATTTCCAGAAAAAATTCTAGTATTTTTATTGGGTTTGCATTGATATGATGGATTACTTTGGTGAAGAATATTGAGATGTTTAAAATATTAAATTGTCTATCCATAAATATTATTTATTATAATTATTTTAAAGGTTTTTTGTATATGCAGGAAAATAAAAGCAGATCTTTACCTAATAATATTTACATAGATTTCAAAAGGATTAAAGGGCCTAAATGGGAAAGGTAAATGTAGAAAGTTAATTTTTTTAATGTAGGAGAATATTCTTGAAACCTAGGACTTTCAAAAGCACAGAAATTAAGGAAAATGCTTATTAAATTTCTCTCCTCAAAATTAAGGATGCTTATTCAATGTGAGACACAGTATATGAATATTAAAATCAAGTACAGGTGCCAAGACAATTCAATGAAAAAAGAACAGTCTGTTCAACAAATAGCAAATAGTGCTAAGAAAACTGGATGTGCACATGAAAAAGAATGAAGTTGGACCCCCTACTTTACATCATATACAAAAATTAACTTATAGTGGGTAAAAGGCCTAAATGTAACAGCTAAAACTATAAACAACTAGATGAAATCATAGATATAAATCTTCATGACCTTGAAATAGGCAATGGTTTCTTAGATATGACATCAAAAGCACAAGGAACAACAAAAAATAAATGAATGAATTGGAACTCATCAAAATGAAAAACTTTTGTGTATCAGTGGATACCATCGAGAAAGTGAAGACACCAACATGGGTGAACGTATTTGTAAATCATATATCTGATGAGACTTGTAGCTAGAATACATAAATAACTCTTACAATTCAACACTTTAGAAAGACAAATAACCCAATTAAACAATGGGCCAAAGTATCTGAATAGACATTTTTCAAAAGAAGACATATAAATGCCCAATAGGCACATGAAAAGATGGTCAATGTCATAAGTCATTAGGGAAACGGAAATCAAAACAACAATGAGATATTGCTTAGCCACCAGATTGGCTACAGTAAAAAAGACAGATAATAAAAGGGTTGCCAAGGGAGTGGAGAAATTGGAACCCTCATACATTGTTGGTGGGAATGTAAAATGGTGCAATTTATTTGGCAAACAGTCTGGCAGTTTCCCAAGGGTTTAAACATAGAGTTATTATATGACTCAGCATTCCACTCCTAGATATACAACCAAGAGAAATTAAAACTTATGCCTACACATAAGCTTGTACATAAATGTTCAAAACAACATTATTAATAATAGCCAAAAGTAGAAACAATCCAAAATAGCCATTAATGAATAAATAAGATGTGATGTATTCATCCAATGGCACATTATGTAGCCATGAAAAGAAATGAATAACTGGTTCATGCACCAACATGGATGACCCTTCAACATGTTATGCTAAGTAAAGTTCGTTTCAAAAGACCACGTATTGTGTGAGTACACTGACAGAAAATGTTCAAAATATGTACATCTACAGAAAGTAGATTAGTGATTGCCTAGGGCTGAGGAGTTTGGGAAAAATTGGAAGTGACTGTTAATGGGTATCAGGTATCTTTTTGAGATTATGTAAATGTCCTAAAAATTGATTGCAGTGATAGTTGCACAACTCTCTGGATATAATAAAATTCATTTAACTGTGCTCTTTAAATGGGTAAACTGTATCCATTATATCTCAATAAAGTTTCTATAAGAAATATCAAAAAATAGCTCTCCCTCTCCCTCTCCCTCTCCCTCTCTCCCTCTCTTCCCTCCCCCTCTCCCCCCTCCCTCTCCCCTCCCCCTCTCCCCCTCTCCCTCTCCCCTTTGCACGGTCTCCCTCCCATGCCGAGCTGATACGAGGCTGGACTGTACTGCCGCCATCTCTGCTCACTGCAACTTCCCTGCCTGATTCTCCTGCCTCAGCCTGCCGAGTGCCTGGGATTGCAGGCGTGCGCCGCCACGCCTGACTGGTTTTTGTATTTTTTGGTGGAGACGGGGTTTCCCCCTGTTGGCCCCCCTGGTCTCCAGCTCCTGACCACGAGTGATCTGCCAGCCTCGGCCTCCCGAGGTGCTGGGATTGCAGACGGAGTCTCGCTCACTCAGTGCTCAATGTTGCCCAGGCTGGAGTGCAGTGGCGTGATCTTGGCTCGCTACAACCTCCACCTCCCAGCCACCTGCCTTGGCCTCCCAAAGTGCCGAGATTGCAGCCTCTGCCTGGCCGCCACCCCATCTAGGAAGTGAGGAGCGTCTCTGCCTGGCCGCCCATTGTCTGGGATGTGAGGAGCCTCTCTGCCCGGCTGCCCAGTCTAGGAAGTGAGGAGCGCCTCTTCCCTGCCGTCATCCCGTCTAGGAAGTGAGGAGTGTCTCTGCCGGGCCGCCCATCATCTGGGGTGTGGGGAGCGCCTCTGCCCCGCCGCCCCGTCTGGGATGTGAGGAGCGCCTCTGCCCGGCTGCGACCCCGTCTGGGAACTGAGGAGTGTCTCTGCCCCGCTGCCACCCTGTCTGGGAGGTGAGGAGCGTCTCTGACCCGCCATCCCGTCTGAGAAGTGAGGAGCCCCTCCGCCCGGCAGCCGCCCCATCTGGGAAGTGAGGAGCCTCTCCGCCCGGCAGCCGCCCTGTCTGGGAAGTGAGGAGCATCTCCGCCCGGCAGCCACCCCGTCCGGGAGGTGGGGGGCAGCCCCCGCCCGGCCAGCCACCCTGTCCGGGAGGTGGGGGGGGCGCCTCTGCCCCGCCGCCCCGTCTGGGAAGTGAGGAGCCCCTCTGCCCGGCCGCCACCCCGTCTGGGAGGTGTACCCAACAGCTCATTGAGAACGGGCCATGATGACGATGGCGGTTTTGTTGAATAGAAAGGGGGGAAGTGTGGGGAAAAGAAAGAGAGATCGGGTTGTTACTGTGTCTGTGTGGAAAGAAGTAGACATAGGAGACTCCATTTTGTTCTGTACTAAGAAAAATTCTTCTGCCTTGGGATGCTGTTAATCTATAACCTTGCCCCCAACCCCCTGCTCTCTGAAACATGTGCTGTGTCCACTAAGGGTTAAATGGATTAAGGGCAGTGCAAGATGTGCTTTGTGAAACAGATGCTTGAAGGCAGCATGCTCGTTAAGAGTCATCACCACTCCCTAATCTCAAGTACCCAGGGACACAAACACTGCGGAAGGCGGCAGGGCCCTCTGCCTAGGAAAACCAGAGACCTTTGTTCACATGTTTATCTGCTGACCTTCCCTCCACTATTGTCCTATGACCCTGCCAAATCCCCCTCTCGGAGAAACACCCAAGAATGATCAATAAATACTAAAAAAAAATAAAAATAAAAATAAATAAATTAAAAAAATTTAATAAAAAACAATCAATACATCAAAAAAAGAAATATCAAAAAATACCAAATAGTAGGTATTGCTGTGTCTCAAATGCATAAGGTATTAATATTCGTGGTATATAATCCAAGTGAACAAGGAAAATATAGCACCCATAACAGAAGAAAAGGGCATAAATATACAGTTTACAGAATAGGCTGTAAAGTATTTTGAAGAAATGCTCAAACTTATTAAAAATCAGAGAAATTTGATTAAAACAGTGAAATACCAGTATGTGTTTAATGGAGTGGCAAGACATAGGATGATGGTTCATGGCAAATGATGGTATGGAAATGGGTGGTTATACAACAAACTGTATTCAGTGCTCATGAGAATGTGGAATGGTTTAACCATTCAGGAGAGCAATATAGCTATTAATATTATTTGTAAATGTGTAAGTATATGACTCTGCTATGAACCAACAACTACACTTATGGATATGTGTCCTAAATAAATTGTCACACATTTCTATGAAGATGTATAGTGATGTTCCTAGCATTGTTATTGCCAATGGCAATCCAGGTTTCTGTCATGGAATAGTAAAATATTTTGGGTGTAAACAATTAGTTCTATAAAATAGGTTAATGTATGCTAGAAACATGGATGAATCTTTAAAACATACTGCTGAGTTTTGAAAGTCTTAACATTTATTTTTATGACATAATACCACTTATATAAACTAAAAGTGTGCACACACAACCACATCACATGCACTTTGCACAAAACACACACAAAGAGAAACACAACAAACAAAATATGGGGCTGGGGGAGGAAATGAAAGTGTTCCATAGGGAAAAGAAAGGAATAAATAAATAATAAAATTATTTTGACCAAGTTGCTAGATATAAGCTTCAGTACAATTTGATTAGAAGTGGTGATATTCAGCATTTTCTTCCCATTCTCATTCTCAGAGATAAATTTTCAACATTTTGTTAATTGTTGTGTATGTTCATTTTAGTTTTAAGTGGGAATTTATATTTCTTAAATGTATCATCATAATGTTCCTCATAATATTCTCAATATATTTAGTGATGTTCCCTTTTACTTCTGAAACTGGTAATATGTCATTTCTGTCTTTTTTGTTTACTGTCACTGGACTTTGTCAGTTTTATTGTTCTATTTATAGAATGATCATTTTACTTTTTAAGATCCACTCCATTTCGTTTTCTATTTCATGTATTTCCTATTATCTTGATCATTTCTTTCCATCTACCCACTGTGGTTTTGGTATTTGTTTATTGAATTCCTGAGATAAATGTTTTTATTTTTTTGTTCAGCTTTTCTCCTGTTTTAGGACAGATGCTCCTCAACTTACAGTGGGCTCACATTCTGATGAACTTACCTACCGTAAGTTGAAAGTATCCTAAGTCGAAAATGCATTTAATACACCCAATCTACCAAACATCATAGCTTAGGCTAGCCTGCCTTAAAGGTGCTCATGACGTTTATATTAGCCCCCAGTTGGGCAAGGTTTTTTGTTTTGTTTTGTTTTGAGAGGGAGTCTCGCTCTCTCGCCCAGGCTGGAGTGCAATGGCTCGATCTTGGCTCACTGCAACCGCCGCCTCGCAGGTTCAGGTGATTCTCTTGCCTCAGCCTCCAGAGTAGCTGGGACTACAGGTGCGCACCACCACGCCCGACTAATTTTCATAGTTTTAGTAGAGACAGGGTTTTGCCATATTCTCCAGGGTGGTCTCAAACTCCTGACCTCAGGTGATCCAAGGGCAACGTTATCTAGCAAAAAGAAGCTTATTTCATAATAAAGTGTTGAATATCATATAATTTATTGAATAGGTATTGAAAGGGAAAAACAGAAGGGTTGTATAGGTACTGTACTGAATGTGTGTTGCTTTCACACCATCATGAAGTCGAAAAATCTTAAGTGAACCATTGTTAACTCCAGGACCTGTATATGATTTCAAGGCTTTCTATGTTTCCTTCTAATCATGTATTAAAAGCTCTCCTGTTTATCAGTGTTTTTCTCCTTATGAGTCTGTCAATCAATTTTTCTTTATAAAGTTTGCTTTACATTATGTAAGGCTGTTATAGTTGATAGAAAATTTTCATTACTATGAAGTGTTTCTTTGTATATCTTAAAATGTTCTTTTCTTCAAGGACTATTGTACTTTGTCCAATATTAATATATTTTAAAATTAGAGAAAGAATATGAGGCCTAGGACGATAGTCTCTTTCTCCATTAGAATATTTTTGTTTATGTCAGGTACCTGCAAACACTAACAGAAAAGGTTTACTTTAATCTATTTTCAGGTACGAATGTGATTTCAAGTTTTGCTTCAGTCCCCTAGTGAAGATGATCTATTTGCCCTTTATCTTTACTCCTGTAGTGCAGCTCTTTGGGTTTTACTAGGTACCCTTCTCCCGATCCCCAACTTCTTCCCCAAGGCCCTTGAACAACAGAATCGGTAGGTACCACCAAGACAGACACTTCCACTCTAAAATTGCAAATCTTGGCTAAGATTTGCTCTGGCTTTCTAGGATACCCGGAAGCTCAGGTTACTCGGAAGTATTTCCGCTCCAAGGAGCGGAACTATGGCCGGTTTCCCCTGGGGCATTCTGGGAAGTGTAGTCAGGGGCCCGCGTAGCCTGGGGCACTTCCGCTTTTGGATGGCGGAGCTAGGGAATTGTGGGAAGTGATCCGGGGTTTCTCTTTAGTTGCTGGGAAGTTTTTTCGCTCTAGGAGGGCGAAAACAAGTGTTTGGATCCGCTGGGACCCTCCAAGTTTTCTCAGCCTCGTCAGGGAGCAAGCGGGGCCCTGGCCCTCGTCTGGAGGAAGGCTAGAGAAGCTGTGGCCAGCTGGGAGGCTGGAGTTGGGAGCAGTTTGTGTTCTTTCCTCTCGGCTGAGCCTCACGTTTGGAGCAGTTCTTGCGTCCCCGGGTTGGGAGCGTCCTGGATCGGTTGTCGCTTGGTTAGAGGGTCTCCTGGCGTTCCGCAGCCAGCCTCTCCCACCTACTTGCCAGCTCTGCCACTTACTAGTGTTATAACGTTTTGTGAGTTAATCTTAATCTTTCTCTATCCCATTCTCCTCATTCCTGAAGTAGAGTCATTAGTAGGAGGTCCTTGTACTTTTATACGAATTATTCATTAAATGTCCAAAATACCGTTATGTGGTAGGTACCACTTATGTTCTAACAGAGAGACGAAGATAATAGACCTCTCCACACAATGTAGAAAAGAAAGCTGTCTTATTACTGAATAAGGACAACCACTGTATAGTATTGTAGGCAATCTAAAGAAAAATATTATTAAAAAATTCCGCCCTATGTGTACAGTCAAGCAGTTTTAAACTTTTTATACAATTCTACTTTTGACCACTATGTACATCAGTTCTCAAGATTAATGATTTTTCAATAAGAGGACTTGGTCTCATCATTTACTGCAAATTCTTTTATAAATTTATTCTAAATTTACTTGAGAATCCAGTGTTAGTTAACTAACTTTATCGAAAGTAATAAAACTTCTCTTACCTCATCTGCTAGCCGATTTACAGTTTAAAGAGAGGCACCTTGGTTAAACTCTTGCAGTGATAGGGACAGTGGGTTGTTATTTTCTCAGATGTTTATATTCAAAAGGGACAAATCTCAGAACTTTCACAAATACTTCTAGGTTGTAAACCTGGCTAGAGGCTTACATAGCCGCTAATGAAATTTACATGCGTATCAAAAGGTTAGAGAAAGGATTCAGAAGCACTAGGTTTCTTATGGAAATGCTCTAAGAAAAAGAAGAGGGAAGACGAACCCTAAAACGTACAGTTAGTAAGAGGCAGAACGTCCATATGAACCCAAGAAGTTGGAGCCTCAAGTCTGTGTTCATATTCTCCACGCTGTACATTTTTCTTAGAACCATATGAAATAATCGTGTATATGGTTTGTGGAAGTCTTTTTCTATCAGGTTTGGAAGGTGATCTGGGGCTTTAGAGTCTATATTCTCCTTATAGAAATAATGCATGACCATTATAGAGAGATTAGAAAATACAGAAATGTATAAAAGGAAATGAAAGTTACCCATATTCACTGCTGTATATTTAAACAATTAGCTGGGTGTGGTGGCACATACCGATAGTCCCAGCTACTTGGGAGGCTGAGGTGGGAGGATCGCTTGAGCTCAGGAGTTTGAAGCTGCAGTGAGCTATGACCACGGCACTGCACTCCAGCTTGGATGACAGCGAGACCCCGTTCCTTTAACCCATAATCTCAGGATTTAGAGATAACCACTGCTAACATTTTAAATGCATTTATGCATTGGTGCCATACCACCCACATGGTATTTCTCTAATTTTTCTTGTAGAAATTCCCAAACATGCACATACAGAAAATAGTGTTAATGACCCCCACCCCGCCATCATTTGTCTTTAACTCTTGTAAACATTTTGTCTATCTTATTGCATCTATTACTCTTCTCCCACATATGTTTTTGGTGGGAAGAGGAGGAATTTGACTATTTAAAATCAAAACCAAATCCTAGTCAGTCGGTAGAAATTAAAAGTAATTAACATAAAGTAATTATGAATGAAGAGCAAAGGAAAGCAAATAACTTCAGGGTTTTCTTTCCTGGCAACTAGGAGGAAGGTAGTTATGTGAAAAACCTAAAGGAGAGGGAATCATTGAGATTTGGAAAGGAATAGTTATGAATTTGGCTTCTTTATTTGGAATGTTTTACTCAGGGTCTTTTATTTATTTATTTATTTATTCATTTTTATTTATTTATTTTTGAGACGGAGTCTCGCTCTGTCGCCCAGGCTGGAGTGCAGTGGCGCGATCTCGGCTCACTGCAAGCTCCACCTCCCGGGTTCACGCCATTCTCCTGCCTCAGCCTCCTGAGTAGCTGGGACTACAGGCGCCCATCACCACACCCGGCTAATTTTTTGTATTTTTAGTAGAGACGGGGTTTCACCGTGTTAGCCAGGATGGTTTCGATTTCCTGACCTCGTGATCTGCCCACCTCGGCCTCCCAAAGTGCTGGGATTACAGGCGTGAGCCACAGAGTCCGGCCTACTCAGGGTCTTTTAGATCTGATCTGTTTCTCCCTTAGGCTGCATGTTACTTTGTTGCAGGAACTATGTCCCATTCTTTACCATGTGCTTAGCACCCAGCACAAGACTGGTAAGGAGGGGTTTAGTGTTTGTGGTTTGTGGAGCTGCCCAGTATCTTGAAATGGAAACCTGCAGATCATTTAGATTGTATTCAGAATTCCCAAAATGGATTTAGGAAAAAATAAAAGGAAATAATGTCAATATTAGTGACTCTTTATCTCACTTTTGGTGGGATGCATTTGCATAGTCTTCTAGTTTTTTTCCCAGTAATCAAAAGTTGATGCATGGTTATTGATAATATTTTAGTGATCAAAGCAAATTTTTGTAGAAACCTTCCATCCATAATTTATGTGTCCTGTGTTTATCCCCTGAGGTTAACATTTGCTAACTTTTTATAGGGTAGTCATGAATCAGGCAGAATTTCCAGTGTTTTACATGTATTTATTCATTTGTACTTGATATCAACCCTATTATAGTCTCCATTTTACAAATGAAGAAAAAGGGGACAGAAGAAATGGAAGCACTAGTATTTTAATCTAGATAGCTTTATACTAAGGCTGTAATATTAGCTACTACACACTACTTTTATTAGTCTACAAGGCAAGAACCCACAGTAAGTCTTATTAGAGCAGGGAATATTTAAGC